>NC_000010.11:100294610-100597640 GCF_000001405.40 Homo sapiens
GCATTGTAGTCAAAGTCCCCGAGGATTATCCGGAACTGAGTGAAACTGAGAGACCAGGTCTGGGCTTTACCCAGAGCCTAACAAACACCCCCCATCCCACTTTCCTAATCACAGAGAGACCCCTCACCACACGTTCACCCCAATCTGATAGACACAGGGCAGGGTGCTTAGATTATTTAAGCACACACACCAGGGCTTCTGGAGACCCTCACACAGATGCTTTGAACACAGACATGCAGACACGCACGTACCCATCTTCCCCAAGGATACATACACCCGTGGAGCTGGAGGGTGAGGGGCCAGGGAGGAGTGAAGGGGACAGGACACACACATGCACTTGATGAAAGTGCTAAAGTTTTCCACTTGGGTCCCGAAAAGCAGGTAGCCGAGTTGGGCATAGGCGAAGAAAACAATGAAGAACATGACGGCGAAGCCCAGGATGTCCTTGGCACAGCGGGCCAGCGTGGAGGAGAGCTGGGTCATGGTTTTGTTGAAGCTGATGTACTTGAATATCTGGAAGGACCATGTTGAACCAAGGGATGAAGAAGGAAAAGGGAAAAGCATTGAAAAGTCCATGCCAAGGGCCTATGGAGGCCACAGGAGTTGCCAAGCCAGACAAAGAAAATGAGACACATATTGAAGAAGGGAGAATGATACAAAAATTAGCTGGGCATGGTGGCACGCACCTGTAATTCCAGCTACTTGGGAGGCTGAGGCAGAGAATCACTTGAATCTGGGAGGCAGAAGTTGCAGTGAGCTGAGATTGCACCACTGCACTCCAGTCTGGGCAACTGATTGAGGGACATACTGGGACCATTAAAAAAAAAAAAAAAAAAAAAAGCCAGGCACGGCAGTTCACTCCTGCAATCCCAGCACTTTGGGAGGCTGAGGCAGGTGGATGGCTCAAGGTCAGGAGTTCGAGACCAGCCTGGCCAACATGGTGAAACCTCGTCTCTACTAAAAATACAAAAAGTTAGCTGGGTGTGGTGGTGCATGCCTGTAATCCCAGCTACTCAGGAGGCTGAGGCAGGAGAATTGCTTCAACCCGGGAGGCAGAGGTTGCAGTGAGCTGAGATCGTGCCATTGTACTCCAGCCAGACAACAGAGTGAGACTTCGTCTCAAAAAAAAAAAAAAAAAAAAAAAGTCAGGGGCGGTGGCTCATGCATGTAATCCTAGCCCTTTGAGAGGCTGAGGTAGGCAGATCACCTGAGGTTGGGAGTTCGAGACCACCCTGGCCAACATGGTGAAACCCCGTCTCCACAAAAAATACAAAAATTAGCCAGGCGTGGTGGTGGGTGCCTGTAGTCCCAGCTACTCAGGAGGCTGAGGCAGGAGAATCACTTGAACTCAGGAGGTGGAGGTTGCAGTGAGCCAAGATCGCCCCCACTTCACTCCAGCCTGGGCAAGAGCGAGACTCCATCTCAAAAAAAAAAAAAAGAAAAAAAAGAAAAGAAAAGAAGGGAGAATGAGTGCGCCTTGAAGCAAAGCTGGGTGTGGGAATCCCAGGTACCTTGATCCAGGCGAAGAAGAGGTTGACAGCATTCATGTTGTTGTACTGTGTCTGCCAGAAGGCGAGGAACTCAAAGTCTGCATACGTGTTTGGCTGCTGCAGGAGCTTCCCCATGAGCCGATTCACCTCGAGGGTTCGGAATATGTGGAAGCCCACAGCCACAATGGAGAGCTGTCACACAGGGGTCATGGGGGTGTCAGAGAAGGCAAGGGGATCTCAAGGGAAGTTCCAAGATGAGGCCCCAAGGGAGAGTCAGGGTAGGTAAGACAGGTGGGAAAAAAGCCATCCTTGCTGACTTGTTCACTATCTCAGTTTCAAATGGAACTTGGTAGGATGACTGGGGAGCATCTTAAGTGTTCCAAAGCCCAAGAGAAGGCATTGGGGACAATGGTAAATATTAATGTATAGATTGTAAAGGGCTGTAGGGAACTGGAACCAGTCATTTCCTTCCGCTCCCACCACTTCCAAGCTTTGGTCAGGAATTGAATGTGTCTTGTTAATAGGAGGGAGATGAAGATGAAGGGGCAGAATATTTGAATAGAAGACAAAAGGCATGGGTTTCCACAGAACAGGTCATAAAGACAAAAGACAAGAGAGGAGCAGAATATAGTACACTAAAAAAAAAAAACACAGGGCTCAGATGACAGGTGAGGAGGAGAGGAGATGTGAGAGACAGGGTTTCCCAAGGGCTGAGAGAGGGGAACATGTCCCTCTCACTTAGGGAGCTGTTAAATGATGATTTGACCAAAAGTCAGAAGGAGGGCTTAGGGCTCCAAAAGGAAGAACCTGGAGCCCCTATTAGGGTGGAACTCCCTCCTCACCCCAGAATGTCCCAAGTCCTAGATATCTGTCCCTCACCAAGATGACCACCAGGTCCAGTATGTTCCAGATGCTGCTGAGGTAGCGAAGCCGGTGAATGTGGAGCTCCAGGATCTCTTCCACCACATAGTAGAAGATGAAGACGCAGAAGATGACCTCACAGCCAACGATAAAGAAGTCCCAGTTGCTGACATAGCGGATCAGCTTGACTGTGCGGATTTGCCAGGATGGGATGGCACCTCCTGTAGCTGGAAACTCCACCACCAGCCTATAGGGGGAGGGGGAGATGACCTCCAGTGGAGCCTTCGCTGGGACGGCTCCTCCCACTTCCTCTCCTCTCCACCCCCACCACAGGGTAGGAGTTTAGGGAAGGGTCTCATGCACAAGAGACGGGAACCAGGAGCCATGGACAGGGTGATAAAGTAGGGAAAGGGGGCTCACCTCAGGACACAGAAAAGATTGATATTGGCATTGTAGACTGAGAAGTCGATGAACACCACTCGAGTGCCCCTGTCCAGCCACAGCCCCTCCTGAAGGGCCCGGAGAGCCTCTGCACTACCCTGTCGGGATCCTGGAAGGTCCAGGTAGTAGCCACCTCCGCTGTAGCTTGTGAGCCTGCCCCAGTGGGAGAAGCCCCCCAACTCATCCTGCGAGTGGTATGTCCACCTGCCACAGAAAATGCCAGCTGAGCCAGCCCAAAAGTTCATCTCCCAAGGCAATGGCAATGCTTTATCATTGTCTGGGCTTTACAGGTTTACATATTGTGTGTGTGTGTGTGTGTGTGTGTGTGTGTGTGTGTGTGTGTATGAGATATGTGATATATACATATATAATGTATCATTTATTATTCTGTTTGATACTAACAACCATTTGAGAAGGGAGAGTGAATATTATCCACATTTTGCAGAAGAGGAAACTATGAAAGAGGTTACCGAGATAATCCAGCTATAAATGACAGAACTGAAACTCAAATGTAAATCTGATTTTTCACTATGTCACTCAAAGATTTGGATGACAAAGCCAAGCCCCACTTTTGGCCCACCTTGAATAGTCCCCCTAAGGGAAGCACCTGGACCAGGAGGAAAAGATCCTCCAGCTCTGTGATTGCACATCAGGCTCCTTCACCCCATGTTTCTCCATTCTATCCACTAAACTTTCTACCCTGGGTGCTTATTTCCTCCCTCTTCTGTCCTGTCCACCCTTTCCCCCTTCCTCCCTAATTTGTCATCCATCCTTGACCCCTTGCTGCTCCACGTATCAATCTCAAGGGTTGGGTTCTTCAATTTCACCCATTTTGTATACCCCTAACCAACTTCTAGGCAAGAAAGGAAGCTTTCCCTGGAAGGACTACGTGCAAGGTAGGACAAGTGTGATTGCAACCTGTCTGTGGGAACAAGTCTGGAGGCTATTGCTGTGTTTGCTAACCTACCTCCTCTGTTCCTGAGTGACACAGACCAAGGTCCCCAAACAGTCACAGCTGGGATTCAGGGAGATGCCCCCAGAAGTCCCTTAAAGAGCTCTGAGGCTCTTTAAGCCTCAGTGGAAGTGGTTCCCAGACCTTGGGATGGTGTCAGGTTTAGAGGGGCAAGCCCTGTGATATTGGTAGGACAGGCTCACTCACGCTGTGCCATTGAAGGGCCCAAAGGGGAGTTGTTCTTCTTTGTCTGGAGAGTAGACATCATAGCAGCTCAGAATGTCCTCCCGGAAGTCTTCATGCACCACACAGGAGTCATTGCGGACCTTTAGCTGCCGCAGCCTCGGAACCCCCAGCAGCATGTTCTCATAGTAGATGAAGGAGTGGGAGCCATGGCCCAGGCTCTGGTTGTTGTACCATTTGGTCCAATACAAACTGTCCAGTAGTGGGCCCTGGGCAAACTGAACCACAAGCTGGCTTGAACCTTACCCAGCCTCCTCCTGACCCCCTACCTTTAGAATGACCTTTGCCCTCATCCTCTGACTCCCCAGCTTGTCTCCAGTCTGCTTTTTAAAAAATTATTGTTATTATTATTATTATTATTATTTTAAGGGACAGAGTCTCGCTTTGTCACCCAGGCTGGAGTGCAGTGACACAATCTCGGCTCACCGCAACCTCTGCAACCTCTGCCTCCCAGGTTCAAGCGATTCTCCTGCCTCAGCCTCCCGAGGAGCTGGGATTTCAGGCATGCATCACTATGCCCAGCTAATTTTTGTATTTTTAGTAGAGACAGGGTTTCACCATGTTGTCCAGGCTGGTCTTGAACAACTGACCTCAGGTGATTTGTCTGCCTCAGCCTCCTAAAGTGCTGGGATTACAAGTGTGAGCCACCGTGCCCGGCCTGCTTTTTAAAACTCCTCCATTGACCAATGAACCTTGACCAGAGTCTGACCTGAAGTGGCCCTACTCTTTATTTAAAATTCGTTTTGAAGTTCAGCCTTACCTCTGACTCCCGATACTAATCTAACTCCTGGTTTAATTCCCTGATTGCTGTATTAATCCCTTACCCACCTCCACCTGAACTCTAGACTAACCCATTAATTCAGCCTGGCCCTTTGACTCAGTCTGATCCCTGACTGATTTGATTTCCCAGCATAAGGTCTGATCCGTTGTCTGACCTGTGGCCTCAGGCCATTGAGAAAGAGAGGGGAGGGGTAGAAAAGATCTTATACTCACATCCCAGAAGTCCGCCATGCTGCTGATGGCCTGAAAGGAGACTCCAGTGTCTGATGGAGTATGTAAGAAGAGCTCAGACATCACTTTGGTGTAGTAATAAGCACTGGAGCTTGTCATTCCATAGGTCACTAGAAAACAACCCAAGAGGCTATGTCCTTCTCACTGTTCCCCCAGAGGAGACAGGAAAGCCTATTGCCCTGGAGTCAGAGATGCTTCCAAGATGGAAGCCCATCCCCCATCTGGACCCATCCTCTAGACTTGGTTAGGAGCCTAATGGTGGCATGAGGAAGCCAGGAAATGCATTAGGAAAGGGTTGTAGCTACAATGTCTCCTCCTCTTCTTCCAACCCACCTCAGAAAGACTGAACTCCACTCAGTAGTTGTCTTACATTGTTATTATAAAAATACACTTTTCTTTTCCTGAACCAGCTTAACTTCCCAGTTCTTACTCCCCAGAGCAAAGATATTCCTGCCTTCTGCACTGTGTAGTGATTCCTTTTGTCTGCTTCCAAAAGGTAGTGATGCCTTTTGGAAAGTGCCCCCAAAGTCTAGAGTACTCCCTCTAGAGTTCAAGGCCTTGGCCAAACACCTTACAATAGAGATGTGGTCTCATGGCCCCTGGTGTCAGTGGCTGTAGCCATGGGAGTGGCAGGTAGGCACAGCACCTCTGTCCCTGGCATGACTAGTACGATCAGATGGGCACAGTCATCTCCTGAGAGAGCGACTCAGTGTTCCCAGATCAAAAAAGACCTAGGAGCAATCACCCTGTGATTCTCCCTGTGCACACATTGTGTGCAAGTTAAATTAAAAAAAAAAGACCTGGACTTTACCCTGAAGAACTTGATCTCCCTCATGCACCCTAACACATCCATCCAGTCCCATGTGCCAGTAGGGCTGTAGGGAGCACTAAGTTTTGTTTACAAAGCAGGATTCTAAAAGTATAAGTCATTTATTTAACAGATTGTCCTTCAATTTAAGTTAGTCTAATGTTTTCTTATTTTTAAATTCGGTTATGCATTTTTGGGAGGGATATCATAGAAGTGATACTGTGTCTTTCTCAGTGCATGATATCAGGAACTACACATTGCCTGTTCATCTCATTACTAGTGAGATTAACTTTGATCTTTTGTTAAGGTGGTGTCTGCCAGTTTCTTCAACGTAAAATTACTGTTTTTCTTTTTGTAATTAATACGTGTTTTTGTGGGGAGACCCCTTTCAAACTGTGTATTTTTTGCCTGATTATTACTAACATTGTCAAATGGTGATTTTTTTTTTCACTGTTGTTGCCCAGGATGGAGTGCAATGGCACGATCTTGGCTCACCAAAAACTCCGCTATCGGGGGAACCTGCCCCCGATAATTCAACGTAGGTTCTTTTCTATTTCCCTAAGTGTCTGCTGGTCTGAGAAATAAAGGGAAAGAGTACAAAAGAGAGAAATTTTAAAGTTGGGTGTCCGGCGGAGACGTCACATGTCGGCAGGTTCCATGATGCCCCCTGAGCCGTAAAACCAGCAAGTTTTTATTAGCAATTTTCAAAGGGGAGGGAGTGTACGAATAGGGTGTGGGTCACAGAGATCACATGCTTCAAGGGTGACAAAAGATCACAAGGCAGAAGGTCAAGGCGAGATCACAAGGTCAGGGCGAAACTAGAATCACTAATGAACTTCCATGTCCTGCTGTGCATGCATTGTCATTGATAAACATCTTAACAGGGTTCAAGAGCAGAGAACCAGTCTGACTAGAATTTGCCAGCCTGGAATTTCCTAATCCTAGGAAGCCTGGGGGCACTGCAGGTGGCCAGGGCGTGTTTCATCTGTTATCTGCAGCTGCATAAGGCAGACACCCCCAGAGCAGCCATTTTAGAGGCCCCCCCCCCGGGAATGCATTCTTTTCCCAGGGCTGTTAATTATTAATATTCCTTACTGGGGAAAGAATTCAGTGATATTTATCTTACCCGTTTTCAGTAATAAGAGAAATATGGGTCTGTCCTGCCCGGCCCACAGGCAGCCAGACTTTAAGGTTATCTCCCTTGTTCCCTGAAAATCATTCTTATCCTGTTCTCAAGGTGCCTAGATTTCATATTGTTCAAACACACATGCTTTATGAACAATTTGTGCAGTTAACGCAATCATCACAGGGTCCTGAGGCAACATACATCCTCAGTTTACAAAGATGACGGGATTAAGAGATTAAAGTAAAGACAGGCATAGGAAATTATAAGGGTATTGATTGGGGAAGTGATAAATGTCCATGAAATCTTCACAATTTATGTTCTTCTGTCACGGCTTCAGCAGGTCCCTCCATTCGGGGTCCCTGACTTCCCGCAACACTCCGCCTCCTGGATTCAAGTGATTCTCCTGCCTCAGCCTCCCAAGTAGCTGGGATTACAGGCATATGCCACCACACTCAGCAAATTTTGTATTTTTAGTAGAGATGGCGTTTCTCCATGTTGGTCAGGCTGGTCTTCAACTCCTGACCTCATGTGATCCGCCCACTTTGGCCTCCCAAAGTGCTGGGATTATAGGCATGAGCCACTGCACCGGCCTCAAATGGTGATTTTTTAAAATTCCACAATTCCTTCTCCATTTATTAGTTGACATTCTCTTCAGAAGAGCTTTCCCTTATTCCTAATTCATGTATTCATGCATACACACACACACACACGCATACACACACACACACACACACACACATATCAATTAGAACCTATGGATTCTTGGCAGCTTTTCTTCCCTATGGGTTATAATTTATTATTTATTTTGTTGCTCAGGTTTTTTTGGCCAGGAAATAAAAGGCAAAGAAAAACTAAAGAATTGTTCCAGGTTTGGCCAGGTGCAGTAACTCACACCTGTAATCCTAGCACTGTGGGTGGTGGAGGTGGGCGGATCACTTGAGCTCAGGAGTTCGAGACTAGCCTGGGCAATATAGCCAAACCTCATCTCTACAAAAAAAAAAAATTACAAAAATTACCCGGGCATGGTGTTGCATGCCTGTAATCCCAGCTGCTTGGGAGGCTGAGGCAGGAGGATCACTTAAGCCCAGGAGGCAGAGGTTGCAATGAGCCAAGATCATACCACTGGGTGACAAAGTGAGACTCTGTCCCCCAAAAAAAAAAAAAATTGTTCCAGGTTAAATGAGACTAAAGAAATTTGACTTGATATAAATGTTCTGAAGCAAAAAAAGAAAAAAATTGAAAGCTAATCCTGGACCATAATTTTTTTCCTTTTGCTATAAAGGCTGTCAGTGGTATAATTGGTGAAATTGTAATATGGTCTGTTCATTAGATGATAGTACTGGATTGCTGATAAATTTCTGACTTTGATAAGAGAATATCCTTGTTTTTTAGAAAATACGTATTGAAGTATTTAGGAACAAAAGGGCATTATGTCTATAATTTACTCTCAAACTTGTGTGTGCGTGTGTGTTTGTGTGTGTGCACACGCACATGTGTGTGGAGGATGGGGAAAGAGAGAATGAGAAAGGAGAAGCAAGCATGGTAACATGTTCATATATGGGAAAACTGAGTGAAATATATGCAGTGTATCAAGAATTCTTTGTCTTTTTCTTGCAAATTTTCTTTAAGTCCATAATTACATCAAACTGTTTTTTTGTTTTTTTTTTTGAGACGGAGTTTCACTCTTGTTGTCCAGGCTGCAGTGCAATGGCACGATCTCGGCTCACTGCAACCTCCACCTCCTGGGTTCAAGCAATTCTCCTGCCTCAGCCTCCCGAGTAGCTGGGATTACAGGCATGCAGCACGACGCCCGGCTAATTTTATATTTTTAGTAGAGACGGGGTTTCTCCATATTGGTCTCGAACCCCCAACCTCAGGTGATCCGCCCGCCTCGGCCTCCCAAAGTGCTGGGATTACAGGCATGAGCCACCGCGCCCGGCCCACATCAAACATTTTAAAAGTAGAATTTGTCAGCCTCTTATGAGCAATTCCCTTTAAGAATTTTCATTTTCAGATCTTGGGCCATATCTTCTCCCACTTCCTCATCTGGAAGGCGAATGATCACGGATTGGGCACTAACATTATACTTTTTCAGGGGGAAAAAATGGCAAAGAAGGAAACATTATTATTCACATTTCCCCATTCCACACTGTTAAGTCCAAGATATGGCTTTACTTCTAACTCAAATCTGTGATTACTTGTCATTAGTTATTTGGACTCAATTTTTCTGGATGTGAAAATGGGGTCCCGCTGGAAATCAAACTTCTGTGTGCGGAAAGCCCATCACAGTTACAACTGATAGCAAGCTGAACCTTTCCTAATGAAGCAGGTTGGCTAAATTGTCACATCTTCTGAGTAGCCACTAGGTGGTACTCATTGCTACAGCTTTTCCTCTTTTCCAATTCGGAGAATTAACATTGCTCGGAGAAATAACATTGCCCGTCAACTATTTATGGATGCATAATATCTCTGATTATTATACAAGGCAGTAAATATTACACGTCTTCTGAGAAAAATGGCTTGACCTGGTAAAATGCCTATTGACAGGCAGAAATTCAGTATTCGCTATTTGTAACTTTTTAAATTGAAGTGCATAGGTACAGAAAAGAGCAAGAAGCAACCTTAAAAATTTTCTAAATTAGAATCTAAATTTGGTTTAGTACCTATTCAACACTCTCTCCCCATACAAACACTCTTTCTCCCTCATTAATTCTTACATCTGTGAATTTTGTACTCCATCCCATGAGATGAGGGGTACTTTCCCACCATTTTATGAAACCCAAACCGAGTATTTCTAATACCTCCGATGTTCATAGTTAGTAGCCCATATTATCAGCCTATCAACCTGAATTATTCTAAAAACACATTTTATATTCATTAAACAAACATTATTCAAATTCTACAATGTATAAAATACCTTGCTAGGTGTCACGGTTTCTTTTATCTTTATCTTTTCTTTTCCTTTTTTTGAGACAGGGTCTTGCTGTGTTGCCCAGGCTGGAGTGGGGTGGCACTATCATAGCTCACTGCAGCCTCAAACCTCCTGGGGTCAAGTGATCCTCCCATCTCAGCCTCCTGAGTAGCTGGGACCACAAGTGCATGCCACCCCTTTTTAAATTTTGTGTAGAGACAAGGTCTCACTATGTTGCCCAGGCTGGTCCTGAACTCCTGAACTCAAGCTGACCTCCGCTGTTAGCCTCCCAAAGTGTTGGAATCATAGGCGTGAGCCACCATGACCAGCAGTGTCATGGTTTCTATCCTTAAAAAGTTCTATTGAGGAAGACGTGTCCCAGAATGAACTTGATGTAGCAGAATGAGCATGAGCACTGCAGCCAGACAGATCTAGGTTCAAATCCCAGCTCTGCCACTTACAGTATAGACTTGGGCTCTGAGTCTCAGCTTTCTCATCTGTAAAACTGGGAATATAATACCTTTTAGGCAACTCAATAAGTAGTTGAGTAGCTTCCCAATAAGTGTTTGTTGGTTGAACCAACAGTGGAAAAATGAAAAATAACTATAATACTATAATAAAGGGTAGAAATGAAATAAGTGAATCATTTTCTCTTCTTGTCTTTTTTTTTTTTTTTGAGATGGAGTCTCGCACTGTCACCCAGGCTGGAGTGCAGTGGCGTGATCTCAGCTCACTGCAACCTCTGCCTCCCGGGTTCAAGCTATTCTCCTGCCTCAGGCTCCTGAGTAGCTGGGATTACGGGCGCCCGGCACCATACCTGGCTAATTTTTTGTATTTTCAGTAGAGACAGGGGTTTCACCATGTTGACCAGGCTGGTCTCGAACTCCTGACCTCAAATTATCCACTTGCCTTGGCCTCCCAAAGTGCTGGGATTACAGGCTTGCACCACCACACCCGGCCAAGTGAATCAATTTCAAACTGAGTAAAGCATCATTAATCCATGTTTGACCCATCACAGCAATGTCATCAAAATAGTCAAGGACAACTTATATTTAGTAAATGTTGGAAAGAGGCTGGAATATTCCTTAGTCCAAAGAGAACAATACATTCATTCAAGTCTTGGGTAAGAGAAATAAAGCCAGTCCTTGATTGACCTAGCAAGCAAGCACAGTTTACCAGGAACCCCTCCCTACACAGCGTGAAGGTAGAAATGGTGCTGGCAGAACTCAGTCTCTCTAATAAGTCATCCGTCGAGAGCATCAGATGGGCATCAGGCATGGAGGCTGCAGGAATCTGAATCTAAAAGCAGGGCAGAGGAAGCCCAGGGTTGTACATGGGGTGATGATTTGGCTCATGTGTCTTTCTCCCCTTTTCTTAACCCACCGATGATAAGCAAACTTTAGCATGCATCAGAATCACCTGGAAGGCTTTTTAAAACACAAATTGCTGGCCAAGTACAGGGCTCACTCGTATAATCCCAGCACTTTGAGAGGCTGATGCAGGTGGATCACTTGAGTCCAGGAGTTCGATATCAGCCTGGGCAACGTGGCAAGATCCTGTTTCTACAAAAAAAATACATAAATTAGCCGGGCATGGTGGTGTGCACCTGGGGTCCCAGCTACTCGGTGAGAGATGAGAGGTCAAGGCTGCAGTGAGCCAAGATCATCTCAAAAAACAAAAACAAAAACAAACCAACCCCTAAAAAACATGGATTGCTATAGGTTTAGGTGGGGCTCAACAATTTGCATTTCTAATAAGTTCCAAAGTGATACTCGTGGTCATGGGACCACACTTTGAGAACTGCTGCCTTGACCTGTTGCAATCAGACAAGCAATCAGTCCTACTTGTCTTCAATAGAAATGTCAAGAAGGCAGTGGGTTTCCCAGTATCTATTTTGGTGATTCCAAAATAGAGAGTAGAAAGAGAAAAAAGCTTCCAGAGGGCTCTCAGAACTTCCCAGGGATCTCAAGATGACTTACAAACTACACAGAACACTTAGGACACCTGCTTCCCACTCCAGGGGAAAATCACTGAGTTCACTGTCCATGTGAACCACTGGTAGTTATGTAAGGGGATCACATCCCTCGGGTGCATTATTGCAGAAGAAAACTGAAAACAACTTAATGGGTCGGGCGCAATGGCTCACACCTGTAATCCCAGCACTTTGAGAGGCCAAAGCGAGTGGACTACTTGAGACAGGAGTTTGACACCAGCCCGGGCAACATGGCGAAACTCTTTCTCTGCTGAAAATACAAAAATTGGGTGTGTTGGCACACACCTGTAGTCCCAGCTACTCGGGGGACTGAGGCAGGAAGATCACCCGAGCCTTAGGAGATCAAGGCTGCAGTGAGTCATGATCGTGCCACTGCCCTCCAGCCTGGGCGAGAGAGTGAGACCCTGTCAAAAAAAAAAAAAAAAAAGAAAGAGAGAGAAAGAAAGAAAGAAAAAACAAAAACAAAAAACTTGATGATCTTTCCTGGTGTTTCCCTCCCCCTACATCCCCACTAGTTTCTATTCTCTTCAGGTAATAAGTATCGTAGTTTGACTCTACAGTCAAGAACCAGCCTGTTTAACTGGAACGCCTGGTTCAAAGATTTCCGAATCTGACAGAGGCTCAACATATCCATTTCATCATCACCCTTCTCCAAATCAGGAGAAAGAAAGGACAAGACTAGACACCTATTGCCTCAAAACACCTATTACGTGTCCTGTGTTAAGTGCTTGACATGCTTATTTCATTTAATCCTACTACAGCCTTATGCGGTGGGTGCCAATATTATCCATGCTTTCCAGTTTTGGAGAGTTTAAGTAAGTTGCCCAAGGAAAACAACTAATGGAGCCAGGATTAAAATGCAAATCTGTCTGCCTCCATAGTAGACCGATTGTGTATCACTCCCAGAATTATCCCAAGAGATACATGTTACAGAGGGTGGCCAAGTCCAGTGGGTCATCCCAACACTTTAGGAGGCCAAGGCTTGAGGATCACTTGAGCCCGGGAATTCATAGAGCAGCATGGGCAAAACTGGGAGACCTTGTCTCTACAAAATATTTTTAAAATTAGCCAGGCTTGGTGGTGGGCACCTGTGATCCCAGCTACTTGGGAGGCTAAGGTGGGAGGATCGCTTGAGCCCTGGAGGTTGAGGTTGCAGTAAGCAGTGATCGTGACATTGCATTCCAGCCTGGGCAACAGAGTGAGACACTGCCTCAAAAAATAAAAATAAAAAGTTATAGGGGAGAAACTTTAGCTACATAAAAGGCAGTCCTTCTTCACCACTAGTACTTTCAATTATGAAATGGGCCACTTCACAAACATCCTTTTCACCACTGGGCGTGTCAGCAAAGGATTGTCAGCTGAAGATCATCTGAGGCTCACATGGAGGGGGTTCTAGGGCTGGCCTTCCCAGCTCCTTTCTGTAAGATACAGTAAAAGAGTGGAATTGCCCTTTGTATTTCATAAGGTGACACTAGACCAGAGTGGGGAATGAGTCAGGATTTGACTCAGTATGTCAAATGCCAGTACGTCACTACCATTTTAAGGCAGAAATGGGCTCATTCCAGGAAATCTTTGGAGACTGGATGATAACTACATGAGAATGTGCGAAGGGGTTTCAGAGACTAGGTGATGGTTTCATGTCAAATGTAGAGAGTATCTGATTTTTTTTTTCTTGGACAGAAATTAAATTCTTCTGTACACACTATATCATGCTTCTTAATCTTGTTCTCAGATCAAATTCACAATTGCTCAATAATAACAACAACCACCATTATTGATACATTATTCACCAGGCTTTATATACATTTTCTCCCAGGATCCTGAAAAATACCAATAAAATAGGAATTACCATCTCCATTTTATACAGATAACTCAGATTTAGAATGTTGCTTTTTTTTTTTTCTCGAGATGGAGTCTCTCTCTTGTTGCCCTGGCTGGAGTGCAATGACACCATCTCGGCTCACTGCAACCTCTGCCTCCTAGGTTCAAGCAATTCTCCTGCTTCAGCCTCCCAGGTAGCTAGGATTACAGGCATGCACCACTACACCTGGCTAATTTTTGTATTTTTAATAGAGATGGGGCTTCACCATGTTGACCAGGCTAGTCTCGAACTCCTGACCTCAGGTGATCCACCCACCTTGGCCTCCCAAAGTGCTGGGATTACAGGCATGAGCCACTGCGCCAGGCCCCAGAATGGTGTTAAATAACTTTTCAAAAGATAATATAGCAAGCAAGTATTATAACTTGGATTCAAACTCAAATCTGCCTTACTCCAAAAGCCGTGATTTAACCACTATTCTACACTACACTAATATACCATGCTATCACCCTAACACCCTAAATCCTTCTGATTAAGGATTCTGACTCTCCTTTCAAAATTCCTTCCAAATAGTTAGGATTGTGCAAGTCTATAAGATGTCCTTATAAGCAAACTCTGTTTTAAGAGTTTAATAACTGAGTCTGAAGGTGAATTGCAAAAGCACTTGTTAAACTCAAAAGATCACCGTCTTGAAAGAAGCTCCATTCTGGTGTAAAATGAATAACAGTATCTAAATCTGTATCAGGAACCATATGCTGACACAGATAAGTCCCAAGGAAGGAAAAAGTCACATGCACAAAAATGATACCTGGGTTATTTATAACATCAAAAAAAAATGCAAACAACCTAAAAATCTTACAGAGACAATTATTAAGTAAATTATGAGATCACTGAGTCACTTAATGGAATATGATACAGTCATCGAAATAGTAACAAAAACAATGCAAAACTGTATCCATACAATGATTGTATCCATAAAATGAAAATTATTTTGAAAACACTAAGTGTAAAAACTTGAAGGAAAAACTGACTTTTTAAAAACCAGTGGTTTAATAGCTGGATTTTCTTTCTTTTCATTCTCATGGATATTCTTATACTATAATAATAGTAAAACAATATAAAAATTATAAAATCATTAAAAAAATTTTTTGTCTGTATGTTTCCAAGTTATAGGCTGAAGTTTCCAGGTGCTGGATGCTGTACTGACTTTGCTATTGCTTCATTAAGATCTGTTCCCTCCTCTCTTGGCTAATACCATGATTTTATATGAGGTATCACACCTCTCTGGATCATCTCACATATGTTGGCAGAAGCTAAATCCAACCCTGGCTATAGGACTTGGACAAGCAGTTCAGGCCAGAGCAAATCTGCAGAGACTCCTCCCTTAGCACAATTTACAGGTTCAGGGATGACCTTGTAACCCATTTCAGGTCAAGGAGTCATAAAAAGAGATTTCTGGAACCTTTGGTGATCTTCTCTTTTCTACTAGATGTGAATGAGAAAGCCCCAGAAGAGTCAGCCTTAGGATGAAACTGATTGTGCCCCTGGCAAAACTGAGTAACAGAAACAGACAGATCCTTGACAATGTCATTAAGGCACTAGCTTGATCAGCCCTGAACCCTGCAATAAATCCCATTACCCAGACAATAAATCCCATTATGGTTGAAGCCAGTTTTCGTTGGGTTGTCCTTCATTGTAACATAGTCCTTACTTATATGGCAACCATAGCATTTCCAAAAAGGTTGCACCATTTCTGAGGAAAAGAGAGCTAGAAAAGAGGGCAGCAAGCCCAGCGCAGTGGCTCACACCTGTAATCTCAGAAATTTGGGAGGCCAAGGCGGGAGGATTGCTTGAGTACAGGAGTTCAAGACCACCCTGGGCAACAGGGTGAGACCCCATTTCTACAAAAAGAGAAAAAATTAGCTGGATGTGGTGGCACACATCTGTAGCCCCAGCTACTCGGGGAGGCTGAGGCAGGAGGGTGCTTGAGCCCAGGAGGCTGAGGCTGCACCACCATGAGCTGTGTATGCGCCACCACACTCCAGTCTGGGTGACAGAACAAGACTCTGTCTCAAACAACAAACAAACAAACAAACAAACAAAAAGCAAAAAGAGGGCAATGGATGCCAAAACCTACATTAATTAAAATACATTCTTATCCAATATTAAAAGGGGCTTGCTGAGCAAGTCAACTGATGATGATATTCTAAAAACATGCCTATCATTAAGTCCTCAGGCTCTTCAAGTTTTATTTCTGGGTAAAGCAACATCTCTAAAATACCATGAAAAATGTATATTATATACACACACATTTATACATGTGTGTGCAGGCACACACGCACACACACACACTTCTCCTAAAATTGCCCTTATAAAATGAGTATTTAATATGAATTTTAAGGAAGGCAGATATAAAAAAGAGTCAAATGAAAAGTAGCTCCAATTTTTATTTTTTATTTTTTTGGAGACAGTCTCACTCTGTCGCCCAGGCTGGAGTGCAGTGGCGCAATCTCGGCTCACTGCAGCCTCCACCTCTCAGGTTCAAGCAATTCTCCTGCCTCAGCCTCCCAAGGAGCTGGGACTACAGGCATGGGCCATTCCTCCCAACTAATTTTTTATATTTTTAGTAGAGACAGGGTTTCACATTTCATGTTGCCCAGGTTTCACGTTGCCCAGGCTGGTCTCGAACTCCTGAGCTCAGGTAATCTGCCCTCCTTGGCCTCCCAAAGTGCTAGGATTACAGGCATGAGCCACCGTGCCTGGCCAGAAGCTCCAATTTTTAACATTGCTTTTATCCTTTATGATATTCCATGCTCCTTATATAAAAACCAACAAGGCCAATTATTCCCAGAGTTAGCACCTCCCTATTAACTGGTGTGCTTTTTTCTTGCTCAGCAATGAGAACTATGAAACCTATTTGAGTTTTCTTCTTCGCTTTGGCCACTAGGAACCTCAGGCTTTGTTATCATTTGCAGTACTCTTGTTTAATCTAGAGTGTTCTGGTACACGTTTTTTTCCTCTTCTAACCTTTTCCCACTTGTTTTGCTAGGTCGTTCTTAATTGTAGTTCTAACAGGCTATATTTTACTGTATCTGCACTTTTTAACATGAGCTCTGATCCCTTTTAGACATAGGTGGGGCATAAATGTATTGTTATTGAAGAAGTATGACTAATAATTATTATTAATCATTAACGTCATGAGCTTGGGTAATAACCAAATTTTATCCACTCCTATGTTTACAGTAGAGACTGAATATTCTTGTGCTTTCTTTTGAACTGCTGGAAGACCTGCCCAGCTCAGAGCAGTAAGAAGTCACCAGTGCTGACTTCAGTCGGAAACTTTGTACATCTCCTTTCCCAGGTGATTGCCATATAGGCCATCGTATGCTACTGAGCTTCTTCCCTGCCCCTAATATGTGATATGTGATGGAACACAGTTGTCCTTTCCAACAACACTCTCCCTGGGAAGGAATGGGATCCCTTCCCTCAACTTGTTGACAAAGAATATCAGAGGTCTGGGGTGCGTCTGCCAGTAAGTGTACATAGTTCCTTTACATGTCTATACTAGTCGAACACATAAAGGAACTATTATATATACACTTTTTTTGACACTCAAAAGTCAACTGTTCCTTCCTAACCTGGATAGCTCTGAAGAGAAGCATTAAGGATGCTTCTCTAGAAATCTGGGGATGTCTTCCACCCCCATTCCCTCCCCTGACAGTCACTCCTCTTGGGCAATTCCTCCTTCCATTATCTTTGCTGCTATCCCACCACATATTCTGGTGAATGTTATTGGGTCATTCCAAGTTGGATTCCAAATAGTTCATGTGTCTTAAGACAGAGAGTAGGCAGAGGAAAGTAGGAACCTGGAAATGAGGGAAGGGTTAGATCCTCAGGGTATACACTGAAGGTTGTTGAAACCGTGCATTTCATATCAGTGTGTCTACAGAGACTACAACTGAGAGAACTAGATTCACTCACATCTGCTTCAGTAACGAAGTCTATGAGCATTATTAAGCTTTTTAGGGCTTAGGTTCAGAAGATTCTGGTTCTAGAGAACCTATGACACATGGCCAGTTTCTTCTTGGGAAATTAGATTCAGAGCCAAAAGCTTTTATGAGTTGCTGTTGAAGGAAAAACAAACAGACTGATGATGATTATTCTGGAAAAATGGAAATGAATCCAAGATCCTGTTAGTGATCCCCCTGAAGTTTCTAGTAGCTCTGAGATCTTAGCCCAGCTGGAAGAATAGACCTATAGATACTTGTCCATGCTGAATCAATATAATAGAGTCTCTCAGCGGATGGAATACTGAAATCAGATACCTAGAAGACTGGAGATAGGAGTAGAGGACAGGGCATAAGGCAATCAAACAAGGAGGCTGCTGGAACTTCCCTGTTCTATTCCATTCTGAATGCAGAATCCAGGGAGAGCAAAGCAATTGATTCTTATGGATTCAGTATGGCTTTAGCTGATGGCTTGTAAATTCTCATGTGGTTTCAGAATTGCATAAAGAGTTTACGAAGACAGCAATCAAACCAGGAAGTCAACAGTCCTGAGGAAGATGAAGAGTCTTCTTCTCTAGAGTCATCCTGGAAAAATACGGCCCCCTAGATAGCATTGCTTCTGTGTGGCCCAGAAACCTCGAGACATAGCATGAACTTCAGTTAATGTCATAAGAGATAAGGTAACATTTCTGCAGCTATGGTCTCTGCGAAGGAGGGCACACTGTTTCAAAAGAGCTGAAGACACCAACTGTAGTAAAACGTAAAAGTCCTGTCTTTGTACAGGGATTTTTCTGGCTGATGAGGCAGCGGTGATTCCACACGCTCCTGTAGAAGGTTACAGAGGAAGAGTTGCACTTGCTCTTACTGTCCTTCTTTGAGCTATTTTGCTCAAGATCTCCCAGAGACTGGTCATTTTGGAAAAACTAAAGCTACAAAGAGTATACTAGTGCTGAGACCCGGAGACTTTTTGCTGCCTAAATCTAGCTGAACCAAAAAAATGTATTTAGTGCTAGAAACCAAGGAAGCCTGAGAAGAGTAGCCCTTGTTAAAAGGTGCCCAAGCTGGAGTCTTTGAACATATGGACCCAGAAAAGACAGGAAACCAGGCAGGAAAAACCTAGTGATTACATACACAAGGGGTCACCCCAATTGGATTGCCAGTTTCATGCACTGTCTTAACAAATGATAAGGGAGCGGTAACTAAGTTAATAGAGTTGGTAATTAGTGATTTTACTATACAGAAGTCCTGGCTTTTACCTGTAATTGTGCAGTATAAGCTACCTGGATCAATAAGATTCTGTGAGGATTACAGGATAATCAACACCATGACCGAACCATATGTTCATCCAATGCCAATAATCGATTCTCTCTGGAGTTACTGGGTCTACCCTCAACATTTTGAGGAGTGCAAACAGTTTTCATTTATTTGAGTTATATCTATCTACCCTCAATAGACCCTTTAACTCCAGAGAGAATTGATTACTGGCATTGGTTCAATAACCAATCAATAATTCATCATTGTTTCATGAAGTGTTGCAAAATAAAGGCCATCCAAGAAGACTTTACGCAGACAGATTTGGTCACCCCAGAGAGATACATCACCTTCTTTACCAAGGGCTTTCTCTCTCAGTACACAACAGGAGGCTCTCAAATGGTTCCATATAAAGGGAAATCATATTTAAGTAATTAATAGTTGCTTGATTTATAAACAATTTATTTGTAGGTAATTTTTTCATTTTAGTAATAGAGATGGGGCTTTGCTAGGTTGCCCAGGCTGGTCTTAAACTCCTGGACACAAGCAATCCTCCCACAGACTGCTGGGATTACAGGCGTGAACCACCATGACTTGCCTGCAAATAATTTAAACAGAAACTATGTTATCACCACTTGGAAGGGTATGAAATTCCTGAAACACCTTTATCAAACTTTTCCTGGGGTTCAAGAACCAAAAGTGGAAAATATGATTCCCTGGAGTTCCCAGCAGGGAGAGCCCTTTAAAAAAAAATCTCAAGAAGCCATAGGCTTGTACCCAGAACAGGAAGACATGGAAAAGCCTGTGAGACAAAGGACCAGGGAGAAAAGAAGAGGAGTCAAAAGCTGTGGGCAGAGGTAGGCGAGAAGAAAGCAAAACAGACCAGTGCCTGGGGAGAGAGAAGAGAGAGAAGGAAGCAGGCACGGGGACAGCCAGTCCAGGACCGAGAAGTATCCAGCAAGAAGCACTGTTTCTGATCCTGGGCTTCTCTGCAGTGTGATTTATCTTTCACAAAGTGCATCCAGAGATCCTCCTTCACTGACTTTATTGCCATTAGCCATCAGCACTTTAGGGGAGCCTCCTATACTACATTTATCACAATCAGCGGACGTTCCACCTCACAGACGGCATTGCTGTTGACTTTACACATCCTTCTAGTGTAAACCAACAGAAGCTTCTTTATCTAAAATTCATGTATATTTATATATGTCTAGAAAACAATTGAAATGGGCCGGGTGCGCTGGCTAGCCTGTAATCCCAGCACTTTGGGAGGCTGAGGTGGGTGGGGATCACCCAAGGTCAGGAGTTCAAGACCAGCCTGGCCAACATGGTGAAACCCCATCTCTACTAAAAATACAAAAATTAGCCAGGCGTGTTGGTGTGAGCCTGTAGTCTCAGCTACTCCAGAGGCTAAGGCAGAAAAGAAAGAAAGAAAGAAAGAAGGAAGGAAGGAAGGAAGGAAGGAAGGAAGGAAGGAAGGAAGGAAGGAAGGGAAGGGAAGGGAAGGGAAGGGAAGGGAAGGGAAGGGAAGGGAAGGGAAGGGAAGGGAAGGGAAGGGAAGGGAAGGGAAGGGAAGGGAAGGGAAGGGAAGGGAAGAGAAAACAGTTGAAATGATTATATACCAAACTAGGAACAGTGATTACTGAGAGGGATTTTTTATTTTGTTTTATTTTATTTTACTTTAAGTTCTGGGGTACATGTGCAGAACGTGCAGGTTTGTTACATAGGTATACATGTGCCACGGTGGTTTGCTGCACCTATCAACCCGTCATCTAGGTTTTAAGCCCAGGTTTGTCACATAGGTATACATGTGCCATGGTGGTTTGCTGCACCTATCGACTCATCATCTAGGTTTTAAGACCTGCACGCATTAGATATTTGTCCTAATCCTCTCCCTCCCCTTGCCCCCTACCCCGTGACAGGCCTGGGTGTGTGTTGTTCCCCTCCCTGTGTCCATGTATTCTCGTTGTTCAACTTCCACTTATGAGTGAGAGCATGCGATGTTTGGTTTTCTGTTCCTGTGTTAGTTTGCTGAGAATGAAGAGGGATTTTCACATTCTCTATGTTATTTGACTTTTAAAAAACAAGGACTATGTATTAGGTAAAAATTTAATAAATATATTACCAGTCTGATTTTCTTTGTAGGGGAAAGGGGGTAGAATTATGTTGTAATAGAATGAGAAGAAATGCTGGTTTACGCCTTTTTCCTCTTACTTGCCCCTTGAGACTCTGACTATGGCAAAACTCTTGCATATTCATAGCCTGAGGCCTTAGTTGGCTGGCGCTACCTCCTCCATCCCCTGCCTCCTCCAGGCTGACAGCCAGCACTATTAAAACTAACAGGCAAGCAAGCAAATGGCAATGACTTTAGGCCTCCCTGGCAATGACTTAAAAACAGTTAAAAACAGTTTTAACACTGTTAAAATAAGCAGGCAAGCAAATGGCGATGACTTTGGGCTTCCCCAGACACGAATGGTACCTGTCTCTGGGACCTTCAAGATTTCCCAGCTCTCCCTGACCACTTTGTCTCCCACTTCTTACCATGGTCCCAGTGCACCCTCCACTGTAGCGCTCATCACATTCTATGTCACTGTTTGTTTACATGTCAGCCTTCCTTACTCCTTGAAGGCAGAAGATGTGTCTCGGGTATTTCTTTTGTTTTTTTTGAGACGGAGTCTTGCTTTTGTTGCCCAGGCTGGTGTGCAATGGCACGATCTCAGCTCATTGCAAACTCTGCCTCCCAGGTTCAAGCAATTCTCCTGCCTCAGCCTCCGGAGTAGCTAGGATTACCGGCATGCGCCAC
The DNA here is from genome assembly GCF_000001405.40 of Homo sapiens. Classification (NCBI taxonomy): domain Eukaryota; kingdom Metazoa; phylum Chordata; class Mammalia; order Primates; family Hominidae; genus Homo; species Homo sapiens. The sequence continues at coordinate 100,316,327 of NC_000010.11, forward strand.
CACGCCTGGCTAATTTTGTATTTTTAGTAGAGATGGGGTTTCTCCATGTTGGTCAAGCTGGTCTCGAACTCCTGACCTCAGGTGATCTGCCTGCCTCGGCCTCCCAAAATTCTGAGCCACAGGTGTGAGCCATCTTGCCCAGCCTTGTCTCAGGTATTTCAAAACCCTCAGCACTTGGCCTAGGGCCTGGCACATAGTAAGACTTCATAAATGTTTGAATGAATGAATGTGTGACTATCCAGGATCTCAAACTTAGTTTCAGCATTTTGCTAATAAGCTCTCTTTGTCTCATCTGTTCTTTTCCTCCATGCTATGAAATAATCTAATTTGACCAGCTTAGACTCAGTCTCTGAGCCAGTGGTTTACACACATTTTGTTCTCAGAACCCCTTTGCAACTTCAATATTTTGAGGACTACAAACAGTTTTCATTTATTTGGGTTATATCTATCAATCATTACCTTATTAAAAGTTAAAACTGGCCAGACACAGTGATTCATGCCTGTAATCTCAGCACTTTGGGAAGTCAAGGCAGGTGCATAGCTTGAGCTCAGGAGTTCGAGTCCAGCCTGGGTAACATGGTAAAACCCCATCTCTACCAAAAATACAAAAAATTAGCTGGGTGTGGTGGCACCTGCCTGTAGTCCCAGCTACCTGGGAGGCTGAGGTGGGAGGATCCCTTGAGCCTGGGAGGCAGTGGCTGCAGTGAGCCAAGATCGCCCCACTGCACTGCAGCCTGGGTGACAGAGCTGAGATTCCATCTCAAAAAAATAAAAATAAAATAAAATAAATTAAAACTCAGGAAAAATGTAAATATGTATTAACTCATTCATTTGAAAATAATGATAACAATCCCTATACATGTAAACACAAATAACACTTTTTATTTTTTAAAAAATACTATATTTTTTCAAACAAACCCCCCAAAAATTTGGCCGAGCACAGTGGCTCATGCCTATAATCCCAGCACTTTGGGAGGCCAAGGCAGGAGGATCACTTACATTCAGGAGTTCAAGACCAGCCTGGGCAACATAACGAGACCCTGTCTTTACAAAAAAACAAAAATTAAGCGAGTGTGGTGCTACATGCCTGTAGTCCCAGCTACTTGGGAGGCTGAGGTGGGAGGATTGCTTGAGCCCAAGAGGTCAAGGGTACAGTGAGCCCTGATCACAGCACTGTACTCAGCCTCAGTGACAGGGTGAGACCCTATCTCAAAACAAACAAACAAAGAAAAATTTTAATGGAATTGTTTTCCATGTTTGCAAGTCTCCTAATGTCTGGCTTAATAGAAGACAGCTGTATTCTCGTATCTGCTTCTGCATAATCTGTTGCAATATGTTATTTTGGTTGAAGTATATGAAGAAAATATGACCTTAAGCAAATATGTTTCGGGGTAAGAGAGAACCTCACAACCTGAAAAGGTCTCAGGAAGCCCTAGGGGTCCTCAGAGGACACCTTTGAAAAAGATTGCTGTGGCCGGGCATGGTGCCTCACACCTGTAATCCCAGCACTTTGGGAGGCTGAGGTGGGCAGATCACCTGAGATCAGTTCGAGACCGGCCTGGCCAACATGGCGAAATCCCATCTCTACTAAAAAAAACCAAAAATTAGCTGGGTGTGGTGGTGCGTACCTGTAATCCCAGCTACTCCGGAGGCTGAGGCAGGAGACTAACTTGAACCTGGGAGGCGGAGGTCGCAGTGAGCCAAGATTGCACCACTGCACTCCAGCCTGGGCGATAGAGCAAGACTCTGTCTCAAACAAAAAAAAAAAAGAGAGAAGAAAAGATTGCCCTCATTCCTTATTTTTGTGAGTAGAACCTCTGCCCAGTCTGGAGGTTCTGTCTGAACTTAAAATCTCAGCAATCCTGCTGCCACCACCCAATAACATAATTGTCAATATCCTTATAATCCCCTACCTGTGTACCTTATTTCATAGTTTTCAAAGAGTTTTCCTATGTAATGTCTCCCAGTTGCCTATCAGACATATCTGCTGATTCCATCTTACCCATGAACAAAACTTCCTATGAATCATGAAGTTCAGAGTGTACATGATTTGCTCAGGGCAAGAGGCAGAGCTTGTGCTCAAACTCACGCCTTGTAATACGAGTTATATGCTCTTTTGCTAGCCACTTACATCAGCAGTACTCCAGCCTGGCCTCATCTACAACAATCCAGAGTATTGAGATGTTTTTCTTTTCTTTTTTTTTTTTTTTTAGGCAGAATCTTGCTCTGTCACCCAGGTTGGAGTGCAGTGGCGTGATCTCGGCTCACTGCATGCTCCACCTCCTAGGTTCATACCATTCTCCTGCCTCAGCCTCCCGAGTAGCTGGGACTACAGGCATCTGCCACCACACCCAGCTAATTTTTTTGTATTTTTAGTAGAGATGGGGTTTCACCGTGTTAGCCAGGATGGTCTCGATCTACTAACCTCGTGATCCACCCACCTTGGCCTCCCAAAGTGCTGGGATTACAGGCGTGAGCCACCGCACCCAGCCTGTTTTTCTTTTCTTTTTTTCTCTCTCTCTATCTTTTTTTTTTTTTTAGATGGAATCTCACTCTGTCGCCCAGGCTGAGTACAGTGGCGTGATCTCGGCTCACTGCAACCTCCACCTCTGGGGTTCAAGTGATTCTCCTGCCTCAGCTTCCCGAGTAGCTGGGATTACAGGCACACACCGCTGTGCCCATCTGATTCTTGTATTTTTAGTAGAGATGGGGTTTCACCATGTTGCCCAGGCTGGTCTTGAATTCCCCACCTCAGGTGATCCACCTGCCTCAGCCTCCCAAAGTTTTGGGATTACAGGCGTGAGCCACTAAGGCTGGCTGAGATGTTTTTCAATATTTTCCTAATTTATATCTTGACAGGGAATGGCAACTAATATTTATTGAAAGCCTATTATACTCCAAGCACTGTACTACTAAATACCTAATTTGTTTTCCACCAACCTCACAAAAGCAGATGTTATTCTCACTTGAGGAATCAAGGTTTAGAATGATTTAAGTATCTTGACCTATTTGCCAAAGATGCGTGGCTAATAACTGGTAGCACCATCATTTGGATCAGACCACCTTATTCCAGGTCACACGCTCTTTCCATTATACAACTGTGCCTTCACTAAAATCGTGGTTCTATATGACAAAGTATCTTCTGACATCATTACAGCCACACAGGAACTCAGCCACAGACGCTTTCTGAACCTCCAATATATTTCTGCTCCTTTCTTTGTTGATTCTAGAAATACTGTCAAGCTTTCTTGACAAGCTCACTTCAACCTCTCCTATTAGTGCAATTCCACCAATCTATGGATAGAACCTTGAAATCCACTAAAAGAAAGCAGAGTAAAGAGAGGCATGCATTTCTTTACAACTAGTGATGGATTAAGAGCATCCAATTGATATTAATTGGCATGTAGCCATTAGGCATTAAAGGTTGAGGGTCTCTGCCCTCCTCCCCAGCTCCATGGTGACCAGACCCAGCCATTTCCTGGCTTAGAGCCTCTCCTATACAGGGCTAGTCCCAGGTGCACCTTTGAGATAACAATAATGTCTCCTAAAACAAACAGCCATTATTTCTACACAAAGACCTTCAATGTTTCCTCCATCAACAAAAGGCTACAGCAATCCCTCCAAGAAGACAAAGGGCTGGAAGCCCTTTCATAAATATCATGATGATGGTGTGGGCCCAGTGGGAAGGGAGAGCCAGGAAGATAATTCTCCAGCACTTTCTCTGCTGAGGAATAGCTGGGACAGGACTGACTCCATCCCTCAGAAAGAGCTCTGAGTGATTAATCATTCCTAAACTATTCATAATGACAGTAATAACATTTCCCTAACCTGTGGAAAGAAAGAAAAATATTGAGCCATTACAGGATTGTCGTCAGGATCAAATGAGATGATACATGTGAAATCTCTGTGTAAGGTTTAAAGGATTGCACAATTTACATTATTATTATCAGACAATTGATGGGTCACCCATATTGCCTGCATGAAAAAGATAACTCTATTTTAGCCAGATGAGATTCCAAATAGTCTTGGATTATAGGTCCACCAGTTCCTAGAATAAAGCATAAGGGAGAAGAAACATGGTCAGTATGGTTGACCATGATAGTCTACTAGGGCTTGTCCCCTGCCAAATTGCTGTGCAGGTGATGGCTAACTTTGTTGGCTATTCTTTCCACTCCCAAGAGCCCAGATCTTGGAAATGAGGTCGCTGGTGGTTGATTCCTCACCTAGGGTCTAATGGTCCAAGTTCCCCACTTTCCCTTTCCTCCTTTGTCCCCCTGAAAACATCTCTCATGCAATTTACACAAAAATAGATACACATTATAAATTAAAGCATGAGAAAAGTGTCCAACCTCATTGGTAATAAAAGGCAAGTAAATTAATGTGAGTTGTACCATCTTATACCTATTTAATAATAAAAATTATGAATGAGAACATCCAATTTTGATGAGGTTGTGACAAAATTGATGTGATCTTATAGCACTAGTGGCATAATAAGTTTGTATAATCCCTTACAGAGGCAAAATGACAACACATAGCAAATACTAAGGAGATATTTCTATCTTTTGCCCTCGTGGTAATCTCTCTCCTTATCAATTCCCAAGGAAATAATTTAAAGAAGTGGGAAAAAAAAGCTGCAGCTATAGATACATTTACCATGATAGGCAAATACTGAAACAACCAGAGAAATGTTTTAGTTAATTGCAGTGTGACTGTAGTCCTTAAAATAAAAATATAAAAACTGGCTGGGCATGGTGGCTCACGCCTGTAATTCCAGCACTTTGGGAAACTGAGGCAGAGGGATGACTTGAGCTCAGGAGTTGAAGATCAGCCTAGAAAATATAGCAACACCCGACACAGGCACAGTGGCTCACGCCTGTAATCCCAGCACTTTGGGAGGTCGAGGTGGGTGGATCACAATGTCAGGAGTTTGAGACCAGCCTGGCCAATATGGTGAAACCTCATCTCTACTAAAAATACAAAAAAATTAACCAGGCGTGGTGGCACATGCCTGTAATCCCAGCTACTTGGGAGGCTGAGGCAGGAGAATTGCTTGAATCCAGGAGGCAGAAGTTGTAGTGAGCCGAGATCGCGCCACTGCACACCAGCCTGGGTGACAGAGCGAGACTCTGTCTCAAAAAAAAAAGAAAAGAAAAGAAAAGAAAATATAGCAACACCCCATCTCTACAAAAAATTTAACATTAGCAGGGTGTGGTGGTGTGTCCCTGTAGTCCCAGCTACTTGAGAGGTTGAAGTGGGAGGATTGCTTGAGCCTAGGAGGTTGAGCTGTAGTGAGCTGAAATCGTGCCACTGCACTCCAGCCTGGGCAACAGAGTGAGAAAAGAAAGAAAGAAAGAAAGAAAGAAAGAAAGAAAGAAAGAAAGAAAGAAAGAAAGAAAGAAAGAAAGAAAGAAAGAAAGAAAGAAAGAAAGAAGGGAGGGAGGGAGGGAGGGAGGGAGGGAGGGAGGGAGGGAGGGAGGGAGGGAGGAAGGAAGGAAAGAAAGAAAGAAGGAAAGCAAGCAAGCAAGAAGGCAGGCAGGCAGGCAGGCAGGCAGGGAGGGAGGGAGGGAGGGAAGGAAGCAAGGAAGGAAGGAAGGAAGGAAGGAAGGAAGGAAGGAAATATGAAAACTACTGAGAGGCCAGGCACAGTGGCTCACGCCTGTAATCCTAGCACTTTGGAAGGCTTGAGCCCAGGAGTTCGAGACCAGACTGGGCAACACGGGGAAGCCCCGTCTCTATGAAAAATACAAAAATTAACCAGGTGTGGTGGTGCATGCCTGTAGACCCAGTTACTTTTAGGGCTGAGGTGGGAGGCTCACCTGAGAGTTTGAGGCTGGAGTGAGCTGAGGTTACACCACCGCATAACAGCCTGAGCAACAGAGCAAGGCCCGGTCTCAAAACAACAACAACAACAACAAAAACAAAAACTACGGTGGCTCACGCCTGTAATCCCAACATTTTGGGAGGCCGAGGTGGGCCGATCACTTGAGGTCAGGAGTTCCAGACCAGCCTGGGCAACACGGTGAAACCCCGTCTCTACTAAAAATACAAAAATTAGCCGGGCATGGTCGTGGGCGCCTGTAATCCCAGGTACACGGGAGGCTGAGGCAGGACACTGCACTCCAGCCTGGGTGAAAGAACCAGACTCTGTCTCAAAAAAAAAAAACTACTTAGAAATATGATGAAATGTTATAAATGATGAAAGTATACAATATAATACAACTAGGTAAGAATGTATGCATAAACACCGGTAATAAGAAAAATGAAAAATTCTTTAATGTAGTGGTAGCCAACTATATTTTAAAATATTCTTTAATGTTTTTATATCATCTTTTAAATACACCAATAAAAAGAAAGAATAGTAGTTAGCTAGTAGAATTTCTCAATACTCTGCTTCTATTAGGGTAGGGCACGGAGTGGTCCTTGCTAAGATGTTGATGGGTATTAGTAAATTTATGAGCAATACATTTCCAGATAGAGAGGCCATAGTAGACTCCAGTGGTTAAAAGCCTCGGGATTCAAATCAGGCAACCAATTGCTGAGTTGGATTCCTCTTTCTTCACTTGCTTGCATGAGTGGCCTTGAGCAAGCTGTTTGACTTTTCTAAATCTTTCTGATTTGTAAAATGGGAGTGATAGGCAGAACCAATTTCATAGAGTCATTGGAAGTAGTCAGTGAGATAAAGTACATAATATAGTGCTAGGTGCATTGAAAAATTATTCAATAAAGGTTTGTTGTTTGTGCTGTTAATAATGATGATGGTGGTGGTGGCGGTTGTGATAAACTGAGGGCTTCCAGGGAAAGTACTTTCACTTAAAGGTCTGATGTCACTTAAAGGATGCTACTCAAATAATACTATCCCTATATGTGGAGCCAACTAAAATTTTGAAAGGTAATTTTATGTTATTTATTGATTTACTTTTAATTGACAAATAATCACGGCTTTTATTTTATTTTATTTTTGAGATGGAGTCTCGCTCTGTCGCCCAGGCTGGAGTACAGTGGCACGATCTCGGCTCACTGCAACCTCCACCTCCCAGGTTCAAGCGATTCTCTTGCCTCAGCTTCCTGAGTAGCTGGGACTACAGGAGCGTGCCACCACACGCGACTAATTTTTGTATTTTTAGTAGAGTAGGGGTTTTGCCATGTTGGCCAGGCTGGTCTCGAACTCCTGATCTCAGGTGGTCCACCCGCCTCGGTCTGCCGAAGTTCTGGGATTACAGGCATGAGCCACGGCGCCCGGCTCACTCTGTATCTTTATGGGGTGCAATGTAATGTTTCTTCAGATGTATACATCATGGAATGATCAAATCAGGCTAATTAACATATCCATCATCTCAAATGTTTCTTTGTGTTGAGAATATTTAAAATCATCTCTTTTAGCTATTTTGAAAGATATAATACATTATTATTAACTGCAATCATGAAAGTTATTTTTTCCAAGTTTCCACAAGCAGCACTGAAAAGTTGTTTTTAATACACTTTTTAAGATAAACTTTATTTATTTATTTATTTATTTTTTGAGACAGAGTCTTTCTCTGTCACCCAGTCTGGAGGGCAGTGGCATGATCTCAGCTCACTGCAACCTCCGCCTCCCAGGTTCAAGTGATTCTCCTGTCTCAGCCTCCTGAGTAGCTGGGATTACAGGTGCCCGCCATCACGCCTGGCTAATTTTTGTATTTTTAATAGAGATGGGGTTTCACCATGTTGGCCAGGCTGGTCTCGAACTCCTGGCCTCAGGCAGTCTGTCCAGTTCAGTCTCCCAAAGTGCTGGGATTACAGGCATGAGCCACCGTGCCCAGCCCACTTTATTTTTTTAGAGTAATTTTAGGTTCACAGCAAAATTGAATGAAAGGTGCAGAGATTTCCCATAGATCCCCTGTCCTCACATAAGTACAGCCTCCCCTGCTATCAACATCCAACACCAGGGTGGTACCTTTGTTATACAATGGACCTACATTGACACATGACTATTACCTGAAGTCCACAGTGTACCTTAGGTTTTACTCTTGGTATTGTACATTGTGTGGGTTTTACGTAAAATGACAGGTATTCACCATACAGAGTAGTTTCACTGCCCTAAAAATCCTCTGTGCTTTACCTATTCGTCCTTCTCTTTCCCCAACCCCTGGAAGCCACTGACAACTTTTAGTATCTCCATAGTTCTGTCTTTTCCACCATGGCATATAGTTGGAATTACACAGTATGTAACCTTTTCAGATTGGCTTCTCTCTTGAAAGGTATTTTTTTAATGAACAGTCTAGAGGACCAGGTGAGGGTTTTGATTTTCGACTAGATAATACAAAGATAACTACTACCAGTGATTGTGTTTGGTTCTTTATGCATGTTATCTCCAGAAGATAAATGTTATTATCCTTATTGGTAGAACAATTGTTCAAGGTCACAAAGCCAGGAAGTAGAGGAGCTAGTATTTGAATCCAGTGTGTCTGACTCCAATGTTTTTATGTTTTCATCATGCCACTGTGTTTACCTAATAATAAACACAGGTCCTGGAGCATTTGAACCCGGTCATGGGAACTGACATGGAAAAGCACACTGGCACAGCTGCATGTCCAACTGCACGTCACTCCAGTTCTTAGAAAACAGCATCCTGATAGAGCAACACAACAGCCACCCCGCTTGGTGCCAGCTTTCAGGCTTATAACGTGTATTCCCAATCCTTAGGCAGGAGAGCTCAGTCAGCATACTGACTAGCCAAATTAAGTGGATCTGGTTCAGTGTTTCTTAACCTTTTTTGCATTATCCGTCTCCCCAAAAGTCTCTTTAGACATTTTCTTCCTAATCACTCCCAATTCCGATACTGCAGACAGACTCTACATTTGCTTATGTACCGTGACTCTTCAGTGGCCCAAAAGCCATTGTAATACCTAAAGCATTCTTTTTGCCCTTGGAGAAACTATTTTTACACTCTTGGGGGCTACATCGTCCCCACTGAGAACCTATGGTCTAGATGCAGTTGGCCAGAGCTCAGGGAGCCTAATGGAGAGCTGAGACATCAGCGGGGTGAGGCCAGGACCTTGGAGAGCACCGAAGTGGCCCTCCTGAGGCCATTCCAAGGCTCCATGTCGCCTGAAAATATGTCTGAAAGGAAGAGGCAGGTAGAGGCAGGGGCTAGGAAACTAGTATTAGTATTATCTTACTAGATGTCGTAGGAATCATCAGAATGTGAAGGCCTCCTAATTCTCTTTCATAAAAAGTTCTTGTGGGGCCGGCACTTTGTGGGTGCGGACTTTAATTCTCAAGGCCCAAGGCAGTTAAATGGCACATTTTCAGGTAGTCTAAGGATTTCAGGGTCTTTATTAAGAGTGCAATTCCACAGGACTTGGAGGTTTTCCGAGGTTTAAAGGTATCAGATTAATTCTTCCTTCCTCACCCTCCACTGCTGGCTGGGTTATGATGCCACATTTATAGTTTTACAGTGCCTGCTGTGACTTGAAGACAATAGGCACTATTTACCATGTGCCAGACAGACACTGTGCTAAGCATATTAGTGAGCTATTTTATTTAACCTGCTTAAGAATCTTCTCAGGTGGGTATGATCATTGTCCAAGGATAAGAGAGGTTAGCAAACTTGCTCAGGATCACACAGCTGATAATTGGGGAAGCGCCAGACCTTGAACCCACATAGTCGACTTCAGAGCCTCACTGCTTAACCAGCATGCTATACTGCCACCAGATTGACTCAGTGGCCCTGGTAAGGTTTTTGTTTTTAAAAATCCCATTAATATCCTTAGCACAGGACTATCATCTCCCCTACTCAACTTTCCCAGAGATACCTCTGTGACCCAAGGTTTATACTTCTGCCCTCTCCTCAGGAGAACTTAAAATTTGTCATGTCACTCCTATGCTTAAAACTTTTCAATAGCTCTCCCTGTCCCCCTCAGAATAAAGTCCAAATTCTTTCTCATGCCTTATAAGGCCCCTCATGATCGGCCCCTTCTTATAAGGCCAGACTTGTCGTCTTTTACCACTTTGCTTCTCAAACTCTCTGCTCCAGCCACGTTGATGCACTTTAACCAAACTGTGCCCTCTGTCCCTTTTGGGCCTTGGCACATGCTCTCCCCTCTTCCCAGAGACTTTCTTTCTATTCACCTCCCTTTCAAGGGGATAAATCCTCCATATCTCTCAGGTTTTAGCTCCGATATCACTTCCTCTGCATTTCCTCACAGATCCCCCAAATCTGGGTACAACAGAAATAATGGCATCACAGTACTCTGTGCTGGTCAGATTGTCCGTGGCATATTTTGTCCAGTGCCAGGCATCACATAGATGAAGTCTGCAGGCAGGCAACCAGTATGGAGAGCATTCTGAAATTGCTTTTAATATATGCCAGGCACTGAGTTGATGATTTCATGGCTATTATCTCACATAATCCTATTGGATTGGGTAAGTACGATGAGGAAACTGAAATTCAAAGAAGTTAAGCAAATTGCTTGAGGGCCCTCAGATGGTGAATGGCAGTGCACAGTGTTTGACCCAAACCTGTGCAAATTTGGAGCCCATGCCTTCAATCCCTACATAATACCATCTCTGAAAACCATAGTATTATGAATGACTAGTTTAAGAAAAGTACCATGATAAAATAGAAGTTATTTAACCTAGAGAACAGATGACCAAGGGCAAGCTATATTCATTCAAACAGTTGAAAGGTTGTCACTTCAGAGAGTAACAGGAACACCTCAGTAGTTGGCTTAATAGAAGAAAGTTCTGAAAAGGAAGTGAGCCTCTGAGGGGAAAGGCCCAAGTGTCTGTTATCTATGTGTTTCTCAGTCCAACGTCTGGCTCAGAGGAGGTGGCTCCATAAGAGGAAGGAAACAGAGCTGCCCAATAGTAGAATGGGTTGCCTCATGAAACAGTGACAGCCCCGCTGACACTCCCCAGGTTGGGCTGGTTGGCCACCTGACAGAGCACCATGGGAAGGATCACAGAGAAAGGATTCCACGTATTCTGCATCCTAAAATTAGATGAGCTCTAAACCCCTGTCTGCTCAAGGACTCTGTAATTACTGAACGAAGCCTGTGACTCAGATTTTGGCAAGTCACAGACCATCTGGCAATGCATCAGTGCACTGAGATCTTAGAAAGCAGAGAACATGAGTGGATTGGACTCCTGGACTTCCAGAACCCAAGCTTCCACCCTTTCCAGCTCCATACAATGGAGTTAGAAATGGTTCACTGTAACTCTGGGGAGCTAGAAACAGTCCTGTTCCAGAGGCTAATCTGGAAAGAGAGACGTTTAAGTCATTTATAGAGAAAGGCTCTGCCTGTGGGTTTCAGCTGCTGTCACGGGATCTGAAAAAGGAGATGACTTCTCCTTGCTAGCAGATGGTTAGGACAAAAATAATCGATACGTCAACAAATGAATTTCTGACAGCCATTTGCTGAAAGGAATTGAAAGGGCCCCACAATATGTACATTGGGCCGGCCGTTGTTCCTCACATGCACTGTGTCCTTTCACTCCCTGCAGAGTGGCCAGTGACAAACACAGAGGACTGTCCCCTCTGTCCAGCATGGAATGAGTTCCGATAGAGCACAGCCAGAACAAAGTGCTTTCTGCCAGCTTTCCTAGAGGGCTTGCACAAATGTGGGTGGCTCAAAAAATAAGACAACATTTCATCAACATTAATGTTATGAGACTCTTTGACTCCACTTTCAAAAGATTTATGCACCCTGACAAGAACAGAGTATTGCGGAGCCTAGAACACCTACTAATGAGGGCATCTTAGTTGTACGATTCAACCTACAGCTTTAATCAAAACACAACCCCACACACAACTATATTAAACTAGGCAAACATCACTTGTGCAACTTTTGAAAGAAGTAATAAACCAAATACAAAGTTGCTGTCATTACCTACAAGTCTAATAGCATCTGTTTGGTCCAATTTTATTATTATTTACGGTTCTTTGACTCTATCTTCCCACAGTCGCCCTCCTATCTTTTCACTTGCTTCTCTCAACTTAGAGATCAAAATTTCTCAGTTTGTGTCTATAGCTAGAGCCTCAATAAGCTTCCTCCAATGGCATGTGACATGGTGGTCTCTCACATGGGACCATCACCATACCATGTGTTTCCCTCCCTCTCTTAACAGGGATCTGAGATCTAAGGTCGCCTGGATCTTTTACTTCCTCTCTTTTTTCTTCCATCTTTTTCTCTGCCTCTAAAGAAACATGCATCGGATATAGTATAATAACTACGTGAAGCCCACCAAACTATCTTTCCAAACAGAAGGGAGTGGTTTTCCACTCTTTTTTTTTTTTGGAGACAGAGAGACAGAGTCTTGCTCTGTCCCCCAGGCTGGAGTGTAGTGGCACGATCTTGGCTCACTGCAACCTCTGCTCCTGGGTTTAAGCGATTCTCCTGCCTCAGCCTCCTGAGTAGCTGGGATTACAGGCACCTGCCACCCAGCTAATTTTTGTATTTTTAGTAGAGACAGGGTTTCGCCATGTTGGCCAAGCTGGTCTCAAAACTCCTGACCTCAGGTGATGTGCCCACTTCGGCCTCCCAAAGTGCTGGGATTACAGGCGTGAGCCACCGTGCCAGCCCACTCTCTACAGAAGGGTAAAATATTTTCACCTTTCACCTTTTCAGCCAATAGAAAACAATGGCTGCCAAAAACTGGTTTCCCCTTGTAATTCTTGACCAAACTGCCTTCCTCTACTGACAAATTCCTTTTAAACAAAATATCTTAAGCTGCAAAGGTAAATAGATGGGATTGGAATATTGTTATCTAAAGTTCCCGGATATAGCCTGCTTACACAGATAGATGCTCGCTCCACAGATGTTGCCCACAGGAATGTTTATACATATAGTGCACACATAGATGTTTCTCACAGACAGATGTACACAAACACAGATGCTACTCACGTAGACAGATGTCCACCAGGAACACAATATATACCAACAGCTCCCTCAGGGTGGTCTTGATATAAAGTTCCCGGTTCTCAGCTGTGTTCTCAGTCAGGGTTGTTCCCCAAAGTCCTAAGGGGCATGGGAGAGATGCCTGGGATGCTCAGTGGCAGTGTTCCTCCCAGTCATCCCCACCCATCTGTCTCTGGACTTTAGCCCCTTTCCACCCCTGCCCTTCCTTGCCCATCACCTTCATCCTTGGCTGAATCTGGCTACTGTACCCACACCCATGCTTGCTCTTCCCATCAGCTCCCTGAGGTCGACAGGGGTGAAGGCCCTGGCTTGTAGAGAATGAAGGCATGGAAAGGAGGCACCTGTTCCAGGTGGGGTAGTCTAGGGCATCATCACATCCATGTCCTCCCTCAAACCAGCTCCCACATACCTCTCTGGATCCCCAGGTGATGACCATGCCAGGCTCCCACAACCGGTAGACCGCTCAGCTGGCCTCTGTGTTCTGGGTCATGCAGCACTACCATGGGCAATTCATACACCCCAAAGTGACACCGAAAGGTCACCTCTTCTTCAGATCACATTCCACCCCCACCCCCTGCCCAAAAGCTTTTGGTGACTCCTCCTGATTCTAATATCCCAGGAGAACTGTCCCCCTATCTGGTACCTCTGATGCCTTGACAGATATGGAGGCAGCAGCTGGACACCTGGGTCCTGTATGCCGTCTCCTGGGGTTCATCTTCAGGCTTCTTGGGTTGGGGCTGGAGAGGCCCCGTGCTGGAGATGGTGCAGACTCTCAGCGTCCCGTGTGGGGAAGGGGGACCACTGTAGGCGGGGTTGTCCCAGGCTCCACTCCCCAGCTTTTGCAGCTCCTGCCCCTCAGGACTTCCCACAGCATTCATGGGGAATGAGGTGGGGGGGCCCGGTACCCCAGGTGCCCACTCTCAGCTAGAGGAAGAGGGAGCAGAGGCACAGCCCAGCCTAGCCAGCAGAGAGCAAATGGAAAGGCGTCTGAGAGCAGCTGTTTCCACACAGCCTGGGCTCCTGCCTTTTGTAGGGGGATGTCTGTGCCTGCTGGGGAGGGAGCGGATGAGAGGACAGGGTGGGGAAGGACCATCAATCCTGTCAGGAGCTCTCTCTCCCTCTTGCTGCAAGCCCCAGGGGACCAGCCGAAAGGGGAGGTGAGGGAACTGGAAGGTGGGGGTTTGAAGAGGGGAGAGGGGAGAATAGGAGGAGGATGTGGAGCTGGGAGTGGAAGGAGAAACGGGAGGAAAAGGCGATGCTGGGGATGAAGGGGGCTGCTCGCAGATGTGCCTGGTGGAGAGATGGCCCAGAGGTCGGACAGAAGAGACGATCAAAGAGCAATGGGAGGAGCTGAGACAGGAGGGGAGCCGGGGGCCTGTGCTGCGGGTCTGAGCTCATTTCCACTAAAAGCTCCTAAAAGGGCCGACATGGATTGGGGTGGGGACCAAGGCTGGGAGGAAAGCTGAAGAGCGCTGTCCCCCTCCCAGGCTCTGCCCACCTCCCAGGTTCAGTCAATGGGTCTGAGGCTCCTGTCCTGTCTCACCTTCAGCTGTCCCCTGGTGGAGCAGAGATGGGCAGCTCCCTTCCCTCACTTCACCCTCTCAGCCGTGGGGAAAGGACAGTGGCAGGAGGAACCCCAGTCTCACATACTTCAGGGCACTGAGGGGGCAGGGGAGAGGACCACAGAGTCCTAGGTTGTCTATATTCCTTGTTCTGAAGCTTGCCTTTCCATGGCTTACAGGTGAGATACACCAAGAGAGGGGGTTCCTTAAGGGTGTGGGGCTCAGTATGGGAAAAAGGCTAAGACCTGGTTGGGAGGCTGGATCGGAGAACAAAGGACAAGGACAGTATGATGTGGGACTAAAGGGGAGTGGATATCTGGACCCAGCTGAGCTGGGAACCTTTTCCCATGGCTCTGCTTAGTCCTGGGCCTAGAATCGTAAACTTGAGCACAAAGTGGAACTATCCATGATATCAGGATTAATCTGCTTTCTTTATAACTGCAGGTCTCTGAATTAAAACTGTGTCATGGGCCCCCAAGCACATCCCTGCCTATGCCCTGCTCCAGCTTCTGATCACCTGCTCCAGCTCCCCTATAGGCATGCATGATGCCCCAGAATGGGGCTGATCCCACAGGTTGTGGTGGTCACCCTGCAGTTTCTCCTCCTTGAGGCTAGAGCAGAGACTTTCCTCTCCTAACTCCTGGCTCCCCACCCAGGGCTACTCACTGGCCTGAAGCCCACCTTCACATTCAGCAAAACATCAGCCTTGTCAAAATAATCAGTCTTGAGTGTCCCTATAAAGAGATCTTGGCTGGGTGTGGTTGCCCACACCTGTAATTCCAGCACTTTGGGAGGCCAGGGCAGGAGGATCACTTGAGCTCAGGAGTTCAAGACCAGCCCGGGCAACATGGTGAAACACCGCCTCTACAAAACAACAACAAAACAACAAAAATTAGCCAGGCATGGGGTGCGTGCATGTAGTCCCAGCTGCTACTCAGGTGGCTGGGGTGGGAGAACCACTTGAGCTGGGGAGGCTGAGGCGTTGAGGCTGCAGTCAGCTGAAATCACACCACTGCACTCCAGCCTGAGCAACAGAGCAAGACCCTGTCTCAAGAAAAAAGAAAGAAAGAAAGATAACAAGTGTTGGCAAGGCTGTGGAGAAAAGGGGCCCCTTGTATGCTTGGCTGTATTGTAAATTAGTACGGACATCTTGGAAAACAGTATGGAGGTTCCTCAAAAAACTAAAAATAGAATTACCATATGTTCCAAGAATCTCAAAGGAATTGAAATCAGTGTGTTGAATAGATGTCTCCTCTCCCATGTTCATTGCAGGATTATTAATAATAGCCAAGATATGGAAACAATCTAAGTATCCATCAACTGACGAAAGGATTTAAAAGATGTGGTATATATGCACAATATAATATATTCAGCCTTGAAAAAAAAAACACAGAAAATTCTGTCATTTACGACAACATAGATAAACCTAGAGAACATTATGTTAAGTGAAATAAGCCAGGCATAATGAGACAGATGCCCTATGCTCTCACTTATATGTGGAAACTAAAAAAATTGAACTCGTAGAAGTAGAGAGTAGAATGGTGGTTACCAGAGGCTGGGGGTGAGGGGTGTGTGAGAGGGGAAGAGAGTGGTCGATGGATAAAAGCTTTCAATCAGGCAAGAGAAATATGTTCTGTTGTTCTGTTGCACAGTGTGGTGACTACAGTTGATAATGAGGTACTGTGTACTTCAAAATAGCTAACAGAGAGGATTTAAAAAGTTCTTACTACAAAGAAATGATAAATATTTGAAGTAATGAATATGCTAATTCACCTGATTTGATCACTCCACAATGTATACATGTATCAAAATGTCACATTGTACCTCATAAGTATATAGAATTATTATTTATCAATTAAAAATAAAATAAAACTTTAAAAAATGGAGCAAATGGGCCAGGCACAGTGGCTAACATCAGCACTTTGGGAGGCCGAGCTTGAGACTAGGAGTTCAAGACCAGCCTGGGCAACAAAGTGAGACCCTGTCTCTACAAAAAAATCAAAAAATTAGCTGGGCATGGTAATGCATGTCTGTGATCCCAAATACACAGGAGGCTGAGGCAGGAGGATTGCTTGAGCCCGGGAGGTCAGGGCTGCAGTGAGCCGTGTTCATGCCATTGCACTCCAGCCTTGGTGACAGAGAAAGAGCTTGTTTCAAAAAAAAAAAAAAAAAAAAGCAGCAGCAGCAAATGGAGGCATGAATAATGTGAGGTAGCCTATTTTAATGGTATAGACACTAAACATTATGAAGTTTAGGGGAAAAGGAAGCTTCCTCTGGAGGAAATGAAACAGAAGCTAGATCTTGATGGATGGGCGAGGTTTGGGAAGGAAGAGCCCCATCAGGTTTGGATGGGAAGGTTTGGAAAAGAAGAGGTTCCTTCTAAGCATAGGAATGATAGGTGGGGTCTTGGGGCTCTGAAGATGTCTGTGATGCCCCTAGGGTTGTAGAAGACTGGCCCTTAGTGCAGTTGGGAGAAAACAGAGGAGGGGGAAGGCCTGAGGTTGCATAACGAGGGTGAGGACCTCTGGTGGTCCCTATTGCCGCCGAGAACTGTGGTGTGCGTGAATCCCTTCAGAGACCATGGAAACTACCAGCTATTCAGAGTGGTTGAAGAACAAAAGGAGGTGGCTTCTGACCAAGTCAGTGGGAAGGAAATGACAAAATAAGAAGAAAAGGAAGGGTTCTTTTTCATTTGGGGCACTCATCCATGCTAATTTTTCATCCATAAAGAAATGAGTAGTCAATCTTTTCATGCTTCCTTTACCAAAAGGTGATTGAATTTATTTTATTAATTCATAGCCTATGTTTAAGGGAAATATATTATTTTGAGATTTTTATTTGTAGTTTAAATGTTTCTTGGGGGGTTGGAGATTTAAGGTAGTCCCAGACTTCTTTTAGATTTTTCCTCCTTATTATAGTTTGTATAAATATTGATCCAACCTAGATATAAGCTATGGGTAGGAGGAATCTTTTTTTTTTTTAACTATAGAACACAGCATTCCAGAAAAACCTCATTTCCATTGGTGAATGGCTATTGGCATACACAAACCTGGCATGTGGTTGAGGAGAAGGGATGCAGCTGACGTGAGAAAATCTTGAGAAGAGAGCCATAATCCCGCTTCCAATTCACTTGAGGTTTTGATGTATGAGGAAAGATGAAAAGAACTGTATGTGGGTAGGCCTGGCTGAAGAGCTAAGGAGTGCAGGTGCATGTGTGTGGGATGGGGTCCTGACAGCCATGTGCAGATGCATGTGTGTGGGATGGGGTCCTGACAGCCATGTGCAGATAGTTGAAGGCATAAGCCCCAAAGAAGGAGAGGGATTGTGAAGGTGCTCTTTAGGGGATTATCTAAGGGTAATGAATGAACCAAAGGGGAAAAAAATGTTTCATCAGAACTTTCATCATGGGTAAGATGTAAGAGGCTATAAAACAACCTCCCATGAGAGGTGGTGAAATTCCCATCCCTTGAGTCATTTGGAGGAGACCTAGAAAGTTTTGGAAGTATACAACACTGCCCTGGTGGGGGAACAGATTTGGCAACCAAGACTATCCTCTATCCTGGTGTTTTACAGCTCAATTTCCAAGATGAGTCCATTGATAAGCAATAAATTTGGAAACTCTCCAGAAAAAAAAAAGAAAAAGGAGGAAGAACTGTACCAGAATCAACCACCTTATGTTAGATAAGCTGATGACAAAGGAAAAGGGAGCCACTACCTCTCACCTACAAGCCTTTTAAATAATTGCAAAAAGACCCCTGCCTTGCATAACTGGACCTTAGGATAGGGTTGATGAGCAGGAAGCTAACAGTATGGTCCAGAGAAGCAGGAAAAGCAACAGGAGATGGTATATGGTTCCCATTGGGTAATTTTGGATTCTGGAGGAGGCTTGTGATCAGCAGGGGTTTGACTGTGCTAAAGGAGGGTCATCATGTGACAAGTCTCACATCTCTGATTGTTCAAGGCCACCAGTGGACTGCTTTATTCACCTTTGGTCACCTACCTGGGCAAAATCCGATTGCTTTCTCCTGCTTAGGGTTAAGCATTCCCCATGTGTGTGGATCAACCCGTATTGGCCCCAGGAGCACAGCTTATGCAACACGGCTTGAGAAATGTTCTCAAAAAGTTCTCTGCATCCTTATGATGTTTAAACTTGCTCAAGAAATTGCAACTGTGGTAATCAAGTGGCATCTCCTGATTATCTTGTGTCCAGTACCTTTCTCCATGTCCCCAAGCTCCTACTGGCACTTGACTTTTCCTCTTGTCGATGCCATCGACAAAGCAGTGTCAGCCGGGCGTGGTGGCTAATGCCTGTAATCCCAACACTTTGGGAGACTGAGGCGGGCAGATCACCTGAAGTCAGGAGTTCGAGACCAGCCTGGCCAACATGGTGAAACACTGTCTCTACTAAAAATACAAAAATTAGCCGGGCATGGTGGCATGTGCCTATAATTCCAGCTACTCGGGAGGCTGAGGCAGGAGAATCACTTGTACCTGGGAAGTGGAGGTTGCAGTGAGCCAAGATCACGCCACTGCACTCCAGCCTGGGCAACAGAGCAAGACTCTGTCTCAAACAAACAAAAAAATGTGAATAAAGTCCCTGGGTTTAGCAGGGCTCAGCAACTTACTAGTATATGGTTCTGAACAAGTCGCTTTTGAGACTCAGTTTACCTATCTGCAAATCTCCAAAGTGTTGATAGCAATGCCTGCCCTGCTGACTTTAAGGACTGTTTTAGGATTTAGATAATAGAATATAGAAGTCTTTATAAACTGTGTACTTTGAAGCACAAAACAAATTTAGTTCTCTTGCTGTTGCATCCATGCTTGTACATTCCACTCATATACAGCAATTCGTGGGTAATGTAGATACCTTCAGCCAGGACTTTGACATTGTTTCTGAGCGACACGGGTCCCAGAATTCTCTGTGTCTACACTATTTCAAGCAGCTGACACCAGTAGAATGGAGTGATACCATTTGGCCTGGAGAGAATTCCAAAGGTAATCTTTGAGTGACAGCACCTATTAGATGAATTTTATAACCACATGACAAGCCTTATAGCCCATCAAAGCCAGAAGCACCTCTTCATCTGGAAGCTTTTTTTTTTTTTTTTTTTTTTTTGAGATGGAGTCTCGCTCTCTCGCCCCAGGCTGGAGTGCAGTGGCGTGATCTCGGCTCACTGCAACCTCCACCTCCTGGGTTCACGCCATTCTCCTGCCTCAGCTGGGACTACAGGCGCCCGCCACCATGCCCAGATAATTTTTTTGTATTTTTAGTAGAGACGGGGTTTCACCCTGTTAGCCAGGATGGTCTTGATCTCCTGACCTTGTGATCCGCCGGCCTCGGCCTCCCAGAGTCCTGGGATTACAGGCGTGAGCCACCACGCTCAGCTTCATCAGGAAGCTTTTTAACCCACTTGGCGAATTGGTCCCATGGCTTCACTGGGATGTGGTTTTTGGTAATATGCCGTCCAAGTGTAGACACTGGGGTGAAGATTACCCCATTTCTGCCACCAGTGAGCTCCCTTTTCACAGTATGCCCATCCCAACAAGCTTCTTCAGTGACCCCCAGATCTACTGCACTCCAATGAAGAGCCAGAAATAGCAAAGTCTATGGGAAGGAAACTTGTGGCCCATGACCTTGTAAGTTCTCCTGAAGGAACCCCTGGGGAAAGTTGCCTTCCATATTCCAGACAAAAGAATCTTGGTTGGCCGGGCGCGGTGGCTCACGCCTGTAATCCCAGCACTTTGGGAGGCCGAAGCAGGCAGATCACAAGGTCAGGAGATCGAGACCATCCTGGCTAACATGGTGAAACCCTGCCTCTACTAAAAATGCAAAAAATTAGCCGGGCATGGTGGCAGGCGCCTGTAGTCCCAGCAACTCAGAAGGCTGAGGCAGGAGAATGGCGTGAACCCGGGAGGCGGAGCTTGCAGTGAGCCAAGATTGTGCCACTCACTCCAGCCTGGGTGACAGAGCGAGACTCCGTCTCAAAAAAAAAAAAAAAAAAAAAAGAATCTTGGGGTAATTCACATTCCAAGTTCTACAGGGAGAGGCAAGCTTCAAACCACCTTCTGTATACTACATACTGATTCTTAACCGTTTCCACCTCAGTAAGTGTAAACCATAGGACACAGTCCATAAATAACCATGGCTCACTATGACAATGATTCTTAATGGAAGACATTGGGAATCACGTACCTATAAGAAAGCATCCTGGGCATGAGACCTTAAGCTTCATCAATATCCCGCTAGTCATCTGTGTGGGAAAAATAGTAAAATTTGTTTTTTGTTTGTTTTTTGAGACAGAGTCCCACTCTGTTGCCCAGGCTGGAGTGTAGAGGTGCAATTGCAGCTCACTGCAACCTCAACATCCCAGGCTTAAGCAATCCTCCTGTCTCAGCCTCCCAGATAGCTACGACTACAGGGCATACCACCACACCTGGCTAATTTTTGTATTTTTTGTAGCGACATGTTGCCCAGGCTGGTCTCAAACTCCTGGCCTCAAGTGATCCTCCCGCCTCAGTCTCCCAAAGTGCTTGGATTACAGGCATGAGCCACCGCACCTGGCCCCATGTCTTTAAAGAGATCCTTTTTGGGCCCAGGCGCGGTGGCTCACACCTGTAATCCCAGCACTTTGGGAGCCCGAGGTGGGCCGGATCACCTTTGGGAGTTCGAGACCAGCCTGACCAACATGGAGTAATCCCGTCTCTACTAAAAATACAAAATCAGCCAGGTGTGGTGGCGCACGCCTGTAATCCCAGCTAGTCAGGAGGCTGAGGCAGAAGAATAGCTTGAACCCAGGAGGCGGAGGTTGTGGTGAGCTGAGATTGTGCCATTGTACTCCAGCCTGGGCAACAAGAGTAAAACTCCATCTCAAAAAAATAAAAAAGTTCAAGGAGGGTTCTGATCAATGAAAAGCTTTTGGATGTTTAGACTAGAAGATCTCAGGTGACCTTGGAAAGTAAGAAGGCTTTTGATGCCTACAGATTTGGGGGAATGAAGGTGTACAGCTTCAAGGGTAAGTGGTGAGGCAATGAAAAAAGTGGCTCAAAAAAAAAAAAAAGGAATTACAAAAAAAAAAAAGAAAAAAAAACTGGCTCCATTTAACAACACTAGTAATTTATTAAAGATCTGTTGAGTACCTACTGTGTGACCTTCTTTCATATCGGTTTGGGGATATCCTAAGAAACGGAAACAACCATCCTCATCTTCACGTACTAAAAGCCTCACCCACTTCTTCTTATGGTGCTGATTTTAAAACAGCTTTATTGAGATAGAGTCACGTGCCATAAAATTCACCCACTTAAAACAGACAATTCAATGGTTGTAGTACATTCACAGATGTGTGTGACTATGGTGCTTTTTTTTTTTTTAGACAGAGTTTTGCTCTTTTGCCCAGGCTGGGGTGAAGTGGCACAATCTCGGCCCACTGCAACCTCCGCCTCCCGGGTTCAAGCGATTCTCCTGCCTCAGCCTCCCGAGTAGCTGGGATTATAGGCGCTCGCCACCATGCCTGGCTAATTTTTGTATTTTTAGTAGAGACGAGGTTTCGCCATGTTGGCCAGGCTTGTCTCGAACTCCTGACCTCAGGTGATCCACCCACCTCGGCCTCCCAAAGTGCTAGGATTACAGGGGTGGGCCACAGTGCTCAGCCGACTATGGTTTTAATTTTAAAGGAGGAAAGTTTGGGAATTAAGTTTGGAAGTCAGGATTTTTGTAATTTATGCTGTAAATGAGAGAGGGAGAGAACCCCAACCAGCAGAACAAATTCTTCACTCCTACCTTCACCAGCGGAATCAAAGGACCCAGTGGGAGGCCACAAAGGTGCTTTACCTACCAGGGCCACTGGGTGGCAGCAGGACCCTGGCCCCATATATGTCAATATGGAGAGCCTGCTCTTTTCTGGATGTAGAAGAGCAGATAATCCAGTTTGGAGGGGCTGAGCCTTCAGAGGGGCCTCAATCTAGAGACCACTTTTCTCCACAGCTTCTTCCTATACCTTACCTTTTTTTTTTTTCCCTCTGGATAACTCTGCAGGTTCAGATCTGGGCCGGCTAACAGGTCCTAAACCCATAGGGCTTTATCATTCTAGAGGTCTAGTAATGGCCCCTATTAAACTGGCTCCTCTGAGAAGCAGACACTAAGGCTGGGCAACTATGTGTGGTTTTTCATGGGGGAAACATCTATGAGAGAAAACAGGGAGCTGAGTGAGGCTGACAGCGCTGTCAGAGAGTGAGGAAAGTCCTGCCTGAGTGAAGGAGATAGGGTAGGAAGATTGGGAGGGCAGCTGTGGCATAGTCAAAGAGAGGTTCAGTGAAACCTTCTGGGAGCCACAACAGGCCATCGGGAGTTCTGTGTCCCCCAAGAATGGGCTTGCCTTCACATCCCTGCCACACTTAGCTACTGGTGAGGCTGCTCTAGGTGGGAGCAGGCCTGGGGCAGTATGACCCAGGTGAACATCTTGGTCAGCCGCCCTACCTGTAGTCTGCGGTCTCTGAGGCCCATTCGCACTGCCTCCATGCCTTCCTTTGGAGAAATGACAGCCTCAGCCCTCCGGGGTTTCTATCAAGTGCCACATCTGCTCTCCACCTCTCAGGGAGACAACTGAACCTTCATCTCTCACCTCATGTGCTGATTTCACTTCCCAATTTCATTTCCTTCTCCCCATGACCCCACCCTCCATCATGGCTCCTCCCATGCCCTGGATGAGACTCTGTGCCTGCTCCTGGAAGCGTTCAGGCACACTCACCCTCCCAAGCAAGCCCTACATTTCCATTCCTCTGCCTTTGGCTGCTTCTTGCTTAGAAGCCCTAAAACATGAAGGAGGTAATGGTATTACCTGAATGGTGGCTTCAGCCCGGATCCCAGGTGTCAGCCTGCCCTGGCTGGAAGCTAGCTGGCCAGCACCAGGCCCCATCCCTTTCCTGGGGTCCCTGTTTCTCAAGTGACCATCTATCCTCTGGTGCCAGAGTTGGTGGTGAGGTCCCAGACTCAGCTGAGCCTCATAGACCTCCCTGAACTATGCGATAGGCAGCCATAGCTTTGCCAGGTGGCTCAGAGAGCCAAGCAGCTCTTGGGGATCAGAAAAAAGACATTGACACTTGGCTGGGGAAAGCAGAGGTTTGGTAAAGTGAATGTTAGAGGGAAAGAATGATGGGTTCTTGGCGTGTTCTTGGGAACAACAGGGTCCACAGCCCCCTTTGGGGTTCTCAGTGCTGTTGAGGCTGCAGGAACTGAGGTAGGGCTGAGGGGCCTGCAGTGCCTGGGGCTCCAGGCTTCGCTCCTCCATCTCCCTGGCTGGTCCTCAACTGCAGGCTTAGGAAGGATGGGATAAAGGTAGTTGGCTTTCTGGGCTGCTGCCTGAAAGGAGGACATGGGGACACCAAATATTCTGCAAGAACGTATCTGGGCCAGATGACATTGCAAATCCAGAGTCCCTTAGGACATGAGAAGGGAATAACTCTGGCCTTTAAAAGGGAATCCAGCCAACCCCGGGTGTGGGAGGAGCAGAATAACAGCATGGAAATTCACCTTGATTACATTAATTTACACCTTAGATGCTGAAGGTAAAGCTGAGGGCTAGCATGGGATTTTCCCTTTCTCTCTTGGGTAGGGAGAGATGGGGAAGAAAGGTGGAGTTGGGGGCTGGAGTAGAAAGATCAAGCTTTTAGCCGACCTGGGGAGCCTTCCAGAATGTAACTTGCCCAGAGGCCAGGCCTCCTAGGTACTAGGGTTTATGCAGCAGGGAATGTGATCACGGGGGAAGTGGTGAGTGGTGGCAGGGCAGGGGAGAAGCAGCGCCCAGCAAGTGTCCTTCTGACTTTCTGCTCAGCATGTTTGTTCTGTGGCTGGAAAGAATGAGTTACTAGACAAAACATATGAAGTACCTAGTACGCACCTAGCAGATGTTAGGTACAGACAAATCCCCATCACATCCCCCACCTCAGTGCTCCCAGGCTGGTACAACTTTTCTGAGCCTTGCAAAATACAGGTAAATATGTGGGTAAATATTAGTAGATTATCAAAGCACCTAGCACAGTGCACATAAATAGATGCTTAAATAAATAAAAATAAATTTTAAAAAAACACTAAATGACTCTGTCACCAGCCCATTCTCTTCCCCTACCCGATTCTAGGGGCACCTCTTAGGAAGGGCGCCCCTCTCTCTTCCCTGAACTCCGACCCTGTTTAATATAGTATGTTTACACTCTGCCTTCATCAGATGCTAGCCTGCCCAGTTTGCTATTGTGCTTTGTCCTGTTTCTCTTAGAAATCTGTGAGCTCCCCAGGGGTGGGAGCAGAACTTTGGCTCCATTCTCCCCCACACAGCAGAGAATTGACTTTCCGCTGGGCACAGGGGAGGCTCAGTCAACACTCTATCCCCATGTGGCTACGTTGGCTTAGAGGCACAGAATGGGAGAGAAGCAGGCTCTTGGCTGAGGAAAAGCCCTGGGCGAGCACTGAGGGAAGCTTGGCCTCAGACATAGCCAGCTGCCCTCTGGACCTCGCAGCCCTGCTGTGCCCAGCTCAGCTGCTGTGTCAGTGCAAAGCCAGGGTGACATCAGCTGTGGGAGAGGTTACTGTCAGGCAAAGGGAAGGCCAGGAGAGAGATGGCTGGCTGGGGCACGAGGCTAGAAGGACTCAGGAAACAGTTCCCTTGTAGGGGAAGCAGCAGCTTGGGAGGGGCAGTTGGGAGGAGAGAAGCAAAAGGGGTGAAGGGCCAGGAATGGCCAGGGCCTGCCTGTTCCTTTCACCTACAGCAGGGAGAGAGGCATGGGTTCAGAACTCTGGAAGAGAGTGTGACCTTCCTGGGAGCACTCTTAGCAACTGCAGGAAGCAAATGGGGATTTACCTCTCTACGACCAGGAAGGCAACACAGGAGCCGGGCACGGTGGCTCATGCCTGTAATCCCAACACTTTGGGGGGCTGAGGCGGGTAGATCACGAGGTCAGGAGTTCGAGACTGGCCTGGCCAGTATGGTGAAACCCCATCTCTACTAAAAATACAAAAGTTAGCCAGGAGGGGTGGCATGCACCTGTAATCCCAGCTACTTGGGAGGCTGAGGCAGGAGAATTGCTTGATTCTGGGAGGCAGAAGTTGCAGTGAGCCAAGACTGTACCACTGCACTCCAACCTGACAACAGAGCAAGACTCCGTCTCAAAAAGAAAAAAAAGAAAGAAAGAAAGAAAAAACGCGGGGGCAAGCTGCTCTTCTCTCTTTACTTTGGCTCAGAAGCTGAGTCAGGGCAAGAGAGACTTTCCCTTCAGCTTGTTTATTTGTTGTTGGAGGCCCTAGGCCTGTGTTTGCTTTTCCTCTCCATGTGTTCATCCTAGATGGCTTGCTCAGAATGGGGTAGCCTTCCAGGCTGGGGAAAGATCCCCTATGGGCCTCCAGAGGAGGGAGGGAGTAGTCTGTGGCCTGGGAAAAGGCATCTTTGTAAGGTCAGACCACTGCAGAAATCTCTGGCCCTGGTCCTGGTCCTAAGACATTTGTCCCCAGGCCTCATCTGCTGGGACTGTCAGTACCCATCTCACACATTCTGCCCTGAGACATAAACTGCTTCCAGTCACACGCACTATCTGATCTGAGGACGTACCCCAGGGCCCCAGGGATAGGTAACAATAAGTTGGTGGAGGCCCGTCCGCCAGTATGCATACCTGTGTGTGCAGACATTCCCGTGTGTGAGCACACACAGAAAGGGCTGGAGTGAGAGGAAGATCATGGCTCTGTGGATAGTGTGGAGAGACAGATGTCTGCCAACAGAGGGAGGTGTGGGGCTAGTGCACTGGCCTCTTCTCTACCGGGGAAAGACGTGCTACACCATCTATCCAGCCTGGGGCCCAGGAGGAGCCATATTCAAGGGTCCTCGTTCATAGTATATCAGGTCAGTCTTTTCCTCCTCTAGGTCTCTGAACTTGCCAACTGCCCTTCTCCACACTCACCCTTAATGGTCCCTTCGGATTTAGCACCGTCTCCTCCGGGAAGTCTTCTCTCGTTCTCTGGAGCTGGTCTGGAGTGTACCTTTCCTCTGGAGCCTATAGCTCAATCATCTAGAGTTATAAAGATACAGTGGCTGACGCCTGTAATCACAGCACTTTCGGAGGACAAGGCAGGTGGATCACTTGAGGTCAGGAGTTTGAGACCAGCCTGGCCAACATGGCAAAATCTCATCTCTACTAAAAATACAAAAATTAGCCGGGTGTGGTGGTGCACGCCTGTAATCCCAGCTCCTTGGGAGCTTGAGGTAGGAGAATTGCTTGAACCCCAGAGGTGGAGGTTGCAGTGAGCTGAGATCGTGCCACTGCACTCCAGCTTGGGCAACAGAGCAAGACTCCACCCCCACCCCCCAGGTTCAAGCGATTGTCCTGCCTCAGCCTGCCTCAGCCTCCCAAGCAGCTAGGATTATAGGTGCCCGCCACCACCCTGGGCTAATTTTTTGTATTTTTAGTAGAGACGGGGTTTCACCATGTTGCCCAGGCTGATCTGGAACTCCTGACCGCAGGCGATCTACCCGCCTCGGCCTCCCAAAAGTGCTAGCATTACAAGCGTGAGCCACCATGCCCAGTCTTTAGTTTTTTTTTTTTTTTATACTTTTCTTATTGAGATATAATTTATATACCATAGAATTCATCCATTTAAATCATACAATTTAATGGCTTTTAGTATATTCACAGGTTGTGCATCCATCACAATCCATTTTAGAACAGTTTTATTACTCCAAAAATAAACCCTGCATTCCTTAGCCATCACCCCCCAACATCCTCCATCCTCCTTCCAAGCCCTGGGCAACCACCAATCTACTTTCTGTCTCTATAAATTTGCCAATTCTGGACATTTCATATAAATGGAAGCAAACAACATGTGAGACTTTGTGACTGGCTGCTTTCACTTAGCATTCTATTTTTAAGGCTCATTATGTTACAGTACTTAGCAGTACTTCATTCTTTTTTATTCTCAAATGGTATTCCACTGTGTGGGTATCCCATATCATATTATTAGAGACAGGTTCTCACTCTGTCACCCAGGCTGGAGTGCAGTGGCACAATCATAGCTCACTGTAACCTCAAACTCCTGGGCTCAAGTGATCCTACTACCTCAGCCTCCAGAGTAGCTAGGACTACAGGCACACACAGCCATACCTGGCTAATTTTTTTTTTTAATTTTCATTTTATGTATTCATTTTCTTTCTTTTTTGTTGTTGTTGTTTTGAGATAGGGTCTCACTTTGTTACCCAGGCTGGAGGGCAGTGGCATGGTGACAGCTGAGCAGCCTTGACTTCCTGGGCTCAAGTGATCCTCCTGCCTCAGCCTCCCAAGTAGCTGGGACTACAAACACGTGTCACCATGCCTGGCTGATATTTTTTTTCTTGAAACAGGGTATCACTCTGTTGCCCAGGCTGGAGTACAGTGGCGTAATAATAGCTCACTGCAGCCTCCCCTCCTGGGCTCAAGCAATCCGCTGGCCTCAGCATCCTGAGTAGCTGGGACTACAGGCTTGTGCCACCAGGCCCAGCTAAGTTTTAAAAAATGATTTTTGGTATAGAGGAGGTCTTGCTATGTTGCTCAGGCTGTATTTTTATTGTTGAGACAAGGTCTCACTATGTTGCCATGATCCCCCCACCTCCACTTCCCAAAGTGCTCATCTTATCTGTTCATTAGTCAGTTGACAGACATTTAGGTTGTTTCCACTTTTTGACCATTATGAATAATACTCCAGTGAATATTCATGTATACATTTGTGTGGGCATATGTTTTCATTTCTGTTGGGTTTATATCTAGGAGTGGAATTGCTGGATCCCGGGTAATATTTTGACAGGCAGAGTTCAGGGGAAGAAAAACTTGGGAAAATGAAGCATGTTTAGAAATCAGCAAGAGTGCAGGGGTTTTTCGGAGTTTTATTTTATATTCTGTTGACAAATGTGCAGTTTGATGAAGATACAAGTTATACTAAGTGAGAAGTGAGAATTAAGGCTGGAATAGGGCGTTCAGAGTAAAATCATGAAGCACTTTGAATACCAAAATTAAGGAGCTTGGCTGTAAACAAAATAATAAAAAATCACAATTTTTTTTTTTTTTTTGAGAAAGAGTCTTGCTCTTTCACCCTGGCTGGAGGGCAGTGGTGTGATCTCAGCTCACTGCAACTTTCGCCTCCCGGGTTCAAGCAATTCTCCTGCTTCAGCCTCCCAAGTAGCTGGGACTACAGGCACTTCCCACCATGCCCAGCTGATTTTTGTATTTTTAGTAGAGATGGGATTTCACTTTGTTGGCCAAGCTGGTCTCAAACTTTTTGCTGTCATAATTGTTGTAACTATTGTTCCTTTTGCTGAGGTAGGGCCCCCAGACCAAAAAAAATAAATCTTAGAATCCAAATCAGTGTGTTGGTTTGACCACTGTCACTTGAGAACCACAGTGTGACCAGGGCCTCAGGAGTAGAGGTGATCTCTGCTCGAAAGAGAAATAGAATGAAAATATTCTCCGGGCCAGGCGTGGTGGCTCATGCCTGTAATCCCAGCACTTTGGGAGGCCAAGGCATGTGGATCACCTGAGGTCAGGAGTTCAAAACCAGCCTGGCCAACATGGTGAAACCCCGTCTCTACTAAAAATACAAAAAATTAGCTAAGTGTGGTGGCGCATGCCTGTAATCCCAGCTACTTGGGAGGGTGAGGCAGGAGAATTTCTTGAACCCGGGAGGCAGAGGTTGCAGTGAAGCGAGATCACACCACTGCACTCCAGCCTGGGGGAGAGAGCGAGACTTCCTCTCAAAAAAACAAAAAACAAAAGAATTAAGCAAATTAGACATTGCAGAGAGAACCTGAAGGGGGTCAGACCACGTACAGATTTCTGTGCCACATGCCAAGTACTTCTGAGGCATGACTGGATGAGCTGTCCACATCTGAAATCATCCAGTCTTGTTCAGAACTTTCACACCGGACAGGGAGCCAGGACTGGAATGCAGTCTCCTGGTCACTGGCCAGAGAGTTGGCCTGACCCTGAGACCAGTGGCCAACAAAGGAGCTGCTTAGTCTACCTCCCAGGAAATCCCAGGTGCTTGTCTTCCTGGGAAGTGAATCATTGGCGCAGCACTCCGTATTTTCTCCTCTTCCCAGGGGAAGGATCCTAGGGCAGTATTTGGGAAAGACATGGGCATGGAAGGACACCGGGTGAATGCATAGCCTGCCTGGTTCTGAGCTCTCATGGTAAGGCTCCTACAGACACGGAAAAGATGGGGGCACAGGGACAGATCAGTAGGGTCAGAGCATCTCAGGGACCGAGGGCAATATGGTCCTGAGCAGGGATTAAGAGCTTGGGCTCTCATATGGTGTTTCTGGGCTCAACTGCCAGCTCCATCACTTACTGGTTGCTGTGACCATGGGCAAGTTATTCCATCTCTCCATATCTCTTTCCTCACTTTTAAAATGGAATAATGGGGTACCCACCTCCCAGGGTCACAGAGAGGCTTACAGAAAACGATTCTTGTGAATTGG
This sequence comes from Homo sapiens, assembly GCF_000001405.40. Classification (NCBI taxonomy): domain Eukaryota; kingdom Metazoa; phylum Chordata; class Mammalia; order Primates; family Hominidae; genus Homo; species Homo sapiens. The sequence continues at coordinate 100,346,267 of NC_000010.11, forward strand.
CTTGCAGTAATAATTCAATACCTGCCAGCTATTCTTATTCCACATCCAAGCCCTTTCGCCTGCTGCTGGGTGAAAACACATGTCAGTGTTTCCTGACGGTTTCCACAAAGAAGATTCCAAAATTACAACCTGCCAGTCTGAAGAATCTCCAAAACATCCCGCACGCATCCTGGAGGCGCGGGCTTGGGGATGGGACTGCCCGCCCGGGTCCTGAACAGGATGCGTGCGCGCAGGCACACACACACCAGCCAGCCTGTGTGTGCGGCCGGAGTCCGGTGCGGTCCCGGGTGAGCAGCGCGTGGCTGGTGGGCGGGGCAGAGCCATTGTTCGCAGGCGTACCGAGTCCCCCGCGCTCGCCCGGGAGGGAGGCGGGGCTTCCCGCGTCCCCCAAGCTCCAGATCCTGGGGTGGCTGCCACGTCTCCCTGCCACGCGCCTGGGGGGACGGAAGACGGGACGGAGATGTTAGTGGTGGGCGCCCCCCGAGGGTTCACCACTGTTTCCTGAGAAACTTCCCCAGTGCCCACCCACCCGTTCTCCGTGTGCCCGAGGGCCGGTCCTGGGCTAGGCTCCGCGCCCCAGCCCCAAACCGGGTCCCCAGCCCCTTCCAGAGAGAAAGCTCCCGACGCGGGATGCCGGGCAGAGGCCCAGCGGCGGGTGGAAGAGAAGCTGAGAAGGAGAAACAGAGGGGAGGGGGAGCGAGGAGCTGGCGGCAGAGGGAACAGCAGATTGCGCCGAGCCAATGGCAACGGCAGGACGAGGTGGCACCAAATTCCCTTCGGCCAATGACGAGCCGGAGTTTACAGAAGCCTCATTAGCATTTCCCCAGAGGCAGGGGCAGGGGCAGAGGCCGGGTGGTGTGGTGTCGGTGTCGGCAGCATCCCCGGCGCCCTGCTGCGGTCGCCGCGAGCCTCGGCCTCTGTCTCCTCCCCCTCCCGCCCTTACCTCCACGCGGGACCGCCCGCGCCAGTCAACTCCTCGCACTTTGCCCCTGCTTGGCAGCGGATAAAAGGGGGCTGAGGAAATACCGGACACGGTCACCCGTTGCCAGCTCTAGCCTTTAAATTCCCGGCTCGGGGACCTCCACGCACCGCGGCTAGCGCCGACAACCAGCTAGCGTGCAAGGCGCCGCGGCTCAGCGCGTACCGGCGGGCTTCGAAACCGCAGTCCTCCGGCGACCCCGAACTCCGCTCCGGAGCCTCAGCCCCCTGGAAAGTGATCCCGGCATCCGAGAGCCAAGATGCCGGCCCACTTGCTGCAGGACGATGTGAGTTTCCCAGCCTGGCCCCGTACCGCCGGGTCGCAGGCGCGGGCTGGGCTTCCAGGGGACGGGTTGGTGGCAGAAGAGAGGGGAGAGCTCCGCGGAGGACTTGGTCATCTTTTTCGAGTTGTGCTGCCTTCCGTGAGTTGGGAATGTGGATTGTAATTTGGGGACTTGAGTCTCCAACTTTAGTTTCTTAAGCTTTAAAGAAAAATCCGGTCGTGCTGGTGCTTTTATGAATTATGCGGGTTTTCCTTTGTCTTCGTGGGGATGTGAGTGCTTTACTTCTCCTTCCTACTGCCGCCTCCCGATAGGTTTCGCGCCCCTCGTCCCCCTCGCCCTCCGCCCCTAATGTATCTGTACAGTTTCAGGGAACTTTTCTCCGTTGCGTCTCGGATACACCCTACCCTCAGTGAACTACGGCGCTGCGGAAGGGTCCGTACTGTCCACCCTTCCCCCAGCGTGATTAGAGAGCGGAGTGGCCCCAGCTGCCTCCACGTGTCTCTTCTCCTGACTCTCCTCTTCCTCCCCCTTCCAGATCTCTAGCTCCTATACCACCACCACCACCATTACAGCGCCTCCCTCCAGGGTCCTGCAGAATGGAGGAGATAAGTTGGAGACGATGCCCCTCTACTTGGAAGACGACATTCGCCCTGATATAAAAGATGATATATATGACCCCACCTACAAGGATAAGGAAGGCCCAAGCCCCAAGGTTGAATATGTCTGGAGAAACATCATCCTTATGTCTCTGCTACACTTGGGAGCCCTGTATGGGATCACTTTGATTCCTACCTGCAAGTTCTACACCTGGCTTTGGGGTAAGCAGCCTCCCTGTCCTCCTGACCTAGTCCTCCAGGTACTCACTGCTCTTTTAATAAGGTAGGATCTTACAGAGGACACCAGCCCCTCCCAGCCTCCCGGTTGGGGTTTTTCTCAGGCATTTCTCTTTGGTTGCTTCAGGCCTAGTGGGCTGGGAAGAACCTGGGGGTACTGAGATGCAGGACTGTCAATGCTGGGGGTTGAGAGCTTTGGAACCTTGTGCTTGTGGGCTTTGAAGTGTGCTGTGCTGGAGAGTCAGCTTTCCCTGAAAGAGCTTTTCTGTTTGAGTCATTTGCTTGGCTGCCTGTCCCACCCCTGCCAGCCACAAAAGAATCAAACCCCTCTACCTGGGAGGCATGGGAACATGGTACTAAACCATTGGCTTTCTAGGGTTTGTGTTGAGCAATCATAGGCTAGCACAAGGGAAACTACTCAGGGAGAGAGTTTATTGGAAAGGGAGGAGAGAGCTCATTGGAAAGAGAGGAAAAGAGAGGTTGTTATCCACAAAACTATTTTGACCTGACCCCTTGGCCAGACCAGGCTTCTTCGTTACAGAGGAAGATGAAGCTCCCGTGCAACCCAAGTCACACAGGTGTGTGTTGCTCTGTTACTCTACATTCCAGGGTGCTGCACATACCAGTCAACAAAATGCTCTTAGAATGAAATCAGGCTGAAGATATGTTTCATGTTCCATCCCCCGTCCAGCCTGCTTCAGGCCCCCCTACTGATGCCATGAAGTGCCAAGAATTCTGCACCTTCCAACACCAGTCCTACCCATCCCTCCTTGCCAGGGACATCGAGGCCAGGCCAGAAAAGAGAGCCCGGTCTTGAGGCTGCTGTAATGAGGGAGACAGTTCCCAGTTTGTCCCCGACCTGCCCTTAGCTCAGCTCTTTCAGGGACCTGTTGGTGTGGCCTGATGGCATGGCCCTGCCCCCTGGATACACACATGCGCTTTGCAGGCTTTTTCACCTCTGTCACTATGAGCCTAAGTTGGGAAGGGAAAGCAGGGAGCTCTGCAGATCCAGGGGCCCTGCACTGCTACTCTCTAAGGGGTGGTGAGCCAGGACTTCTGGTGTGGGAAACTTTCTGACAGCTCGCTCTTGAAGGGTAGTTATGCAGAAGGGCTGGTAGGCCAAGTTTTAGCTGTTTCCCTCAGGACCTCTTAGGTCTTCTGAAGATGGTGAGATCTGGTTCATTGAGCTTTTGTTTCCAGAAATCCTCCAGGTGCTACAGTGAAATGCAACTGAGAAGAGCCCCTTTGTCAGGATCTCAGTTTTTCTAGGTACCACCTGTGGGCAACAGTACTTTTTTAGGATGGGGAAGGTAGCATTCCTTGGGTTACATATGTGTCACAGCCGCAGAGACAGAACAGGCCAGGTGCAGATCAGTTCATCTGCATACCAGGAAGAGCTCTTGTATTTGTGAGGGGAGGGCGACATCTGTTGTCTAGCCCCTCTGAGGATCCAGCAGAACTTCAGTTGCAGCTGAGGGATGAGGAGCAGGGATAGCATTCCCCAGGCAGTCTGTGGATGCCTCTCTCCACCCTTTCTCCCCAAGAGGATAGTCTTCACAAGTAGTTTTCTCTCCTGCAAGCTCCTTCCAGCCTCAGCACCCCCTGTAGGTTTCCTGAAGCCCAGAGTTTGACCCGATTGCCTCTGCTTGGTTATCCTCAGTTGCTACTGCAAGGAGCAGAATTCCATCCCAAAGTGAAGGCTGTGCCTGCTACATTTTTTTGGTGACCTGCCCATGGGTGTGTGCTGTGCCCTTGGGCAGATAAATGTGGCTCACAGAGACTAGATGGTAACTTATTTTACTGGGCCCTTTGGTGGATGGCTTAGCTGAAAGAATGACCATGTCGATGTGGGGATATCAGAACTCCTCTGTCTTGAGAAACAAGGAGGGTGAGGGGAGGAGGGTCAGAGGTCTCAACTTGGACATCTTCTCTTCCCACCTTCAGAATTTAGGAGCTTCACCTTTCTTGTTTTAATCCCTATGGACAATGTTAAATTAGCAACTGGTCGTGATTCCAGCATTTCTTATGACTGAGCACTTTTGAGAGCCTTAAATCTCTTTCATTTTGGAGTCTCCCAAAGAAGCCCTTAGGAGAATGCCTCTGGCAACACTGAGAGCCAGAGGCAAAACCATTCAAGTCTCTTTCTTAAGGCCAGAGCAATGAGATGTTGCTTAACCATCAATCTGGACATTTTCCTCCCCTGGGGAGGAGAGAAGGAATAAATCTCCAACTGATTTAAGCCCTTCTATTTGATAGGCTTAGAGGTGTTTCTAGAAAAGGCACCAGAGTGCCTGAGTTCTTTCCCCAATTTCCCTGTTAATATAGGATCTTATATACGTTCTGAGTCAACACTGCCCTAGGGTCTTGCAGCAAATAACAACCCTAGAAGCTCCCTTGCTCATTAGAGAGAGCTCTGGCTCAACTGATGGTTTCCCGAGTAAGATGCAGGTAGATACTGTATCTGGGGAGATGTCAGTCACCACTTGGCTTGAGGGCAGATCACCTGGGGCCTCAGTCCCCACTCTGAGGGAATGTGGAGAGAGCTCTTGTTGGGGCTGACTGGCTCTGTGGCTCTCCTGGAGATCTTATAGGAGGAATAGAAGAGAAGAAAGGAGGTAGGGTTGGGGGGAAAAGGAGGTTGTTTAGGAAACAGCTATCAATGGCTGCAAAAGAACACAGGACAATTTGTTACAATGTGTGGTGTCTCCAACTGCAACTAAGTTCTGTGGCCACTGAGGATCTATTGTTTCTAGCTGTTTCCCTAGGAATGAAACATTGTTAAGAGTTTCTATCAAGGCCACAGCTTCTGCCTGCTAGAGCTACTGAACAGAGGAAGATATGGGGACGCCCAGCAGCCCACTTCCCAGTTAGAGATTATATCTGGCACCTCCTGAGCCTGCAGGCCTCCAGGAAGGTGAGGGAAGACAATGGTGGGGTGCTTCACTGACAGCTTGAAGAATATCCCACCATTGTCTAGAGAGCGTTGCCCGGTGAGAGTATGGGCTGACAGGGATGTGGCAAAGGCGAGACAGAGGAGTTGTGCATGTATCTTGGGGGAGGTGGATGGTATAGCTGGAACGTGAAATCTTTGGTAAAGCTTAAGACACTGTACAAATTGGATTTATGCACAGGGCTAATTTTTCCCTGATTTGGCCACACTGACTGCTTGAATATTTAAATGCTTTTTTGTACCAGTTGATAAATGGCCATAGTCTGAATGCCCTAAGAGTCCCCTACAACTAAGGGCTTCTCAAATTGGTCAGTGCCCAGATTGTACTGGCTGTTATTTTATTTTTTGAGATAAGGTCTTGCTGTGTTGATAAGGCTTGAGTGCAGTGGCGCGATCTTGGCTCACCGCAGCCTCGACCTCCTGAGCTCAAGAGATCCTCCCACCTCAACCTCTTGAGTAGCTGAGACCACAGGCAGGTGCCACCATGCCAAGCTAATTTTTAAAATTATCTGTAGAGGCAAGGTCTCCCTATGTTATCCCAGCTGGTCTTGAACTCCTGGGCTCAAGGGGATCTTCCTGCCTTGGCCTCCCAAAATGCTGGGATGACAAAGTGGTTCATACTACACCTGGCCCTCTGCTGTTATTTTAATAACACCCTGGCTTATGGGTTCTGAGCTCTGCAGGAGTAGTTTGTGGCCCTTAAAACCTTAGAGAAGGCCTAGATAGAGGTGAAAGGAGATAGCTAGGCCCTGGGAGAATGCCTTTAAGATGAAGAATGAGTGGTAAGAGCACTATTCTCTCTCCTGCCTTTCTGACTCCTTAGTTCCTGGGATTCTTTAGCTTATCTTTTTTTCCTGGGTTGAGAGGTTGGGGGGTGATATTTTTCAAGTGGTAAAATCTAAGGGATGTGGTTATCCCTAGAGTTCATGGTAAAGCCAGTTCTCACCCAAAGCCTGACGAAGACAGTTTCTAGCATCCAGAGAGTGTCTCTGGCATCCTTTCCCAGATGGAACTCACACTGATTGGTGACTCCCCCACTGTCTTCTCCTGGCAGGGGTATTCTACTATTTTGTCAGTGCCCTGGGCATAACAGCAGGAGCTCATCGTCTGTGGAGCCACCGCTCTTACAAAGCTCGGCTGCCCCTACGGCTCTTTCTGATCATTGCCAACACAATGGCATTCCAGGTAAGAAGTTGTCTCTGCTCAGCTGTTTGTCCTCCACACTATTAATGATCCGGGGACAGAAAGGAGGGATCAGCACCAGAGAGGAGCCACACCTGACAGCCATTTCACTTTCCTCTCTCCTGTAGTCACCTCAAGTTCCAGTTCAGTCCTTAAGTCCATAAAGCATGAAGAGACTTCTGAGTCTTGGAAAAGGGAACTGGAAGATAATTGGAAAATACTCCTGATGTGTAGGAATATTTTTGATCCTAAGGTCCCTGTGTTGTCACACAATCTGGCCGTTGTGGCTCTTCATCATAAGGGGCTTTGGCACATAAGCCAGAGACTGACCTTAGATTCCTGGGCAGACACTGGACAATAAATTCACTATTTAAGGTAAATATCTTAGGGAGGCAGAGCTGGGAGGATCACTGGAGCCCAGGAGTTTGAAGCTGCAGTGAGCCATGATATCACCACTGCACTCCAGCCTGGGTGACAAGACCCCAACTTTAAAAAAAAAATTTCAAAAGTGAATAACTTAGGACTCCACCACAGTGGGATTGAAGTTGATGTTCCCAGACTCGTGAACTCTTATTTTGAGATAATGAGAGCAAACACTTTTATTGCACTGACTATGAGCCTGGCACTATTCTAAGCATTTGATATAAAGTCCTCACAAAAATCTTAGGAAATAGGTACTATTATCCCCATTTTACAGATGAGGAAACCAAGTTACAGAGAGATTAGATAGACCAGCCCAACATTGTGGCCCTTTCTTGGGCTGCCATGGTGGCTAAGTAAAACATTGAGGTTTGTTAAGGCAAAAAACAAACCTGGGCACGGTGGCTCACGCCTGTAATCTCAGAACTTTGGGAGGCCGAGGTGGGCAGATCACAAGGTCAGGAGATCAAGATCATCCTGGCTAACACAGTGAAACTCTGTCTCTACTAAAAATACAAAAAATTAGCCAGGCGTGGTGGCGGGCACCTGTAGTCCCAGCTACGTGGGAGGCTGAGGCAGGAGAATGGTGTGAACCTGGGAGGCAGAGCTTGCAGTGAGCTGAGATCGCGCCACTGCACTCCAGCCTGGGCAACAGCAAGACTCCATCTCAAAAAAAAAAAAAAAAAAGTTTATAGCAAAGACAGAATGAAGGGAAATGGGGAAAGGGAATGCATCATAGTCATTAAGCTGTAGCAATGGGCAAATGATAGCATGTGGCGTTTGGCTTAGCTTGGAGCAAGAGGAAGAAAGGAAACCAACTTAGTGGTGGCAATATCCCAAGAACTTGCCACATTTGCATGATCATCTCTGCCATAGCAGCTTATACCTTGAAGGCTTCCAAAGTTGTCCTGTGGAGCAAAAGGAAGGAAGAGAGATATTGGTACATTCTTTAAGGGATGGAAAAAGTCATGAAGAAGCCCAGAGGTCGTTTGAAAATGCAGTCATGATCACGAGTTGCATGCCTGGCCTTGTTATTGGGTTGTATGAGCTCTTTTGCAAGGCACCAGAATGGTGCACCCTGCAGCTGCAGCTTATCTACTGATTGAGACCCTAGGACACAAGGCTGCCTGCCTCATGTTCCCCATGCCTAGGGATTAGGTACCCCATGAGGATCTTTTCCAACATTCCTTGCTTAAAGAATTGCAATGTTCTCACTTCTTGAAACTCTCTGAGCTCTGTATGATTTACCTCCGTTCCACCCACCATATAACTTTCAAGAAACAGCAGTTCTATTGCTATGGTCCTGGGACTTTAAGTTGCTTTTTTCTACTTAAGCTTCAGTGGCAAGTTGGGAGAAGAAGGGAGGCAACTCCATGACTCCTTTGGAGCCCAGATTCCTGGGTATTTTGTGAGGTTGGGCTGAGCGCCTTGGGCTCTTGATACCTGTCCATTGGGATTCTCCTAATAGGGTGTCTATCCTCAAGCCTTACATTCCTCTTCTCTCTCTCCCCAGAATGATGTCTATGAATGGGCTCGTGACCACCGTGCCCACCACAAGTTTTCAGAAACACATGCTGATCCTCATAATTCCCGACGTGGCTTTTTCTTCTCTCACGTGGGTTGGCTGCTTGTGCGCAAACACCCAGCTGTCAAAGAGAAGGGGAGTACGCTAGACTTGTCTGACCTAGAAGCTGAGAAACTGGTGATGTTCCAGAGGAGGTGAGTGAAGCCCTGATGGAGGTGGGGATATGGCCCTGGCACCTGGTCATTAGGGACCCCATTTTTTCTCCTGAGACTTTCAAAATATAAGCTGAGAAATTTGCTGGGTTTGCATGTTCACAATCTTAATTTAAAATCCCAATTTTTAACATCCCACGGGCCCGTAGCCATAGACTATTGCTCCATTTCTTTCTCTCTGACTATCTTAATTAAACCCATTACATTCAAGAGATGTTTATTGTCCTAGGACAGTCATAGATTCAAAGATGATTATAGCCTAGTTGCCTAGGTTTGTTTGTTTGTTTTTGTGTTTGTGTTTCAACAGTCTTTCTCTCTTGCCCAGGCTGGAGTGCAGTGGCACAATCATGGCTCACTGCAGCCTTGACTTCCCAGGCTCAAGCAATCCTTCTACCTCAACCTCCTGAGTATCTGGGACTACAGGCACACACCGCCATGCCTGGCTAATTTTTTGTGGGGACAAGGTCTCACTCACTATATTGCCCAGGCCGGTAGCTTAGTTCTTACCTTCAAAAAGTTTGTAGCCTATCGGGGTGGAGAGATAAGCCAAGTATCCAGATAACCATGGCATAAGGCAGAATATTTTCTGTACTATGAGAGGTACAAAGGGGAGGGAGATTGCTCAATGGGCAACACCAAGGAAGTGATATGAAATAAATAGTGTTGGAATCCACCAACGGATAGAAATTTTTACAACTATGTGTGGGGAGAGACAGTGCAAACAGAAGAAACAGAATGAGCTAAAACACGAAGCATGTTCCAGCAATAGAGTCCTTTTGCTTGAAGTATAGGGTATGGGAAGAAGTAAGACTGGAGAGACTAATGCCATTCTTGTCGAGTCCTAAAAGCAGACTTAGGACTTAATTCAATAAGCAATAGGAAGCCATTACATCTTTTGAACTGCAATGTGGCATAGTTACGGACGTGCTTTAGGAAGGCTGCTTTTAGAACAAGTGTAAGAAACCACTGAGCCAAAGTGAGAGGTAGGGACATAAGTTAGGTAATGAGGACCCCTGCTAGCGAAGCAGTGGCAGAAATGGAGAAAAGAGTTGGGTGCAGGGAATGTCAGTGATGTAAAAGTCAAAGACTTGACTGCTGAAGGAATGTAGGGAATCAGTGCCCTTGGAATGTCAATGGCCTGGTCTACATTGAGAATGAAGACTGAGAAAGGGCTTCCTGAGGGACAGAGAGCTGCAGGTGATCAAGGACACTCAATGGGTCTCTGAGGGAAAAGAAGACCAAAGAATTAGGGAGTAGCTAGCAGAAAATGGAGGCATGACACTAAACACAGACTGAAAAAGAGTGCTGATTAGAAAGAGAAAGGAGCCCAAAGGCAGATGGGAAAACCAGCCAAGGATGGAGAGACGTCTGTTCATTAGTTTGTAGTTTGGACCTCACCTATCTTACCAATGTGGTATTATGCTCTAGTAAAAAGTCAGCGATGGCCGGGCATGGTGGCTCATGCCCGTAATCCCAGCACTTTGGGAGGCTGAGGCGGGAGGATTGCTGGAAAGTTCAGGCATTCGAGACCAGCCTGGGCAACATAGTGAGACCTCATCTCTACAAAAAATTAAAAACTAAATGGGCACGATGGTTCATGCCTGTGGTCCCAGCTACTCAGGAGGCTGGGGTGGGAGGATCTCTTGGCCCAGGAGTTCAAGGCTGTGGTGAACTAAGGTCACGCCACTGCACTCCAGCCTTGGCAACAGAGTGAGACCCTGTCAAAAAAAACAAACAAAAATAAATAAAACAATGAACTTAGAGTCAGACAAGCAATTCAACATGGAAGAAAGACAGCCCATCCCCTCCCAATTAGTGTGGAAGATCCATGTAGGTGTGGAGTCCCCCTCCATTGACCTGGTGTCTGGTCTGTCAATGTAGGTACTACAAACCTGGCTTGCTGATGATGTGCTTCATCCTGCCCACGCTTGTGCCCTGGTATTTCTGGGGTGAAACTTTTCAAAACAGTGTGTTCGTTGCCACTTTCTTGCGATATGCTGTGGTGCTTAATGCCACCTGGCTGGTGAACAGTGCTGCCCACCTCTTCGGATATCGTCCTTATGACAAGAACATTAGCCCCCGGGAGAATATCCTGGTTTCACTTGGAGCTGTGGGTAAGTCAGCTGTCCAAGTAAGACTACATCCAGTGGTCTGCTGATTAGGGGATTAGGCTAGGAGCCAGAAAAACTAGATAAATCTGTTTTTTATGGCTACTTTGTATCTCAGTTTTTCCACTATAAAATTAGGGGGCAGTATACTGGAAAACGCTTTTGAGAGTCAGGCAACATGTTTTATGTAAAAATGAAAGGATAAGAAACAAAACACAAAAAAACACTGATTTTGATTCCAGGTTCTAAAACAATTTCCAAATGCCATGTATGCTCCGGGCCCGGCGGCTCATGCCTGTAATCCCAGCACTTTGGGAGGCTGAGGCGGGCAGGTCACCTGAGGTCAGGAGTTTGAGACCAGTCTGGCCAACACGGTGAAACCCTGTTTCTATTAAAAAGCAAAACAAACAAACAAAAAAGAAAACCAAATGCCATACATGATGAGCACCTTAGAGTTTTCCTTTCTTTCATCAACTCTGGGCTGGACTGCAGTCTTGCTTGAGGCAAGGAATGCATAAATAGAACAATGGGATCATCTGAGTGGCCAGTAAGCCTGGTGTTTTATGAACTTCAAGTATGCACACAAAGTATTTTTTATCTTTCCACTCTACTCAGATATGCCTTGCTTTAAGAGTGTGCCGTGCCTTACTGTTTGGTGATGCCATTATGAAGGGCATCAAAATAACTGCTGGTGGCCCTTTACTACCACCTACCCTCTTGTCTCCTCTTGTCCTCTATTTTTCTCTCTTCTACTTCTATTCTGGGCTAGGAACATCCCTTCCCCCAACATGCCTTCAGGAATCTCCCAATAAAGCAGTGTGATCACAAGTTCCTGCTCAATTCTCTAATGTTGATCTTATCTTTTCTCTTTTCTTTCCTTTCATTTTCTTTCTTTTCTTTTCTTTTCCTTTCTTTTCTAATGAGACAGGGTCTCACCATGGTGCCCAGGCTGGTCTTGAACCCTGGGCTGAAGTGATCCTCCTGCCTCAGCCTCCCAAAGTATCTACATTTTTTTCTCTGTCCCTCTTTCCAACTGAATATAGACTTTCACCAAGGCCCTGAATGAATTTTCCTTAAATAGATCTGGCGACCTCTTCTTTCCAGTAATTGGTGCTATTGGTCATTCAATAATATCTAGACAACCACACTACTCCACACATTTAGGCAGGTCATTGCCTAACACTCATTTTCTTTTTCTCTTTAAAAATCTTCCTTTATATTCTCAACCTTAACCATCTTTATTATCTTTTAAATTGTTGTTGAGACAGTCTCACTCTGTTGCCCAGGTTTCAGTGCAGTGGTGTGATCACAGCTCACTGCAGCTATGACCTCCTGGGCTCAAGCGATCCTCGGGGTTCAGCCTCCCAAGTAACTGGGATTACAGGTGCATGCCACCATGCTTGGCTAATTTTTCTATTTTTTTGTAGAGACATGGTTTTGCCATGTTGCACAGGCTGGTCTCGAACTCCTGAGCTCAAGTGATCTTCCTGCCTTGGCCTCCCAAAGTGCTGGAATTATAATAGCCGTGAGCCACTGCGCCTGGCCTACTATGTTTATTAAAAGGATTTATTGCCTGTAATCCCAGCACTTTGGGAGGCCGAGGCGGGTGGATCATGAGGTCAGGAGATCGAGACCATCCTGGCTAACAAGGTGAAACCCCGTCTCTACTAAAAATACAAAAAAATTAGCCAGGCGCAGTGGCGGGCGCCTGTAGTCCCAGCTACTTGGGAGGCTGAGGCAGGAGAATGGCGTGAACCCGGGAAGCGGAGCTTGCAGTGAGCCGAGATTCCGCCACTGCAGTCCGCAGTCCGGCCTGGGCGACAGAGCGAGACTCCGTCTCAAAAAAAAAAAAAAAAAAAGATTTATTTGTCTAGGCGTGGTGGCTCACACCTGTAATCCCAGCACTTTGGGAAGCCAAAGTGGGTGGTTCACTTGAGGTCAGGAGTTAGAGATCAGCCAGGCCAATATGGTGAACCTCTGTCTCTACTTAAAAAAAAAAAAAAAAAAAAGTACAAAAAACTTAGCCAGGCATGGTGGCACGTGCCTGTAGTCCCAGCTACTCAGGAGGCTGAGGCAGAAGAATCGCTTGAACCCGGGAGGCAGAGGTTGCAATGAGCCGAGATTGTGCCACTGCACTCCAGCCTGGGTGACAGAGACTCCATCTCAAAAATATATAATAAAAATAAAAGCATTTTTTTTCTCTCTTTTTAACTTTCACATATCTCTTTTCAGGCACCTTCTTACCATTGTGCCTATTCTTACTTTAACCCATGATTAAAATAAATCATATACACTGTATAAATCTGAGATTATCATAGGAATGGAGTTTCTGGCATGAGATGTTTCCTGTATCGCAAATGGATCTATAATGACCTTCCCCACCTCCAGCCTCTGGGTGGCCATGAGTTCAAAGTGGCTGCCAATATCTGACCTGTTGTTGTTATCATTCACTCCTCCTTGCCTGCTGCTTTCCTCCCTTATCACCTCACCCTTTGTTCTCCTCCAGCTCTGTTTCCTGCCACCCTAATCTTTTTGTTTCTTGAATTACCTCCCCCACTGTCACATGCTCATCTTCTCTGCCAAATTAACCTTCTCCCTTGAGCCTTTCTTGGGCTGTCTCTTGCTGCCCCAGTTGCAAAGTCCTGTCTTCTTTCTACCCGTTGACCCTCTTCTTTTTTTTTCCTCCCTTGTCTCTGTGTGCATCTGATTCCATTTTAAATCTGGTAACCAAAGGCCTGGCTAGTGCTTACACACAGCCCAGCTGCAAAACCATTAATGGACATTAATAATCCTCAGTACCTTTATTCCTGGCATTCTACCCCCCTCCTCCCCAGTTCACACTGCAGATCATCAGGTGTCACAGAGAGAGGACATACCTTGAAATGCCCTAGATGATGTCATTTACTTTGCAGGACTTCCTTGCCTTGCTTCTGATTAATGTCATGACTGGTCTGTCTGAGGGTACTGTTATCTACAAAGAGCCAAATATTAGCTCTTAGTAGCTATTCTTTATCCATGCCTGATTAGGGTCAGTATTATTTTTGGCTGTGGTTCAGAAAGAAGAGTCCTGCCAAGCGTTGGCAAACTCTCTATCTGTCGAGTTTCCAAAGCTTTACACGTTAGAGAAATTGCTGTGAATCCAGAATTTGTTTGTTTTCCTCCCTCCAGCAAAGTGAAATGTTCATCCCAAGAGTCCTCAAAATCTCAGAGGTTACAGGGTATTTTTCTTCCTCAGAGAGCTTCTGTTTTATCAGCACCTCCCCCACACCAGGGTCAAAGCTCAAAAAAGTTGGAGCAGCCCCTGGGAACTGCAGTGGCTGAGGACATTCCAGCCCCTGGGCTGGCCTTTCTTCTGATCTTTGGCTGCAGGGCCCACTCTTTTGGAACCTCCCACCCCTAGAGGTGGTTCCAGTGTGGTGGGGAAAGGTGTGCTTCTTTACTCATTTTTTTAAGAGTCATAGCCAGAGTGCTTCATTCTGCAAGGACGTGCACATGCACATGCACACAGAGCCTTGAGGGCAGGGCCAAGAGTGAATTTGGAATTTTCCAACCTGATACCCATTCCCAAAAGTAGGAGCTTCTCTCTAGTCATTTTATCCTCTGAGAAACTGTCAGTTCTCCTCCCACAAGGCTCCCAGACAGCCACGGGTGACCAGGGTCTCCAATCACTCCTTAAGATGCCTTTGACTGGCTGGGCGCAGTGACTCATGACTGTAATCCTAGCACTTTGGGTGGTCAACGTGGGAGGGTTGCTTGCAACATGGCAAGACCCCGTCTCTACAAAAAAAGTAAAATAATAAAAGTAAAGATGCCTCTGAGGGGATCTGTTTGGTTCATATTAAAAGAGACTGAATTCATCCATTCAACAATAGCGAGTTTCTCCCAGGTGTGAGGTACCCTGCTAGCTAACTGGTGTGCACAAATCAAGAAAACCTCAATGCACCGTCACTCCATAACTTCTCGCTTTTGTTTCAGGTGAGGGCTTCCACAACTACCACCACTCCTTTCCCTATGACTACTCTGCCAGTGAGTACCGCTGGCACATCAACTTCACCACATTCTTCATTGATTGCATGGCCGCCCTCGGTCTGGCCTATGACCGGAAGAAAGTCTCCAAGGCCGCCATCTTGGCCAGGATTAAAAGAACCGGAGATGGAAACTACAAGAGTGGCTGAGTTTGGGGTCCCTCAGGTTCCTTTTTCAAAAACCAGCCAGGCAGAGGTTTTAATGTCTGTTTATTAACTACTGAATAATGCTACCAGGATGCTAAAGATGATGATGTTAACCCATTCCAGTACAGTATTCTTTTAAAATTCAAAAGTATTGAAAGCCAACAACTCTGCCTTTATGATGCTAAGCTGATATTATTTCTTCTCTTATCCTCTCTCTCTTCTAGGCCCATTGTCCTCCTTTTCACTTTATTGCTATCGCCCTCCTTTCCCTTATTGCCTCCCAGGCAAGCAGCTGGTCAGTCTTTGCTCAGTGTCCAGCTTCCAAAGCCTAGACAACCTTTCTGTAGCCTAAAACGAATGGTCTTTGCTCCAGATAACTCTCTTTCCTTGAGCTGTTGTGAGCTTTGAAGTAGGTGGCTTGAGCTAGAGATAAAACAGAATCTTCTGGGTAGTCCCCTGTTGATTATCTTCAGCCCAGGCTTTTGCTAGATGGAATGGAAAAGCAACTTCATTTGACACAAAGCTTCTAAAGCAGGTAAATTGTCGGGGGAGAGAGTTAGCATGTATGAATGTAAGGATGAGGGAAGCGAAGCAAGAGGAACCTCTCGCCATGATCAGACATACAGCTGCCTACCTAATGAGGACTTCAAGCCCCACCACATAGCATGCTTCCTTTCTCTCCTGGCTCGGGGTAAAAAGTGGCTGCGGTGTTTGGCAATGCTAATTCAATGCCGCAACATATAGTTGAGGCCGAGGATAAAGAAAAGACATTTTAAGTTTGTAGTAAAAGTGGTCTCTGCTGGGGAAGGGTTTTCTTTTCTTTTTTTCTTTAATAACAAGGAGATTTCTTAGTTCATATATCAAGAAGTCTTGAAGTTGGGTGTTTCCAGAATTGGTAAAAACAGCAGCTCATAGAATTTTGAGTATTCCATGAGCTGCTCATTACAGTTCTTTCCTCTTTCTGCTCTGCCATCTTCAGGATATTGGTTCTTCCCCTCATAGTAATAAGATGGCTGTGGCATTTCCAAACATCCAAAAAAAGGGAAGGATTTAAGGAGGTGAAGTCGGGTCAAAAATAAAATATATATACATATATACATTGCTTAGAACGTTAAACTATTAGAGTATTTCCCTTCCAAAGAGGGATGTTTGGAAAAAACTCTGAAGGAGAGGAGGAATTAGTTGGGATGCCAATTTCCTCTCCACTGCTGGACATGAGATGGAGAGGCTGAGGGACAGGATCTATAGGCAGCTTCTAAGAGCGAACTTCACATAGGAAGGGATCTGAGAACACGTTGCCAGGGGCTTGAGAAGGTTACTGAGTGAGTTATTGGGAGTCTTAATAAAATAAACTAGATATTAGGTCCATTCATTAATTAGTTCCAGTTTCTCCTTGAAATGAGTAAAAACTAGAAGGCTTCTCTCCACAGTGTTGTGCCCCTTCACTCATTTTTTTTTGAGGAGAAGGGGGTCTCTGTTAACATCTAGCCTAAAGTATACAACTGCCTGGGGGGCAGGGTTAGGAATCTCTTCACTACCCTGATTCTTGATTCCTGGCTCTACCCTGTCTGTCCCTTTTCTTTGACCAGATCTTTCTCTTCCCTGAACGTTTTCTTCTTTCCCTGGACAGGCAGCCTCCTTTGTGTGTATTCAGAGGCAGTGATGACTTGCTGTCCAGGCAGCTCCCTCCTGCACACAGAATGCTCAGGGTCACTGAACCACTGCTTCTCTTTTGAAAGTAGAGCTAGCTGCCACTTTCACGTGGCCTCCGCAGTGTCTCCACCTACACCCCTGTGCTCCCCTGCCACACTGATGGCTCAAGACAAGGCTGGCAAACCCTCCCAGAAACATCTCTGGCCCAGAAAGCCTCTCTCTCCCTCCCTCTCTCATGAGGCACAGCCAAGCCAAGCGCTCATGTTGAGCCAGTGGGCCAGCCACAGAGCAAAAGAGGGTTTATTTTCAGTCCCCTCTCTCTGGGTCAGAACCAGAGGGCATGCTGAATGCCCCCTGCTTACTTGGTGAGGGTGCCCCGCCTGAGTCAGTGCTCTCAGCTGGCAGTGCAATGCTTGTAGAAGTAGGAGGAAACAGTTCTCACTGGGAAGAAGCAAGGGCAAGAACCCAAGTGCCTCACCTCGAAAGGAGGCCCTGTTCCCTGGAGTCAGGGTGAACTGCAAAGCTTTGGCTGAGACCTGGGATTTGAGATACCACAAACCCTGCTGAACACAGTGTCTGTTCAGCAAACTAACCAGCATTCCCTACAGCCTAGGGCAGACAATAGTATAGAAGTCTGGAAAAAAACAAAAACAGAATTTGAGAACCTTGGACCACTCCTGTCCCTGTAGCTCAGTCATCAAAGCAGAAGTCTGGCTTTGCTCTATTAAGATTGGAAATGTACACTACCAAACACTCAGTCCACTGTTGAGCCCCAGTGCTGGAAGGGAGGAAGGCCTTTCTTCTGTGTTAATTGCGTAGAGGCTACAGGGGTTAGCCTGGACTAAAGGCATCCTTGTCTTTTGAGCTATTCACCTCAGTAGAAAAGGATCTAAGGGAAGATCACTGTAGTTTAGTTCTGTTGACCTGTGCACCTACCCCTTGGAAATGTCTGCTGGTATTTCTAATTCCACAGGTCATCAGATGCCTGCTTGATAATATATAAACAATAAAAACAACTTTCACTTCTTCCTATTGTAATCGTGTGCCATGGATCTGATCTGTACCATGACCCTACATAAGGCTGGATGGCACCTCAGGCTGAGGGCCCCAATGTATGTGTGGCTGTGGGTGTGGGTGGGAGTGTGTCTGCTGAGTAAGGAACACGATTTTCAAGATTCTAAAGCTCAATTCAAGTGACACATTAATGATAAACTCAGATCTGATCAAGAGTCCGGATTTCTAACAGTCCTTGCTTTGGGGGGTGTGCTGACAACTTAGCTCAGGTGCCTTACATCTTTTCTAATCACAGTGTTGCATATGAGCCTGCCCTCACTCCCTCTGCAGAATCCCTTTGCACCTGAGACCCTACTGAAGTGGCTGGTAGAAAAAGGGGCCTGAGTGGAGGATTATCAGTATCACGATTTGCAGGATTCCCTTCTGGGCTTCATTCTGGAAACTTTTGTTAGGGCTGCTTTTCTTAAGTGCCCACATTTGATGGAGGGTGGAAATAATTTGAATGTATTTGATTTATAAGTTTTTTTTTTTTTTTTGGGTTAAAAGATGGTTGTAGCATTTAAAATGGAAAATTTTCTCCTTGGTTTGCTAGTATCTTGGGTGTATTCTCTGTAAGTGTAGCTCAAATAGGTCATCATGAAAGGTTAAAAAAGCGAGGTGGCCATGTTATGCTGGTGGTTAAGGCCAGGGCCTCTCCAACCACTGTGCCACTGACTTGCTGTGTGACCCTGGGCAAGTCACTTAACTATAAGGTGCCTCAGTTTTCCTTCTGTTAAAATGGGGATAATAATACTGACCTACCTCAAAGGGCAGTTTTGAGGCATGACTAATGCTTTTTAGAAAGCATTTTGGGATCCTTCAGCACAGGAATTCTCAAGACCTGAGTATTTTTTATAATAGGAATGTCCACCATGAACTTGATACGTCCGTGTGTCCCAGATGCTGTCATTAGTCTATATGGTTCTCCAAGAAACTGAATGAATCCATTGGAGAAGCGGTGGATAACTAGCCAGACAAAATTTGAGAATACATAAACAACGCATTGCCACGGAAACATACAGAGGATGCCTTTTCTGTGATTGGGTGGGATTTTTTCCCTTTTTATGTGGGATATAGTAGTTACTTGTGACAAGAATAATTTTGGAATAATTTCTATTAATATCAACTCTGAAGCTAATTGTACTAATCTGAGATTGTGTTTGTTCATAATAAAAGTGAAGTGAATCTGATTGCACTGGGTCTGGGAGTTTCTTTTGGCTGTGATTCAAAGTCTTGGGATTTGTCTCTGGCTCATATCTATGTCTGTACCTTTAAGAGTATAAAAGAAGTAGAAGTTACAATGGTTGACTCATACCCCATTAACCTGCCCTGCTGTCCTAAAGGTAACTTTAGGTTAAACTCTGGGACGCAGGAAGCCAGGAGTCTGCTGCCATTAAATCAAACACATTAACACCAGCTGGCAACTTGGCCCTGGGGAAGTGCCAGGGTTCTCGGGTGTGTCACGTGGTCGGTCACATAGACCTAAGATAAAGACACTGGGAGAGGAAAAGACCAGCAGGAGAAGCGCTCCCTGGGAAAGCAGTTTTTTGCTCTTGCCCAGGCTGGAGTGCAATGGTGTGATCTGGGCTCACTGCAAATTCTGCCTCTTGGATTCAAGCATTCTCCTGACTCAGCCTCCCAAGTAGCTGGGATTACAGGCACATGTCACCATGTCCGGCTAATTATGTATTTTTAGTAGAGATGGGGTTTCACCATGTTGGTCAGGCTGGTCTCGAACTCCTGACCTCAGATGATCCACCTGCCTCGGCCTCCCAAAGTGCTGGGATTACAGGTGTGAGCCACTGCGCCCAGCCAAAAGCAGTTCTTTACCTTGCAACCCAGGCTGGGCAGTCCAGCTTTTTCCTGTTTCTGAAAAGTAGTCACCTCTAGGGAATAAAATGGCTTCTTGAGAATGCTGATATGCACAGCAGAAGGAAGAAAGGAAAACCAATCCAAGGAACGGCTTGTATGTTCCTGGAGCAGAGGGCTTCATGCTCACAGGTGCACAAAGTGGAAACGGTTTTGGTTTTTGGTTTTTCCTTTTAGCTTTTAATACTTTTAAAATTATTTTTCTTGAAACCGGGTCTTCCTCTGTTGCCCAGGCTGGAGTGCAGTGGTGTGATTGCAGCTCACTGTAGCCTCAAACTCCTGGGCATAAGTGATCCTTCTGCCTCAGCCTCCGAGTAGCTGAGACTACAGGCATGCATCATCACGCCTGGCTAATTTTTTTTAGTTTTATTTTTGAAGAGGCCGGTCTCACTATGTTGGTCAGGGTGGTCTCAAACTCCTGGGCTCAAGCGATCCTCCCAAAGTGCTCGGATTACAGGCATGAGCCACCACACCCAGCCTAGCTTTTACTATATTTTATCTGATAATCCTTTTATGGAAAAAAGAAGGGCAGACTCTTTTACAGTTTGAAGAAGCTCCATATTCCATCAGGAGCCATCTTGAGCAATACCTGGGTTTCTAAGAGCTCCCCAGAGCCAGTTCTCCAGCTCACCTTGCTTTCTAATCTAAGGTTGCCCTCACCTTGGACAAGAAGCACGAGTCCCTCAGAGTAATTCAGAGTATCCAAACTCAAAAGTCTATGTACATGGAGGCCTTGCTAGACCTTAATGGTGACATTTTCATCAATATCCGGTTTTCTGCCATGAGTCCCTATCCCTCTTTTTCTTAACATATTCAAGCCAGAATATTTTTTCAGCCATTCTGTAACTGCACAGTTTCTTCCAAGTCTCTACTTTGTCTCCCATTAACTAGGATCCAATATATTTATGTATTTATTTATTTTAATTTTTGAGACGGAGTCCCCCTCTGTCACCCAGCCTGGAGTGCAGTGGTGCGATCTCACCCCACTGCAACCTCTGCCTCCTGTGTTCAAGCGAGTCTTGTGCCTCAGCCTCCCGAGTAGCTGAGATTACAGGTGCCCGCCACCACACCCAGCTAATTTTTGTATTTTTAGTAGAGACGGGGTTTTGCCAAGTTGGCCAGGCTGGTCTCGAACTCCTGACCTCAGGTGATTCACCCACCTCGGCCTCCCAAACTGCTGGGATTATAGATGTGAGCCACTGCACCCAGCCTCAATTTATACAATTTATCCTCACTGTTCTCTTTGCTGCTTTCTGTTTCGTTTTTGTCTTTTGTTTCAGACAGTGTCCTGTTCTGTCACCCAGGCTGGAGTGCAGTGGTGCAATCATGGCTCACTGCAGCATTGAACTACTGGGATCAAGCGATCCTCCTGCCTCAACCTCCCAAGTAACTGGGACTACAGGTGCACACCACCACATGTGGCCTTTGCTACTTTCTTATTTCCTCTTATTTCACAATTGGCTG
This sequence comes from Homo sapiens, assembly GCF_000001405.40. Taxonomy (NCBI): domain Eukaryota; kingdom Metazoa; phylum Chordata; class Mammalia; order Primates; family Hominidae; genus Homo; species Homo sapiens. The sequence goes on from NC_000010.11 coordinate 100,366,970, forward strand.
AGCTCCCTCTGATTAAACACACCTCCATGCTTCCTCCAGGAATCTGTATTTTGCATATCTGTTATTTCATCTGGGGCTGTTTTCTTATTATTAGCTGCAAAAGTTCCAAAGAGGAAGAAGAAAAAAGATATATCAGAGAGGTGGAAAAGAGTTGATCAACATGGTCAACTGAATTCAAGACAGAGAAGGAACATGTGATGAGCTTACCTGAAAGGGTGATTTGTAGAGTAAGAGCTCTTAGGGGGACAAAGTAATGAACCCTGATTTTGATATGTTTCATATGGGAAGGTATAAGGAAGTTAAGGTTCTGTTTAGGAATCAAGATTAACCGTGGGGCAAAAGGACAAAAAATAGATTAAGGTAATAATGGAGAACAGCATAGAAATGAAATTCCCAATGCCCAAATGGCCACCAGTTTTTTCACGTTTCCCTAGAAGAACCAAGATAGTTCCTAAAGATGTCTGCCAGGATAGAAAAGGAAGAGGCATCTAGATTGGAAAGGAAGAACTATCTCTATTTGCAGATGACATGACTTTGTATACAGAAAATCCTAGAGAATACACACACATACACATATTAAAGCTAATAAATGAGCTCAGCAAGGTTGCAGGATATAATAATATCAATATGCAAAAAATCAAGTGTATTTCTAAACTGGCAATCAATAATTTGAAAATGAAATTAAAGAATTCCACTTATAACAACACCAGAAAGAATAAAACAAATAGGAATACGTTTAACAAAAAAAGTACATAAGTTTGTTACATTGAAAACTACAAAATGCTGTTGAAAGAAATTAAAGAAGGCCTGCTAAATAAATAAAAAGAAATCCCATGTTCATGGATTAAAAGACAATATTGTTAAGGAGGTCATACTCCCCAAATTGATCTACAGATTCAAGGCAATCCTTATTAAATTCCAGCTCCTTTTTTTTTTTTAGAGAAATTGACAAGCTGATGCTAAAATCCATTCTAATTCAAGGGACCCAGAATAGCCAAAAACAAATGATGCAAAAAAGCACAAAGTTGAAGGACTTACATTTCCTGATTTCAAAATTACTTCAAAGGGTCAGTAACGCAGACAGTGTGGTACTGGCATAAAGACAGACATATAGATCAATGACATGAAAGTATAGAAATAAACCCATACATCTATGGCCAATTGATTTTTGACAAAGATGCTTAGACAATTCTATGAAGAAAGAATAGTTTTTTCAACAAATGTTGCTGGGACAATTGGATATCCACATGCAAAAGAATGTTGGTCCACTACCTCACACCATGTATAAGTATTAACTCAAAATGGATCAACAAAAACTATAAAACTCTTAGGAGAAAACATAGGTGTAAATCTTCACCACCTTGGATTAGACAATAATTTCTTAGATACGATGGCAAAGGCACAAACAACAAAACTTTTAAAAATAGGCCGGGCATGGTGGCTCACACTGTAATCCCAGCACTTTGGGAGGCAAAGGCAGGTGGATCACTTAAGGTCAGGAGTTCGAGACCAGCCTGACCAATGTGGAGAAATCCGTCTCTACTAAAAATACAAAATTAGCAGGGCATGGTGGTACATGCCTGTAATCCCAGCTGCTCAGGAGGCTGAGGCAGGAGAATTGCTTGAACCCGGGAGGCAGAGGTTGCAGTGAACTGAGATCACACCATTGCACTACAGCCTGGGCAACAAGAGTGAAACTCTGTCTAAAAAAATAAAAAAATAAAAAAAAATAAATTGAACTTTATCAAAATTAAAAACTTTTTTTTTTTCTTGAGACAGGGTCTCACCCAGGCTGGAGTGCAGTGGCATAATTATAGCTCACTGCAGCCCTGATTTCCCAGGCTCAAGTGATCCTCCTGCCTCAGCCTCCCAAGTAGTTGATATATGAATGGACATTTTTCAAAAAAATATACACAAATGACCAGAAGCACATGAAAAATGCTCAACATTATTAGTCATCAAGAAACTACTTTAGGACCACAATGATCTGGTACAGATAGGAGCTGAACATTTAAAACATTTTTTTTTAAAAAACACAATGAGATACTACTTCATACCTACTAGGATGCCTATAATTTTTTTTTTTTTTTAAGAGATAGGGTCTCACTATGTTGCCCAGGCTGGTCTTTCCTGGCTCAAGCAATTCTCCTGCCTTGGCCTCCCAAAGTGCTGGGATTACAGGTGTGAGCCACCACACCCTAGCCCTGTAATTTTTAAAAAGTTAATAAGTGTTGGTGAGGCTGTGGTGAAATTTGGACCCTCATGCATTGCTGATGGGAATCTAAAATTGTGCATTTGCGTTGGAAAACAGTATAGCAGTTCCTCAAAAGGTTAAAAACACAGTTACCATATGACCCAGCAATTCTACTTCTAGGTATATAGGCAAGAGAATTGAAAACATATGTCCACACAAAAACGTGCACATGAATGTTCATAGCTGCATTATATAATAGCCAAAAAGTGGAAACAACACAAACTCCCATCAACAGATGAATAAACACAATGTGGGATATTCATATAATGGAGTATTATTTAGCCATAAAAAAGAATGAAGTACTGATACATGATACAATAGGGATGGACCTTGAAAATGTTATTCAAAGTCAAAGAAGGCAAAGAAGTCAGACACAAAAAACTATATATCGTATGATTTCATTTATTATGAAATGTCCAGAATGGGACATCTAGAGACAGAAAGTTGATCTGTGGTTGCTAGAGACTGGGGGAAGGGTTGCCAATGTGCATGGGTTCTGTGGGGAGTGATGAAAATGTTCTTTAGGTAGATTTTGGTAAGGGTTGCATGTCTCTGTGAATATACTAAAAATGTCTGCATCATACACTAAAAGAGTAATTTTATGGTATATAAATTATATCTTGATAAAAAATTATATTTTAAAAAACCCTCTTAATGTTTTACCACTAGTTGTAGCTGAGACACAAACCCAAATATATTAAGTACTGATGAAAATAAATTTTTTGATTAAAGGAAGTGCTCCATATTCTCTCTCTCTCTCTTTTTTTTTTTTTTTGAGATAGAGTCTCACTCTGTTGTCCAGGCTGGAGTGCAGTGGCACGTTCTCTGCTCACTGCAACCTCTGCCTCCCGGGTTCAAGCGAGTCTCCTGCCTCAGCCTCCCAAGTAGCTGAGATTATAGGCATCTGCCACTATGCCTGGCTAATTTTTGTATTTTTAGTAGAGATGGGGTTTCACCATGTTGGCCAGGGTGGTCTCGAGCTCCTAACGTCAAGTGATCTGCCCACTTCGGCCTCCCAAAGTGCTGGGATTACAGGCATGAGACACCACACCCAGTCCATGTTCTCTTAATTATGCAGTGATGTAGTCTCTAGTCTCAAACTTCAAAGGGACAAAGACTAGCCACATGAGAAAAGGCAAGCTGCTATAAACTGGAGTATAATATGACAATTTGGCTGTACCAAGTTACTTGGAAAAATCGAGATACCATGTTCTACATTTAGTTAAAGGGGTTTAGGCAACTGCATAAACACAGACCTAACTTCCTTTTGAGTGGGAAATTAAAGTTCTGAGTCCATCAGACTTGTGGATACAATCATAATAACAATAACAATATTTACTAGAGCTGGGCACTGTACTGAATGCTTGGCAGTGTGTTATCGCACCACATCCGAAGCAGGTGTTATTGTTACCTGGATTTTACTGATGAGGTAACTGAGTTCACTTGGAGAAAAAGCTGTGAGAAAATGTGTAATGTTGCTATGATCTGGTTCCAGACCTATGGTCTTAACTACTGGCTCTACTGGGTGTGGAGCAGATGACAAACTAGATATGTCGTAATCTGTCATATGTCCAACTGTATGCCTGGCAATATTCAGTTATACTCAGAGGCAAAGCCTGGTGATGTGACCCTCCTCCCTGGGTGGCAGTGGCAGGGAGCTTAAGTTTTGCACAAACAGCAGATGCATCCACTGTTCCGGAAGAACCCAGCTCACTCCACCTCCTGACCCGTCTTAACATTCAGTCACACCTGGGTTTTAAGCTTTCCTCTCAAACCATAGATACGTACCCAACATTTCCTGTCTACTTTTCCTAAACTACACTTCACCCTCCTATAAGATTGTGAGCTCCTCAAAAGCATCTTCCTCTTTCAGAAATGTCTCCCTGCCCCTAAACAGTCAGCACTGGAAATGACAGAATGAGCTCATGTCTTGCTCTAAATTCTGTCACTGCTACAAACTGTGTGAAATGTCACAGGGAGTAGGAGTCATATTTTGTGACCTGTAGTTAACTTTCCGTGCTGCAGGCAAAGCGCTGATTCTTGTACACTGACTTTGGAACAAATGCCACAGGCCCTAATTGCAGGCTCCAAGGAGTTGAGATTCCATACTGGGGTTGCTGGAGGCAGAAGCCTTCCCACTTTCAGGACCCGGACCTGCCCTTCCCCCACGCGGTCCCGCCCAGCCAGCTACACCCTGGCCACAGAGCGCTCACAAAGGCTCAGTGTGTGTATGCCGGGCTGACTCACAGTGGTTCTGGGCCCAGGCGAGGACCTTCTCAGAGGGGCGGAAGGGGCCCTCTCCCTCCTGGCCATTTTCCATGGGGAGCAGTCAGTAACCAGGACCATGCCAGACTTCAAAAAACAGAGAGGAAAGTGGAAGTGAAAGGCAGCAGAGGACTCAGAATTGCTGTTTCTTATTTCTTTCTTAGAGAATTATGGACAGCAGGAAGGACTCACCTTTTAGTCTGTCAGTTTGTTTGCGAGAGAGAGAGAGAGAGAGAGAGAGAGAGAGATACATTTTAATTGAGAGACAATTCACACAATATAAAACTAACCACTTTATTTATTGAGATAGGGGTCTCACTATATTGCCCAGGCTGGTCTCAAACTCCTGGGCTCAAGTGATCCTCCTCCCTTGGCCTCCCAAAGTGCTGGGATGACAGGTGTGAGCCACCGTGCCCGGCTAAACTAACCATTTTATTTTATTTATTTATTTTGAGACAGAGTTTTGCTCTTGTCGCCCAGGCTGGAGTGCAATGGGATGATCTCGGATCACTGCAACCTTCGCCTCCCGGGTTCAAACGATTCTCCTGCTTCAGCCTCCTGAGTAGCTGGGATTACAGGCACCTGCCACCATGCCCATCTTTTTTTTTCTTTCTTTCTTTCTTTTTTTTTTTTTTTTTAGGAGAGATGGGGTTTCACCACGTTGGCCAGGCTAGTCTCAAACTCCTGACCTCAGGTGATCCGCCCGCCCCACCCTCTCAAAGTGCTGGGATTACAGGTGTGAGCCACCGTGCCAGGCCGAACTAACCATTTTAAATTGACCAGTTCTGTGGCACTTAGTGCATTCATAACATTGTGCAAACACTACCTTTTGTTCTAAAACATTTTCACCCCAAAAGAAAACTTGAACCCATTCAACAGTGATTCCCCATCTTCCCACCCACACTCGGCCCCTGGTGACCATCAGTCTGCTTTCTGTCTCTGTGGATTTACCACTTCAGGATATTTCCTATACATGGAATCGTACAATATATGACCTTCTGTGTCTGGCTTCCTTCTCTTGGCATAATCTTTCAATGTTCATCCCCATTGGAGCATATATCAGTACTTCATTCCTGTTTATTACCTATTCATATTCCATTGTATGAATACACCACAGTTGGTTTACTGATTTATCAATTGATGAACACTGGAGTTGCTTCCACCTTTTGGTTATTGTGAATAGCACTGCCATGAACATTTGAGTGCAAATATGAGTACCCGTTTATAATTTATTAGGGTTTATATCTAGGAGTGGAGTTGCTGGGCCAGATGCTAATTTGATATTTAACCTTTTGTGGCACCATCAAACTGTTTCCCCAGTGGCTGCACCACTTTAAATTTTCTCCAGCAATGTATGAGAGTCACCCTCTTCTTAACGTGTACCCATTTGTCCCTTTCCTCTTTCCTACTTTTTACAAAGCCAGTTCCCCACAGACTTCTCTTTCCCCTGGAGTAGAGGGTGGGAGAAGTTGCATCTCTAGTAGAAAGACTATCCAAGCCTCCATTCTTACCTTTTCCGCAAATAGAATACGGTGACCAGGAGGAGGAGAGGACAGGCTGCCACCTCCCTGTGGTCACTAAGGTACACCCACTACAGCCATTAACGCGACTCCGTAAAACTACCCTCCTAGCGACCTCCAACGCCTCGGTCCTCACCCAGAACATCACATTAAACTTTTCAACAGTCACAGATAGGAAGGGGCTCGGTGTGGAAGGTGCCAGCTCTGGCTCAGCCCTGCGGGTGAGTGTTTAACTTTCAGCCCAGCTTAAGATCTCCGAAGACACCCATCGCCTCGTCCTGCCCAGTCCCCTCCGCTAAAGGGCCGGCCTGCCCGGGCCTGGCTGGCAGCTGACATGAATGGAGAGGAAGCGCCTCCCTCTCCACCCACTCTCGCCGGGGTTACTGCCGGTCACAGACCCGGGCCTTCAAGAGCTATTTACACCTACAACAGCCCACCAGCGCCTGACCACGCCGGAGCCAATCAGCGGCCCCCAAGCTTGTCTGATTCTGTCTGCTCCAATCAGGAGGCGCGGTCCTTCCAGCCTCTTGCTCCTGTGAATCACAGGTCGGCGGGAGCCTTTTTTCCTTTTTTTTTTTTTCCCGGGGAGTCGGCCTCGGGGCTCTGCTCTCCTACCTCAGTCTGCCCTACCCTGGAATGGGGAAAATGCGGACATGCCACTCAGTCCGGCCGCGAACAGTGCTCCAGAACTCAGAGAGTTTTCCAGACGGGTGGAGATCGCGTTCCCTGCCCGCCGAGGTCCCATCGCTTCCCTGCTGGGAAGACAAATGAGGCGCTTTAGCCGTCTCCACGGCCAGCCCCTCCCTCATAACCCGAGATTCTTTGTGGGCTCTTAGTCCATAGCTGCCTTTGAGGTGGTGTAGACCTTGCTAACCAGGACGGCCCAGTAGGCAGAGCTCATTTTTATTCCTGTCTGCAATCGTGCAAAAACGCCTCTTATGGAAAAGCCAGAGCGCCAGGAGTCAGCAAAACACACTAAAGATTGGGCAGTCACTGGGGAGAACGTGAGTAAAAGCACAGGAACAGCAAAGCGTTCAGGAACGTTCGAGGCTGACGCAACCGGCGCAGGAAGGTGGTGTGTGGTGGGAGAGTGGGAGGAGACAGTGGAAAGTTTAGACTTGCTTCTGTAAGTGATAAGAAGTCATCAGATATTTTCAAGCAGGAGAGGAAAATAATCTCTCTGTTTCGCAAAGTTAACTCTCATGGCAACAGAGCAGAGTAGCGGGGGGATGGGGGCTGGGAGATGTTGGGAAGCTATTGTTACCACTCTGGTGAAGAGTCATGGGACCTCAAAAGCTGGGATAGTCACGGTGGGAATGGAAAGGAAGGGCACAAGCTGAGAGGCATTTGGGAGGAGAATCAATAGCACTTTATTGACTGGATGTGTGAGATGAGTGAGGACAGCAATCAGAAGAGGACTTTGAGGTTTCTAGCCTGAGTGGCTGGAAGGACACCACTTCCCCTACCTGAAATAGGTAGCAAAAAGGAGAGAGAAAGAGAGAAGCAGAGGGATTTTGCAAAGGGAATAGGAGTTCAGTTTTTGACATGTGGCATTTGAATTGCAAGAAGTACATCCCTGTGGATGTAATACCCAGTAGACAGTTGGGAATTAGGATCTGGTGTCGAGAAGAAAAGTAGAGATGAGATCCAAAGGGTTTATAGTGGATCGGGAGAGAAATTGATGACCTAAAGAGAAATTATAGAATAAGAAGATTTGGGCAGGGCACGGTGGCTCATGCCTGTAATCCCAGCATTTTGGGAGACCAAGGTAGGAGGATTGCTTGAGCCCAGGAGTTTGAGACCAGCCTGGGCAACATGGTGAGACCCCGACTCTACAAAAACTGCAAAAATTAGCCGGGTGTGGTGACACATACCTGTAATTCCAGCTACTTGGGAGGCTGAGGTGGGGGGATCACCTGAGCCTGGGGAGGTCTAGGCTGCAGTGAGCTGAGATAGTGCCACTGCACTCCAACCTGGGCAACATAGCAAGAGCAAGACCCTGTCTCAAAAGTAAAAAAAAAAAAAGAAGATTCAAGTACAGAATCTTGGGAAGGTAGAAAGAGGACACAGAGGCCAGGTGTGGTGGCTCATGCCTGTGATCCCAGCACTTTGGACGCTGAGGTGGGTGGATCATCTGAGGTCAGGAGTTCAAGACCAGCCTAGCCAACATGGTGAAACCCTGTTTCTATTAAAAATTATCCAGGCATGGTGGCGGGCGCCTGTTAATTCCAGCTTCTCGAGAGGCTGAGGTAGGAGAATGGCTTGAACATAGGAGGCAGAGGTTGCAGTGAGCTGAGATTGTGCCACTACACTCCAGCCTGGGCAACAGAGTGAGACTCTGTCTCAAAAAAAAAAAAAAAAAAAAAGAGGACACAGAGCTAGCAAAACAGACAAAGAAGTATCAGAAAGATATGAAAAATTAAAAAAAAGCAAACTACGATACTGTAATAGAAATAAGAAAATAATTCCAGGAAGAGGAAGCAGGACATTGTTTATGTATGTACAAAACAGTAAGACATTGGTTAAATAAATTATAAAGCATTCATTTGATAGAATACAGCCATTAAAATTATGTTGCAAAACTATATAATTGCCATAAAGAGATGTTCAATGCATCTTTTTTCCCCCAGTGCATCTTAGAAACACTCAGGTTAAAAAATAGTATATATGCTGGGCACGGTGGCTCACGTCTGTAATCCTAGCACTTTGGGAGGCTGAGGCAGGTGGATCACGAGGTCAGGAGTTTGAGACCACCCTGGCCAATGTAGTGAAACCCTGTCTCTACCAAAAATACAAAATTAGCCCGGCATGGAGGCAGGTGCCTGTAATCCCAGCTACTTGGGAGGCTGAGGCAGGAGAATCACTTGAACCTGGGAGGCAGATGTTGCAGTGAGCAGAGATTGTGCCACTGCACTCCAGCCCAAGTGACAATGCGAGACTCCATCTCAAAATAAAAAAAAGTATATATATATGTGTGTATATATATGTATATATATGTGTATATATGTATATATGTGTGTATATATGTATATATGTGTGTATATATGTATATATGTGTATATATGTATATATATGTGTATATATGTGTATATATGTGTATATATGTATATATATGTGTATATATGTGTGTATATATGTGTGTATATATGTGTATATATGTGTGTATATATGTATATATGTGTATATATGTGTGTATATATGCGTATATATGTGTGTATATATGTATATATATGTGTGTGTATATGTATATATAATTGTACCATTTTTAAAAATTACATATGTGACTGCAAAAAGGCATGAGAAGGCTGGGTGGCTCATGCCTGTAATCCCAGCACTTTGGGAGGCCAAGGCAGGCTGATCACCTGAGGTCAGGAGTTTGAGACCAGCCTAGCCAATAATTGTTATACAAAATAGAACAATTTTTGTATTTTGTAAAAATACAAAAATTAGCCAGGTGTGGTAGCACATGTCTGTAGTCCCACTTACTCAGGAGGCTGAGGCAGGAGAATCCCTTGAACCCAAGAGGCGGAGGTTGCAGTGAGCTGAGATTGCACCACTGTACTACAGCCTGGGTGACAGAGTGAGACACCGTCTCAAAAAAAAAAAAGGCATGAGGAAACTTTTAGGATGAGGGAACTGTTCTATATGTTTGTTGAGGTAATGTATACACAGCTCTGTACAATTATCCAAAATCCTCATAAGGGAGGAGACCACCCCTCATATTGTCTTATGCCCAATTTCTGCCTCCAAAGAAAGAAGAAGTAAAAACTTAAAGACAGAAATGAAATCCACAGGCAGACAGCCCGGCGCCACACCCTGGGCCTGGTAGTTAAAGATCGACCCCTGACCTAATCAGTTATGTTATCTCTAAATTACAGTCATTGTGTGGAAAAGCACTGTGAAAATCCCTGTCCTGTTCTGTTCTGTTCTAATTACCAGTGCATGCAGCCCCCAGTCACATACCCCTTGCTTGCTCAATCGATCAAGACCCTTTCACGCGGACCCCCTTAGAGTTGTCAGCCCTTAAGAGGGACAGGAATTGCTTACTCAGGGAGCTCGGTTTTTGAGACGTGAGTCTTGCCGATGCTCCCGGCCAAATAAAGCCCTTCCTTCTTTAACTCGGTGTCTAAGGGGTTTTGTCTGCGGCTCGTCCTGCTACACTCAAACTAGAATTCCTTAAATTTTTATTTTTTATTTTATTTATTTTTTTTTAGAGACTGAGTCTCACTCTGTCATCCAGGCTGGAGTGCAATGGCATGCTCTCGGCTCACTGCAACCTCCACCTCCCAGGTTCAAGTGATTCTCCTGCCTCAGCCCCTGGAGTAGCTGGGATTACAGGTGTGCAGCACCACGCCCAGCTAATTTTTGTATTTTTAGTAGAGACGGGGTTTCACCATGTTGGCCAGGCTGGTCTCGAACTCCTGACCTCAGGTGATCTGCCCACCTCGGCCTCCCAAAGTGCTGGGATTACAGGCATGAGGCACCATGCCCAGCTGAATGCCTTAATTTTAACAAGAGGGGGACTGTTGATGGTACCCACTTCACAGCGTTGTCCTGGGGATTAAATGGCAGACCAGAGCATACTGCCTGGAATATAAGAAGGGCTCAATCAGTAGAGAAGGGAAGGATGACCCAGGACCACAGCACGGAGGAGGCGAGACTGGGAGCAAGGCCCGGAGTATGGGTAAAGGCCACACCTGGGCCTCTAAAACAAAACCACCAACAAATAAAAGACCCTAGAATGGGTCCAGACAAAAAGGAAAGTTGAGAAACTGAAAACTTTAAGACTGAAAAAGGGCTCTGGGCATGGTGACTCATGCCTATAATCCCAACACTTTGAGAGGCCAACATAGGAGAATTGCTTGAGCCCAGGAGTTCAAGACCAGCCTGGACAACATACGGAGACCCTGTCTCTACAAAAAATAAAAAATAATTAGTGGGATGTGGTGGTACACGTCTGTGGTCCCAGCTACTTGGGAGGCTGAGGTGGGAGGATTGCTTGAGCCTGAGAGGTTGCGGCTTTGGTGAGCCACAATCACACCACTGTAGTCCCGCCTGGGTAACAGAGCGAGACTGTCTCAAAAAAAAAAAAAGGGGGGGGAAGGTTTATGAGGGACCTTGGTAGCTGACTTAGAATATGACACAAATGAGGAAATAAACCTATTCCTTATTGTCCAGAGGGTTGAATAAAGGAATAAAACTATGTGGGAATGAGAGCAAGCATGGCTATGGACAGGAAGGCAGCTCAAATAACTTGAGCTGTTCTACAGTGTCTTGGGAGGAATAAGCTGCTTCTCTCACCATATTTGTTCAACTCGTCCAAGATTCTGTAAACATGTTCCTGAATGGGATGAGATAATGGATTAGATACCTCTTAGGTTCCACCTAGTTTTAAGACTATGATATAAAGCACATCAAAGCTCTTCAACCAAACATAAGGTAATAGGAGTTATGTTATTTTCAGTCTATGGAATGGATGTCAATCTCATCTCTTTTGATTGTCAAGCTAGTTCCCATTTCTTCATGGTTTTGATCAAATCTGTTTAAGCTGTCTTTATGATCTGGACTAGGTGAGCTTAAAGTGATCATACCTGGCTGATAAATACTAATTGCATTTCTAAGTAGGCCGCTGGTAGAAATTTAATTATTTGGTTTTAATGTGAGCTGTTTTGTTTTGTTTTGTTTTGTTTTTTGAGACAGAGTCTCGCTCTGTCGCCAGGCTGGAGTGCAGTGGCGTGATCTTGGCTAACTGCAACCTCCGCCTCCCGGGTTCAAGCAATTCTCCTGCCTCAGCCTTCCGAGTAGCTGGGACTACATGTGTGCCCACCACACCTGGCTAATTTTTTATTTTTAGTAGAGATAGGGTTTCACCATATTGGCCAGGATGGTCTTGATCTCCTGACCTCGTGATCTGCCCACCTTGGCCTCCTGAAGTGCTGGGATTATAGGGGTAAGCCACCATGCCCGGCCCTTAATGTTAGTTCTTATTATACTTCATATCTATATCATTCATTTTGCATACTATGGTACAATAGAGAAACCATTAGGCTAGGAGTCAGTGTGACCCAGTTTCAAGTACTGGTTCTACTACTTAATAGATGTATGGCTTTGGGGAAAGGCATTTATGCAGAGGTTTTCGATGTGTAGTCCATGGACCCCTGAGCGTACCCCAAATAATTTTCAGGGTATCCATAAGACCAAAATGATGTTCATGGTGATATTAAGCCTTATTTGCCTTTTTTCACCATCACATTGACATTTCTTCTGATGGTGGGAAATTCTTTGCACCTTGATAGGAATCACGGTAGTAGCACCAAACTGTACCAGTGGGCATTACATTCCTCACTGCCCTGCACTTGGAGGGGAATTCAGTCCCCCAGGCTGGAATGCAATGATCTCGGCTCACTGCAACCTCTGCCTCCTGGGTTCAAGCGATTCTCCTGCCTCAACTTCCCAAGTAACTAGGATTACAGGTGCCTGCCACCACGCCTGGCTAATTTTTGTATTTTTAGTAGTTTCACCATGTTGGCCAGGCTGGTCTCGAACTCCTGGCCTCAGGTGATCCACCTACCTTGGCCTTCCAAAGTGCTGGGATTACAGGTGTGAGCCACCATGCCCAGCCAAGATGTTCTTGATAAAATAAAAATTATTAATTTATTAAATTTTGATCCTTAAGAGCACCTTTTAAAAATTCTGTGGCATGAAATGGGAAGTAGGAAGTACTTATAAAGTACTTCTGCTATATGTCAAAGAACAGTGGTTGTCTTGAGGGAAAACATTAGTGTGATCATTATAGTTGTGAGCTGAATTAACCCCTTTATTCATGTAATATCCTTTTTGTTTGAAAGAATGACTGACAAACTGGTTGTTCAGACTTTGGTATTTTGCAGCTTCAAGAACATTAATAAAGTAAAATTGTTACTTCAAAGTAACAACTTGCAATATTTGTTCCAATGATAAAATTTGAGCTTTTGGCAGTGGCTCATGCCTATAATCCCAGCACTTAGGGAGGCTGAGGCGGGAGGAGCACTTGAGCTCAGGAGTTTGAGACCAGCCTGGGCAGTCTCTCCAAAAAGAAAAAAAAAATTAGCCAGGCATGGTGGCATGCACCAGCTGAGGTGGAAGGAGCACTTGAGCCTGGGAGGCCAAGGCTGCAGTGAGCCATGATTGTACCACTGCACTCCAGCCCAGGCAACAGAGCAAGATCTTGTCAAAAAAAAAAAAAAAAGAAAAAAGAAAAGAAAAAATAGCTTTCAAGCAAAACTCAGAATTGTAGTGATCTTGCATGTGGTACTAAGCTTGACAGCTTCCTAATAATTAAAAACTCTTCTGATGCTATCAGTGGTGATGTTCAAAAATGTCAATTTTTAAATATTATAGAATAAAATGTGCCAACATTTTAGAAGATTTGCATAACTCAGTGAACCAATACTTTTCAAATGACCAAAACATAATGTTACAAAATCATGCATGGATAAAAGGTGCATTGAAAATGCAAATGAGGCCAGGTGTGGTGGCTCATGCCTCTAATCCCAGCATTTTGGGAGGCAGAGGCTGGAGGATCACTTGAGGCCAGGCATTTGAGACCAGCCTGGCCAACATAGCAAGATCCTATCTCTAAAAATAATAAGAGTAAGAGAATTAGCCAGGCATGGTGGCATGCGCGTGAAGTCTTAGCTACTTGGGAGGCTACGGTGGGAGGATGGCTTGAGCTTAGGAGTTTGAGGTTACAGGAAGCTATGATTGTGCCACTGCCCTCCAGCCTGGGTGATGGAGTAAGACCATGTTTCAAAAACAAAACAAAAAAAAAAGAAATGCAAGTTAGACCAATGAAGTATAATGTAATGAAATACAAAAAATTCATTGCTATGGTTTCAAATTCCCAGTGCAATTAACCTTTAAGATACTACGTGTCAGGCCTCTGAGCCCAAACTAAGCCATCATATCCCCTGTGACCTGCATGTATACATACAGATGGCCTGAAGCAACTGAAGATCCACAAAAGAAGTGAAAATAGCCTTAACTGATGACATTCCACCATTGAGATTTGTTCCTGCCCCACCCTAACTGATACGATATATTCTCCCCCGCCCTTAAGAAGGTACTTTGTGATATTCTCCCTGCCCTTGAGAATGTACTTTGTACGCCTATCCCAAACCTATAAGAACTAATGATAATCCCACCACCCTTTGTTGACTCCTTTTTAGACTCAGCCCGCCTGCACCCAGGTGAAATATACAGCCTTGTTGCTCACACAAAGCCTGTTTGGTGGTTTCTTCACACGGATGCATGTGACATTTGGTGCTGAAGACCCAGGACAGGAGGACTCCTTTGGGAGACCAGTGCCCTGTTGTCGCCCTCACTCCGTGAGGAGATCCACCTATGATCTCAGGTCCTCAGACCAACCAGCCCAAGGAACATCTTGCCAATTTCAAATCGGGTAAGTGGTCTTTTCACTCTTCTCCAGCCTTTCTTGCTACCCTTCAATCTTCCTCTCTCACTACCCTTCAATCTCCCTGTCCTTCCAATTCCCGTTCTTTTTCCTCTCTAGTAGAGATAAGGAGACACATTTTATCTGTGGACCCAAAACTCCAGCGTCAGTCACGGACTCGGGAAGACAGTCTTCCCTTGGTGTTTAATCACTGTGGGGACGCCTGCCTGATTATTCACCCACACTCCATTGGTGTCTGATCACCACGGGGATGCCTGCCTTGGTCATTCACCCACATTCCCTTGGTGACAAGTCAATTGCGGGGACACCTGCTTTGGCTGCTCACCCACATTGCAGCCCAGGGCTGCTCAATGCCCCCCGCTGCCCCACCCGCCTTCTCCGTGCCTCTACCCTCTCTTTTCTCGGGTTTACCTCCTTCACTATGGGCAACCTTCCACCCTCCATTCCTCCTTCTTCTCCCTTAGCCTGTGTTCTCAAAAACTTAAAACCTCTTCAACTCACACCTGACCTAAAACCTAAGTGTCTTATTTTCTTCTGCAACACCGCTTGGCCCCAATACAAACTCGACAATGATTCCAAATAGCCAGAAAACGGCACTTTCGAGTTCTCCATCCTACAAGTTCTAGATAATTCTTGTCATAAAATGGGCAAATGGTCTGAGGTGCCTGACGTCCAGGCATTCTTTTACACATTGGTCCCTCCCTAGTCTCTGCTCCCAATGTGACTCATCCCAAATCTTTCTTCTTTCTCTCCTTTCTGTTCCTTCGGTCTCCACCCCAAGTTCCGAGTCCTCTGAATCCTTCTTTTCTATGGACTCATCTGACCTCCCCCCTTCTCCCCAGGCTGCTCCTCGCCAGGCTGAGCCAGGTCCCAATTCTCACTTAGCCTCTGCTCCCCCACCCTATAATCCTTTTATCACCTCCCCTCCTCACACCTGGTCCAGCTTACAGTTTCGTTCCTCGACTAGCTCTCCCCGATCTGCCCAACAATTTCCTGTTAAAGAGATGGCTGACTATCCTGACTTCATCAGAGCAGGCTGGTGCCTGGCCTTCCTGGAATGAGTGGGTGTTCTGACAGGCCCCCAGTTTGTCCCATCTGCACCGCCAAGAGGTCTCCGGGTGGCCAGAGGAGCAAAGTTGCCTTCCAAGTGCCTGTTGGTGCCTGGGAGAACACAGCAGGAGTGTCGTGCGGCCCACAGCGCAGTGCATGGTGATTCCAGGCGCTGAACAACTCCCCTTGACCCTTGGGCCTGCATCTGACTCCCGGCTGCAGAATCAGAAGCTGAGTCCAGGCAACCGCTCGGCCACTCCCGGTCACTCCTCTCTGGACACCCAGTTACTAAAGTCAGCAAAGAAGATGCGGTAATCACCGCCTGATCTCCACATGGTGAACACAACACTCTCACTAACACCTCCTTGACCAGTCAGTCTTCAGCACTGGGGGTGGACAGGCAGGTTTTCTGTGTTTACCAGAATCGCACAGGCTAAGCACAAACATGGAACCAGAGTTCCAGGTGAGGAAACCTCACTCGCAGAAGCCCAGGCTGCACCCCACCAGGTGATGCAGTGCGCCTAGGCTGTGGGTGCTAGGAGCCAAGTGCTAGGGACTCGTCATGAGTGGGAATCCCCACGTTCCTGTCACTGCTGTCAAACAGAAGGTAAACAGTCTTACGAATGTAATTCCTTAGGAAGACTTGTACAAACTTTTATTAGGATATCTATTTATTTAATACTGAACTTTGGCCTACTTTGTGATAAGACTATAAACAAATTGAGGAAATCACTATTTCTCACTTCTGTATTTCTCAAAAAATAATTTTGTTACAGAGTTCAATATACTGTGTACTACTGATCTTCTATTGTGAAAGCAAAGCATTTCATCAAAACAAAGTATTTTAAATTATGAGTGAAAATTGTGTATGTTAATTTTGCAGCTGTAATATTAATCAAACTTTGTGTAATTCTAATCACAAAATGATGTGCCTTAAATGCCCCTCCAGCTGTGGGTTGGCAGTGTCCAGACAGGGACCCTGAAATCCTGAATGACTGCTAGACCAATTCTATTAAAAACATTTCAAGGCAAAAAAAAAAAAAAAAGAGGTGGCTGGAGCTGAAGGCGTAGTCAAGGTTAATGCTCCTTTTTCTTCATCTGACCTCTCCCAATCAGTTAGCGTTTAGGCTGTTTTTCATCAAATATAAAAACCCAGCCCAGTTCATGGCCCATTTGGCAACAACCCTTAGATGCTTTACCGCCCTAGACCCAGAGGGGCCAGAAGGCCGTCTTATTCTCAATATGCATTTTATTACCCAACCCGCTCCGGACATTAGAAAAAGCTCCAAAAATTAGATTCCAGCCCTCAAACCCCACAACAGGACTTAATTAACCTCACCTTCAAGGTGTACAGTAATAGAGTAGAGGCAACATATTTCTGAGTTGCAATTACTTGCCTCCACTGTGAGAGAAACCCCAGCCACATCTCCAGCACACAAGAACTTCAAAACACCTGAATCGCAGCGGCCAGGTGTTCCTCCAGGACCGCCTCCCCCAGGATCTTTCTTCAAGTGCTGGAAATCTGGTCACTGGGCCAAGGAATGCCTGCAGCCTGGGATTCCTCCTGAGCCATGTCCCATCTGTGCCAGACCCTACTGGAAATCAGACTGTCCAACTTACCCAGGAGCCACTCCCAGAGCTGCTGGAACTCTGGCCCAAGACTCTCTGACTCCTTCCCAGATGTTCTCGGCTTAGCGGCTGAAAACTGATGCTGCCCAATCGCCTCAGAAGCCTCTTGGACCATCACAGATGCTTTGGGTAACTCTTACAGTGAAGGGGAAGTCTGTCCCCTTCTTAATACAGAGGCTACCCACTCCACAATACCTTCTTTTCAAGGGCCTGTTTCCCTTGCCTCCATAACTGTTGTGGGTATTGATGGCCAGGCTGCTAAACCTGTCAAAACTCCCCAACTCTGGTGCCAACTTGGACAACATTCTTTTATACACTCTTTTTTAGTTATCCCTACCTGCCCAGCTCCCTTATTAGGTCAAGACATTTTAACCAAATTATCTGCTTCCCTGACTGTTCCTGGACTACAGCCACACCTCATTGCCGCCCTTTTCCCCAGTTCAAAGCCTCCTTCGCATCCTCCCCTTGTATCTCCCCACCTTAATCCACAAGTATGGGACACCTCTATTCCCTCCTTGGCAACCGATCATGCACCCCTTACCATCCCATTAAAACCTAATCACCCTTACCCCACTCAATGCCAATATCCCATCCCACAGCACACTTTAAAAGGATCCCACAGCACACTTTAAAAGGATTAAAGCCTGTTATCACTCGCCTGCTATAGCATGGCCTTCTAAAGCCTATAAACTCTCCTTACAATTCCCCCATTTTACCTGTCCAAAAACCAGACAAGTCTTACAGGTTAGTTCAGGATCTGTGCCTTATCAACAAAATTGTCTTGCCTATGCACCCCATAGTGCCAAACCCATATACCCTCCTATCCTCAATACCTCCCTCCCACAACCCATTATTCTGTTCTAAATAAACCTAGCTGACCCCATAAATCCTAAATCCTTTCCCCACTCCCCTTTCCATTCCTTAAAAAACAGCCCTAAAAGCTGCTCCCACACTAGCTCTCCCTAACTCATCCCAACTTTTTCATTACACACAGCCAAAGTGCAGGGCTGTGTGGTCGGAATTCTTACACAAGAGCCAGAAGCATGCCCTGTAGCCTTTCTGTCCAAACAACTTGACCTTACTGTTTTAGCCTAGCCCTCATGTCTGTGTGTGGTGGCTGCTGCTGCTTTGATACTTTTAGAGGCCCTCAAAATCACATTATGCTCAACTCACTCTCTACAGTTCTCATAACTTCCAAAATCTATTTTCTTCCTCATACCTGACGCATATACTTTCCACTCCCTGGCTCCTTCAGCTATACTCAACTCTTTTTTGAGACAGAGTCTCACTCCGTCTCCCAGGCTGGCATGCAGTGGCACAATCTTGGCTCACTGCAACCTCCGCTTCCCAGGTTCCAGCGATTCTCCTGCCTCAGCCTCTGGAGTAGCTGGGATTACAGGTGTGTGCCCCACACCCGGCTAATTTTTTGTATTTTTAGTAGAGATGGGGTTTCACCATGTTAACCAAGCTGGTCTTGAACTCCTGACCTAAAGTGATCTGCCCATCTCGGCCTCCCAAAGTGCTGGGATTACAGGCATGAGCCACCACACCCAGCCTATACTCACTCTTTGCTGAGTCTCCCACAATTACCATTGTTCCTGGCCTGGACTTCAATCCGGCCTCCCACATTATTCCTGATACCACACCTGACCTCCATGACTATCTCTCTGATCCACCTGGCATTCACTCCATTTCCCCATATTTCCTTCTTTCCTGTTCCTCACCCTGATCACACTTGGTTTATTGATGGCAGTTCCACCAGGCCTAATCGCCATTCACCGGCAAAGGCAGGCTATGCTATACTATCTTCCACATCTATCCTTGAGGCTACCGCTCTGCCCCGCTCCACTACCTCTCAGCAAGCCAAACTCATTGCCTTAACTCGGGCCCTCACTCTTGCAAAGGGACTACGTGTCAATATTTATACTGACTCTAAATATGCCTTTCATATCCTCCACCACCATGCTGTTATATGGGTTGAAAGAGGTTTCCTCACTATGCAAGGGTCCTTCATCATTAGTGCCTCTTTAATAAAAACTCTTCTCAAGGCTGCTTTACTTCCAAAGGAAGCTGGAGTCATTCACTGCAAGGGCCATCAAAAGGCATCAGATCCCATCACTCAGGGCAACGCTTATGCTGATAAGGTAGCTAAAGAAGCAGCTAGCATTCCAACTTCTGTCCCTCAGGGCCAGTTTTTCTCCTTCTTATCGGTCACTCCCACCTACTCCCTCATTGAAACTTCCACGTATCAATCTTTTCCCACACAAGGCAAATGGTTCTTGGATCAAGGAAAATATCTCCTTCCAGCCTCACAGGCCCATTCTATTCTGTCGTCATTTCATAACCTCTTCCGTGTAGGTTACAAGCCGCTAGCCCATCTCTTATAACCTCTCATTTCATTTCCATCGTGAAAATCTGTCCTGAAGAAAATCACTTCTCAGTGTTCATCTACTATTCTACTATCCCTCAGGGATTGTTCAGGCCCCTTCCCTTCCCTACACATCAAGCTGGGGAATTTGCCCCTGCCCAGGACTGGCAAATTGACTTTACTGACATGTGCCGAGTCAGGAAACTAAAATACCTCTTGGTATGGGTAGACACTTTCACTGGATGGGTACAGGCCTTTCCCACAGGGTGTGAGAAGGCCACCACGGTCATTTCTTCCCTTCTGTCAGACATAATTCCTCCATTTAGCCTTGCCACCTCTATACAGTGTGAAAACAGACCGGCCTTTATTAGTCAAATCACCCAAGCAGCTTCTCAGCCTCTTGGTATTTAGTGGCTCCTGGTTTTACCTCAAAACACCACCCTTAAGGCTCTCTTGAAGTGGATAGATCTTCAGTGGCAAGGTACCCTCCGATACTTTCACCCTGATGAAGTCCTATTCTTTACTTTTATACTCATTCTTATTCTGGTTCCCGATCTTATGCCACCCTCTACCTCTCCCCAGCTATCTCCACCACACTATCAATCTCACTCTCTCCTAGCCCCGTTTATAATCCTTCTTTTTTTTTTGAGATGGAGTCTTGCTCTGTCCCCCAGGCTGGAGTGCAGTGGTGTGATCTTGGCTCACTGCAAGCTCCGCCTCCTGGGTTCACACCATTCTCCTGCCTCAGCCTCCCAAGTAGCTGGGACTAGAGGTGCCTGCCACCATGCCTGGCTAATTTTTTGTATTTTTAGTAGAGATGGGGTTTCACCATGTTAGCCAGGATGGTCTCCATCTCCTGACCTCACGATCCGCCCACCTCAGCCTCCCAAAGTGCTGGGATTACAGGCGTGAGCCACTATGCCCGGCCCTCTAATCCTTCTTTAACAAACAACTGCTGGCTTTGCATTTCTCTTTCCTCCAAAATCGCCAAGGCCTCGACTTACTCACTGCTAAAAAAAGAGGACCCTGTATATTTTTAAACGAAGAGTGTTGTTTTTACCTAAATCAATCTGGCCTGGTGTATGACAACATAAAAAAACTCAAGGATAGACCCCAAAAATTCGCCAACCAAGCAAATAATTATGCTGAACCCCCTTGGGCACTCCCTAATTGGATGTCCTGGGTCCTTCCAATTCTTAGTCCTTTAATACCTATTTTTCTCTTTCTCTTATTCGGACCTTGTGTCTTCCTTCTGTTTAGTTTCTCAATTCATACAAAACTGCATCCAGGCCATCAACAATCATTCTATACGACAAATACTCCTTCTAACAAGCCCACAATATCACCCCTTATACCCAAATCTTTCTTCAGTTTAATCTCTCCTACTCTAGGTTCCCATGCCACCCCAATCCCACTCAAAGCAGCCCCGAGAAACATCGCCCATTATCTCTCCATACCACCCCCAAAAATTTTCGCTGCCTCAACACTTCACCACTATTTTGTTTTGTTTTTCATACTAATATAAGAAGATAGGAGTGTCAGGCCTCTGAGTCCAAGCTAAGCCATCAAATCCCCTGTGACCTGCACGTGTACATCCAGATGACCTGAAGCAACTGAAGATCCACAAAAGAAGTGAAAGTAGCCTTAACTGATGACATTCCACCATTGTGATTTGTTCCTGCCCCACGCTAACTGATACCATATATTCTTCCCCCGCCCTTGAGAATGTACTTTGTACACCTATCCCAAACCTATAAGAACTAATGATAATCCTACCACCCTTTGCTGACTCTCTTTTTGGACTCAGCCCGCCTGCACCCAGGTGAAATAAACAGCCCTGTTGCTCACACAAAGCCTGTTTGGTGGTCTCTTCACAAGGACGTGCGTGACACTACACTTGTTGAGTTTTAGTGTAGTATCAAAGAAGAATATCCACAATTATCTATTGAAATCCTTCTCCCTGTGGTGGCTCACATGTATAATCCCAGCACTTTGGGAGGCCAAAGTGGATGGATCACTTGAGTCCAGGAATTCAAGACCAGCCTGGACAACATGGTGAAACTTCATCTTTACCAAAATACAAAAATTAGTTGGGCGTGGTGGCATGTGCATGTATTCCTAGCTACTTGTGAGGCTGAAGCAGGAAGATCGCTTGAGCCTGGGAGGCAGAGGTTGCAGGAAGCCGAGATTGGCCCACTGCACTCCAGCCTGGGTGACAGAGTGAGACTCTATCTCAAAAAGAAAAAAAAAAATCCTCCTCCCTTTTCCAACTACATATTTGAATGAGATTAGATTTTCTTCATCTATTTCAACCAAACAACATATGGCAATAGATATGAGAATCCAGCTGTCTTCTATTAAGTCAGACATTAATGAGATTAGTAAAAATGTAGAATGACTCTCATCTCACTAAATATTTGTTTGCTTTGGAAAATAGTTATTTTCCTTTAAAAAACTGTTATAATAGTAATAGGTTTTTATTGTTATTTTATCTGTTTTTTTTTTTTTTTGGAGACATCTCTTTCTGTTGCTCAGGCTTGAATGGAGTGGCCTGAACACAAATCACTGAAGCCTCAACTTCCCAGGCCCCAGCAATCCTCCCGCCTCAGCCTCCCAAGTAGCTGGGATCACAGGTGTGTGCCACCAAGCCTGGCTAATTTTTAAAATTTTTTTTTGTAGATATGAGATCACACTATGTTGCCCAGGCTGGTCTCAAACTCCTGGACTCAAGCGATCTTCCCACCTCAGCCTCCCAAAGTGCTGGGATTACAGGCGTGAGCCACCACACCTCGCTGCTAGTATCTTTTGAAGCATTAAACTTTTTAATTTTGATGCAGTCCAGTTATCCATTTTTTATTTTGTTTCTTGTGCTTTTGGTGTCACATTAAAGAAGCCATTGTTTCAAGGTCACAAAGATTTACACTTAGTTTTCTTTTAAGAGTTTTATAATTACAGCTCTTACATTTAGGTCTTCGATCCCTTTTGATTTCATTTTTGTATGTAGTGTGAGGTACCTAAATAATTTTAAGGATATAAAGGGGTTGAGAGCTAAACGTTTGAGAATCACTGCTTTAACTTCTCTCAGCCTCAGTTTTCTCATCTTTAAAATGATAACTGGCCGGGCTTGGTGGCTCATGCCTGTAATCCCAGCACTTTGGGAGGCTGAGGCAGGCAGATCATTTGATGCCAGGAGTTCGCAACCAGCCTGGCCAACACAGTGAGACCCCATCTCTACTAAAAATATGGAAATTAGGCAGGTAGGGTGGCACGCACCTGTAATCCCAGTTACTTGGGAGGCTGAGGCAGGAGAATCACTTGAACCCAGGAGGCAGAGGTTGCAGTGAGCCAAGATTGCGCCACTGCACTCCAGCCTGGGCGACGGAGTGAGACTCTGTCTCAGAAATTAAAAAATAAATAAATAAAATGATAACTGTATTTGACTTACTACCTCATAGGGCAGCTATGAAGTAAAAAGAGGTCGTATAAATGAAAGACATAATAAAGCACTATTGAAATGTAAGTGATCATCACTGCTATTATTTTTATGTATATGTTGTCTGTCCAACCTGTTCAAAGATCCTTGGGTTTTTCCTTTTGTTCTACTGCCACAGCCCCTTCCTCATACTAGACACATAGCAGATCCTCAGTAAATATTTATTTGTGAACTGATAGATGCACTCAGTCTTGCCTGTGTTGTCAGAAGTAAAAAGAGAAGTATTTACATTTTGGTAGTCACTCCCTAGCCACTTCCTGCTCTCAACTCCTTAAGCCTAAAAAACTAATAAAAATAAAAATAAAAATAAAAAAACAACTTGTTAAGTTTGTAGTCAGCCAAGACTCATAGCCTTTTTCACTTGAACTGTTAAGCTAAGTCTTCCTTATCCTATGTTGGTGAAATTAATATTTTGAACATAAGCATGGGACTTTAAATGTATCCCTGGTTGGCCAGGTGCAGTTCATCACGCCTGTGATTGCAGCCCTTTGGGAGGCCAAGGCAGGTAGATCATGAGGTCAGGAGATCGAGACCATCCTGGCTAACACAGTGAAACCCTGTCTCTACTAAAAATACAAAAAATTAGCCGGGCAGGGTGGCATGCGCCTGTAGTCCCAGCTACTCGGGAGGCTGAGATAGGAGAATGGCTTGAACCCAGGAGGCGGAGGTTGCAGTGAGCTGAGATTGCGCCACTGCACTCCAGCCTGGGCGACAGAGCAAGACTCCATCTCAATAAATATATATATTATATATATATATATATATATATATATATATATTTCCCTGGTAAATTTCATTTATTTGTTAATTCTAACTTTGGAACCTATTGAGAGCTTTATGAATCCCAATTCAGTCTTCCAAGATATTAAATATCTCTTCTAGCTTTATTTAGTGGAAAATAGCATAAGCATGCCTTCTTTATCACAGATAAGAGGGTTGTCTAGGTCAGAGACAAGGACAAAGTGAAACGTTTTGTTTTGAACTAATCTGAAATGAGACATTCTTCTCCCTTGAGTACTATGCAGTGAGTGGATGAGCACGCCTGGTTTACCAAGGTCATTCCATCTTTGTTCCCCAAACAGTTCCTTATTTATGTCATGGACCAGCCTTAGAATCAGAGCCAGTAGAATAGCCAGTGAAGGAAAAGGAAAAATATTGTAGAATTTGTTAGGTAAAGGTAATATTCTTCACCAAAAAAAAAAAAAGCACAGCTAATAGTACCTCTGCCTTTTATCCTCAGTGAAGGCAAGAGAGTGAGGTGAAAGGGTAACAACATAGTTTGTTACCCAAGTGTTAAAAAACTTGGCAAGTGTGAGTGCTACCAAAGGCAGATGGACCCCAAGGCCATTCTAGCAATGAACGGAGGAAAACCTCAAGAAAGGAGCAGAAGGTGTGTTTAGAATCATGGGTTTTGGAATCAAGATGTTCAGTGGAATGTAAGGAAGAAGAAACACATTAGGATTGAGTCAGTCTGGTTTTGGTATTTGTAATTTCAGTAGAAAAATCTTTAACTTGCCTAGAGAGAAGTAATCTAGTGTTAATGGGCTGCTGACTCGGGCTTCTAACAAGAGCCTGACAGGGCAGATCCAGACTCAACCAATGTCTCCCTTCTGCTCTTGTCAGCACCCTTGTTTGAGTGCGGGGCTGGGGGAAGATTGGTGGGATATCACATAAGACAATGTCAGAGAAATAGATTGGGGGTGGGGGCCTCCCATGGGCTCTGTTCACTTGGAAAAGTCTCCTATAGTCTCTTTGTATTTTGTTCTTATTTTATATCTAAGTTATACTTGTACATGATTTAAAGAGTTAAATGGCCTTATAAGGCTTTTCCCCATCCCCCCCACTCCCCAACCCCTGCCATACGGCTTGTTTTGAAATAGCAGTGCCCTGGCCTCCTCTCCTCACCATTTTCAGCTCCTCAAAGGTAACCACTTTCAACTTCTCTTAATGGAACCTTCTGGCATTTACCTCTGTATCTCTAAATGACTTATCTCTAAAGGCTTATATGACTACGTATTAACTTAAACATGTTTACATTATTTATGAACTTCTCACCAGAGAAGATGAGAATTTTATCTTTTTCACCATCACCAGTGCCATCCCTACCACATCCTCACTCATTCACATAGTATCTGCATGCTTCACTTTCTCTGTCCTCTCAATACACTTGTGTTGTAAAAAATTTGGTTAATTAAATAGTGTTGGCCGGGTGTGGTGGCTCACACCTGTAATCCCAGCACTTTGGGAGGCTGAGGCAGGTGGATCACGGTGGTCAGGAGCTCAAGACCAGCCTCGCTTGAGCTAAAAATACAAAATTACTAAATTTTTGTACTAAAAATACAAAAATTAGCCGGGCGTGGTGGCGGTGCCTGTAATCCCAGCTACTAGGGAGGCTGAGGCAGAGAATTGCTTGAACCCGGGGAGCGGAGGTTGCAGTGAGCTGAGATCACGCCACTGCACTCTGGCCTGGGAGTCAGAGCAAGACTCTGTCTCCAGGAAAAAAAAAAAAAAAAAGTCAGTGTTTATATTGCTGTGACTATGCAAATATTGTTCACAAATAAGCGAAGTAATGTACCCAAGTAAGCTGAGTAATGTTTCTCTCTTGCATAACTTTTTGTGCTTTTTGGACCTAATAGTTGTATTTTTCTATGTACTTAATATATTAATTTAACTCAACCTCCGCCCCAGTTGTCTACATCTCTTCTCAATACACTTGGTCACATCAGATATTTTTTCAATTTCATTTTCTTGAAGAAATCTCTCCTGGAGCCCCCTCACATGCTCCAATCTGGACTGGTTACTCTCTCAACCTGTTGCATACATAATTTTTGTCCTGGGAATTCTCTTCAGCCTTGTTCTCTCCTGTGTTAGATCCCCTGTTCCTGGATCCTTTGTGTTCCTCTTTCTTGATTTACTCCCTTGCTTTGGATAAACCCATTCTATTTTTTTTTTTTTTTTTTTTGGGACAGAGTCTCACTATGTTGCCCAGGCCGGAGTGTGCTGTGCTGGCGTGATCTCGGCTCACTGTAACCTCTGCCTCCCAGGTTCAAGTGATTCTCGTGCCTCAACCTGTAGCTGGAACTATAGGCATGCACTACTACGCTGGGCTAATTTTTGCATTTTTAGTAGAGACGGGGTTTCACAGTGTTGGCCAGGCTGGTCTCAAGCTCCTGGCCTGAAGTGATCTGTCTGCCCTGGCCTCCCAAATTGCTGGGATTAGAGGTGTGGGTCCCCGCGCCCAGCTGAGAAACTCATTCTTTATTAGTCTTGTGAAAAAGGCATATTTTAAAGATATTCTCTTTGTTCTTGGTTTCCCAAAATTTCATGATGATGTGCTTTGGTATGGATCCATTTCCATCCATTATCAAAGACGTTTCCTAGTCCATTTCAATCTAGAAATGCTTTTCCTTCATTTCTGAGGATGTTTTTTGATTCATTGATGATTTCATCTTCCTCTTCCATTTTCTTTGTTCTTTCTTGAGTCTTCAGAATTGATTCTCTATTTTTAAAAGTTCCTATATTATTTTCCATGCCTTTTACTTTCGCTTGGCTTTCTAGATTCCCTGAACTTCATCTTACAAACCTTCTATTGAGTTGGGTTTTTTTTGTTTTGTTTTTTGGTTTTTTTTTGAGATGGAGTTTCGCTCTTGTCGCCCAGGCTGGAGTGCAGTGGCACGATCTCGGCTCACTGCAACCTCCGCCTCCCAGGTTCAAGTGATTCTCCTGTGTTAGCCTCCCGAGTAGCTGGGATTATAGATGCCCGCCACCTCGCCCGGCTAAGTTTTGTATTTTTAGTAGAGACGGGTTTCACCATGTTGGCCAGGCTGGTCTTGAACTCCTGACCTCAGATGATCCACCTGCCTCGGCCTCCCAAAGTGCTGGGATTACAGGCGTGAGCCACCACACCCAGCCCTATTGAGTTTTTAAGACCTGTTATCATACTTTAATTTTCAAAGATTCTGCTAGAATGTTTCCTTTTTACTGTATCTTGTCTGCTTCCATGGATGCAATATTTTCTGGGTTTTGTGTTTTGTTTTGTTTTGTTTTTTAGAGGCAGGGTCTTGCTTTATTGCCCAGGCTGATCTTGAATTCCTAGCTTCAAGCAATCCTCTATCTAGCCTCAGCCTCCCAAGGTGCTGAGATTATAGGTGTGAGCCAAAACACCCAGCCTGCAATATTTTCTTATTCCTTTAAGAATATTAGTGATTAGTTGGGGAATATTTTTCTTTCCCTACAAAGTCTCTTGCCCTCCAAGTTTTTTCTGTCCTGTTTTCTGTTTTGGCAGATTTGTTTCTGCAGATAATGAATGATCCTTGGCTATCTGTTTATGTATAACAATGCGGCACCAAAAAGCCAGCTGGAGGCTCTGCACATGTGGTAGGCCACATTCAGTATGAGCACATCTCTGTCTTTCTGACTGGATGGTTTCTTAGAGTAATTCCCAATACTAGTATCACAGTTTTTTTGTTTATTTGTTTTGTTTTTGTTTTGAGACAGGATCTCGCTCTGTTGCCCAGGCCCCAGGCTGGAGTGTAGTGGCGTGATCACAGCTCACTGCAACCTCCACCTCCCGGGTTCAAGAGATTCTTGTGCCTCAGCCTCCCAAGTAGCTGGGGTTACAGGTCTGTGTCACCATGCTGGCTAGTTTTGTTTGTTTGTTTGTTTGTTTTGAGATGGAGTCTCGCACTGTTGCCAGGCTGGAGTGCAGTGGTGCAATCTCGGCTCACTGCAACCTCTGCTCCCAGGTTCAAGCGATTCTCCTACCTCAGCCTCTCGAATAGCTGGGACTACAAGTGCACACCACCACGCCCAGCTAATTTTTGTATTTTTAGAGACAGGGTTTCACCATGTTGGCCAGGATGGTCTCCATCTCTTGACCTCGTGATCCGCCCACCTTGGCCTCCCAAAGTGCTGGGATTACAGGTGTGAGCCACTGCGCCCAGCCTAGTTTTTGTATTTTTAATAGAGGTAGGGTTTCACCATGTTGCCCAGGCTTGTCTTGAACTCCTGGCCTCAAGTGATCTGCCTGCTTTGGCCTCCCCAAGTGCCCTAGGATTGTAGGCGTGAGCCACTGCATCCTGCCTATATCATAGCTTTTTTTCTTTTAGGTTGTCAGAATCTGCAGAGAAGCTTCCTCCAATCTCCAGCCTGAGAGTTCAGGCCTGGTTACCAGCATTCTAGAAGCTGAAAGAGGAGAAGTTCTTGGAAGACTAAGAAGTCCAACATTCGGTATACAAATATTAGTCTTTAGCCTTTGCTCTTTTTTTCTATAATACCGTGTAGTTTCTGTCTCCTGAATGGACCCAGACTGATGCTATAACTCAGCCTTTAACTGATTCTGGTATTCCCCAGTCAAGAGATCCTTGATTTCACTCTTTCTGATGAATCGACCTCCAGTGTTTTACCTGGAGTCAGGAGAACTAACAATTTCTTCAACAATTATTCTATTCTTAGCCATACCTTCCCCTTTCTCCTCCCCTTCCAAAGGTAGCTGGGGCCACCAAATCTTGAACCTTTGTGGGTTCTTTGGTGTAAACTACTTTGCTTTTGGCTACCCCCGCTGCCTGCTGAAGCTTCAGCTTTCCAGGTTCTACTAAGACAGCTATTACTCATAATCTGTTTTCCACCTTCCAAAATTTTATTGTGGTCTCTTCCCCATTCTTTTGTCCTTGTGGGATTATACCTCTCAAAAACCCTTTACTGTTATTTTACTATAGTTTGGGGAGGGAGCAAATGCATGTGTTCAAAATGTCTTCTTTATCCTGAATCTCTCTCTCAGAACCTATTTATCCTGCACATATTTACTGGGTGCCTCATCAGGGTAGGTACTATTCAAATATTTGGATACATTAGGGAACAGAATAGAATATCCTTACACTTGTGGGGTTTACATTCTAGTGTGTGTACGCACAACAGAGGAACAGATTATAAAAATTAAATCTAAGTATGTAGATTAAAAAAAAATTTTTTTTGAAACAGTCTTTCTCTGTCGCCCAGGGTGGAGTACAGTGGTACAATCTTGGTTCACTGCAACCTCTGCCTCCCGGGTTCAAGGGATTCAAGTGATTCTTGTGCCTCAGCCTCCTGAGTAGCTGGGACTGCAGGCATGCACCACCACACCCAGCTAATTTTTGTAGTTTTAATAGAGATGGGGTTTTGCCATGTTGCTCAGGCTGGCCTTGAACTCCTGGCCTCAAGTGATCCACCTGCCTCAGCCTCCTAAAGTGCTGGAATTAAGGCGTGAGCCACTGCGCACGGCCCAATATGTAGATTATATAGTAAGTATTAGATAGATAAGGTTTATTTATTTATTTATTTCTGAGACGGAGTCTCGCTCAGTTACCCAGGCTGGAGAGCAGTGGCGCGACCTCAGCTCACTGCAACCTCTGCCTTCTGGGTTCAAGCAATTCTCCTGCCTTAGCCTCCTGAGTAGCTGGGATTACAGGTGCCGTCACCACACCCAGCTAATTTTTGTATTTTTAGTTGAGACAGGGTCTCATCATGTTGGCCAAGCTGGTTTCAAA
Organism: Homo sapiens; assembly: GCF_000001405.40. Lineage (NCBI taxonomy): Eukaryota > Metazoa > Chordata > Mammalia > Primates > Hominidae > Homo > Homo sapiens. The sequence continues at coordinate 100,396,525 of NC_000010.11, forward strand.
CTCCTGACCTCAGGTGATCCACCTGTCTCAGCCTCCCAAAGTGCTGGGATTACAGGCGTGAACCACTGCGCCCAGCAGATAAGGTTTAAAAGCACTATGAAAAAAAGTAGGGCCAAGTGCTGTGGCTCATGCCTGTAATTTCAGTACTTTGGGAGGCTGATGTTGAAGGACTGCTTGAGGCCAGGAGTTAGGGACCAGCCTGAGTAACATAGCAAGACTCCATCTCTATTATAAAAAAACAGAAAGAGAGAGAGAAATGGTACAGCAGGAAATGCTGAATCAGGAGTAATGGGCAGGTGGTAGGCTGCAGTATTTAACAGAATGATCAGGCTGGGCGCAGTGGCTCATGTCTATAATCCCAGCACTTTGGGAGGCTGAGGCAGGCAGATCATTTGTGGTCAGTTCGAGACCAGCCTGGCCAACATGGCGAAACCCGTATCTACTAGTAATACAAAAATTAGCTGGGTATGGTGGCAGGTGCCTGTAATCCCAGCTGCTCGGGAGGCTGAGGCAGGAGAAGCACTGGAACCTGGGAGGTGGAGGTTGCAGTGAGCCGAGATCATGCCACAGCACTCCAGCCTGGGTGACAGAGTGAAACTGAGTCTCAAAAATAATAATAATAATAATAATAGAAGGATCAAAGTAAGTATCATTGAAGAAGCAAAATTTGAGCAAAGATTTGAGGGAACTGCAACTGTAAATATATATATTTCTATTATTTTTTGTTTGTTTGTTTCTATTTTCAGTTTTCTTTAAAATACATATATTTCTGGCCGGGCGCCGTGGCTCACCCCTGTAATCCCAGTGCTTTGAGAGGCCGAGGCAGGCGGATCATGAGGTCAGGAGTTCAAGGCCAGCCTGGCCAACATGGTGAAACCCCGTTTCTACTAAAAGAAAATACAAAAAATTAGCTGGACGTGTTGGCAGGCACCTGTAATCCCAGCTACCTGGGAGGCTGAGGCAGGAGAATTGCTTGACCCCGAGAGATGGAGGTTGCAGTGAGCCGAGATTGTGCCATTGCATTCCAGCCTGGACAATAGAGCAGGACTCTGTCTCAAAAAAAAAAATTTTTTTTTTTTTAAAGAAGAAGGAAAAAATATATAACTTTTGTTTGTTTGTTTGTTTCTGAGACAGGGTCTCACTCTGTTATCCAGGCTGGAGTGCAGTGGCACCATCAGGGCTCACTGCAGCCTCCACCTCCCGGGCTCAAGTGATCTTCCCACCTCAACCCCCTGAGTAGCTGGGACTACAGGCGCATGCCACCACACCTGGTGAATTTTTTCTTTTTTAAGTAGAGATGGGATTTTGCCATGTTGCCCAGGTTGGTCTTGAACTTCTGGACTCAAGCAATCCACCCACCTTGGCCTGCCAAAGTGCTGGAATTACAGGCATGAGCCACCACACACACCCATCTTTAAATGGTCTTTTTATTTTTTTATTTTTATTTTTATTTTTTTGAGATGGAGTCTCACTCTGTCGCCCAGGCTGGAGTGCAGTGGTGCGATCTCGGCCCACTGCAAGCTCTGCCCCCCGGGTTCACACCATTCTCCTGCCTCAGCCTCCCGAGTGGCTGGGACTACAGGCGCCCACCACCATGCCCGGCTAATTTTTTGTTGTATTTTTAGTAGAGATGGGGTTTCACCGTGTTAGCCAGGATGGTCTCCATCTCCTGTCCTCGTGATCCGCCCGCCTCGGCCTCTCAAAGTGCTGGGATTACAGGCGTGAGCCACCGCGCCCAGCCTTTTAAACAGTCTTTTTATATGTAGTGTAAATACTTTGTTGCATTGATGAATCTGTTGAACATTATACATCTTTATAAATTTTTTTTTAAAGCCAGTCAAATTTAGCGGTGAGGGTTTGTATACCACTTTAATGACACTAATGTTAATAAGTTCTGATAACCTACTACAATGGAACCAGCCTCTTTTTAAAATAATAATTTTTTAAATTTTTTGTAGAGTCGGGTTTCACTTTGTTGCCCAGGCTGGTCTCAAACTGCTGGCTTCAAGCGATCCTCTTGCATTGGTCTCCCAAAGTGCTGGGATTATAAGTGTGAGCCAGAGTGCCTGGTCTAAAAATGTTTTAAAACAGTTGGAGAGGCCGGGTGCAGTGGCTCATGCCTGTAATCCCAGCACTTTGGGAGGCCAAGGTGGGTGGATCACTTGAGGCCAGGAGTTCGAGACCAGCCTGGCCAAAATGGTGAAACCGTGTCTCTGCTAAAAATACAAAAAAAGTTTAGCCGGGCATTGTGGCACGTGCCTGTAATCCCAGCTACTCGGGAGGCTGAGGTGGGAGAATCGCTTGAACCCAGAAGGTGGAGATTGCAGTGAGCCGAGATCGCGCCACTGCACTGCAGCCTGGTTGACAGAGTGAGACCCTGTCCCAAAAAAAAAAAAAAAAAAAAAAAAAGCCAGGTGCGGCGGCTCATGCCTGTAATCCCGGCACTTTGGGAGGCCGAGGTGGGCAGATCACAAGGTCAAGAGTTCGAGACCAGCCTGGCCAACATGATGAAATCCCATCTCTACCAAAAATACAAAAAATTAACCAGGTGTGGTGGCATGCACCTGTAATCCCAGCTACTCGGGAGGCTGAGACAGGAGAATTGCTTGAACCTGGGAGGCAGAAGTTGTAGTGAGCCAAGATCATGCCACTGCACTCCAGTCTGGGCAACAGAGCAAGACTTTGTCTCAAACAAACAAACAAACAAACAAACAAAAACAACAGTTGGAGAAATTTATTTGGCAGACTGGAGGAGGCCAGTCGGGCCGAGGACAATCCTGATTCCTTCCTGCCATATCAACAACTGGGAAAGAGTATCTTCAACTCCATGGATTTTTATTTTGCCTACTGATACATTCAATTACAAGGACATTTTATTTTATTTATTTATTTATTTATTTATTTTTGAAACGGAGTCTTGCTCTGTCGCCCAGGCTAGAGTGCAGTGGCGTGATCTTAGCTCACTGCAACCTCCATCTCCTGAGTTCAAGCAATTCTTCTGCCTCAGCCTCCCGAGTAGCTGGGATTATAGGCGCATGCCACCAGGCCTGGCTAATTTTTGTATTTTTAGTAAAGATGGGGTTTTGCCATGTTTGCCAGGCTGGTCTCGAACTCCTGACCTCAGGTGATCTTTTTGCCTCGGCCTTCCAAAGTGCTGGGATTACAGGCATGAGCCACTGCGCCCGGCCCAAAGATATTTTAAAGCAAATATAATTCTAACTCAAAACCTCCAAGCCCAAGCCCCTTACATTTAGCCCTTCTTCCTAGATTTCAAACAAATTTAATTAAATTTGTCCTTCTAACTTGTCTAATGTGAGTACTAGGTGAATTGTGAATATATAGAATCTACTTTCTTTTTATATTTTTAAATTTTTCTTTAGTTTTTATACTTTTTCATTCATTTAATTTTTTTATTTCTAGTTTATTTATGACACTTGTTAAAGAATTGCCTTCTCTCCAGTTTGATAGATTGAGAGATTCAGACCAAGGGCCTCTTGCCCTCTTTCTGCCTCTTCACTACCAGACTAATTTGGGTGAGGGAGTCAGGGGAAAGTGCAAGCCTGGAACCTTCTATGTTAATAATATTATTTTTGCATACTATGTATATAATAGGAAAGACCCATATACCCTCCACCCAGTTTAACAGAATCAAGGCCCTTATGTAAACTTCTCTGATTACATCTCCTTCCCTACTGTCCTAAATTTGGTATTCATCTTGCCTAGGTATTTCTTTTTTCTTTTTTTTTTTTTTTTTTGATATGGGATCTTGCTCTGTCACCCAGGCTGGAGTGCAGTGGCACGATCTCTACTCACTGCAACCTCTGCCTCCTGGGTTCAAGCAATTCTCCTGCCTCAGCTTCCCGAGTAGCTGGGATTACAGGTGCCCGCCACCACATCTGGCTAATTTTTGTATTTTTAGTAGAGACAGGGTTTCACCATGTTGGCCAGACTGGTCTCAAACTCCTGACCTCAGGTGATCCCCCTGCCTCAGCCTCCCAAAGTGCTGGGATTACAGGCGTGAGCCACCACGCCCGGCCAGGCATTTCTTTACATACACATATATATCTTTTTATTTATTTATTTTTTTGAGACACTGTCTCACTCTGTGGCCCAGTCTGAAGTGCAGTGGCACTATCTCAGCTCACTACAACCTCTGCCTCCCAAGTTCAAGTAATTGTCATGCCTCAGCCTCCCAAGTAGCTGAGACTACAGGTGCGTGCCACCACACCTGGCTAATTTTTGTATTTTTTGGTAGAGATGGGGTTTCACCATGTTTGGCCAGGCTGGTCTCAAATTCTTGACCTCAAGTGATCCGCCCGCCTCAGCCTCTCAAAGTGTTGAGATTACAGGCGTGAGCCAACGGGCCTGGCCTTTATATTTGTATCTTTATAAATACATAAATATATAATATATATATATAATTCCTAAATAATACATAGTACTGTTTGCCAGTATTTTAACCTTTATACAAAGATAAGAGGGGCTGGGTGTGGTGGCTCACACCTGTAATCCCAGCACTTTGGGAAGCCAAGGCAGTTAGATCACCTGAGGTCAGGAGTTCCAGTCCAGCCTGGCTAACATGGTGAAAACCTGTCTCTACTAAAAATACAAAAATTAGCCAGGCGTGGTGGCGGGCGCCTGTAGTCCTAGCTACTCAGGAAGCTGAGGCAAGAGAATTGCTTGAACCTGGGAGGCGGAGGTTTCAGTGAGCCGAGATCGCACCACTGCACTCCAGCCTGGGTAACAGAGCCAGACTCCGTCTCAAAAAAAAAAAAAAAAAGAAAAAGAGGGATTCTCCTGCAGTCTTGGGTTTTTTTTTCCTTCACTCAATATTATACTTATATATTTACCCACATTGATATATGTATCTCTAGTTATTCATCTGTTCTGTTCATGGACATTGAATTTATTTCTAGCTTTTTGCTATAAATATTTTGTATCTGTCTCCTTTGTATACATGTGCAAGAAACTCCCCAGAATTGAAATTTCTGGGCCACAGGATATGAGCATTAGACTTTATTAGATACTGATAAATAGTTCTCCAAAATGGTTGTGCCAACTTAACAGTCTCATCAGCAGTGTATGAGTTTCTACTCCTCCACTTCTTTACCAGCACTTGATATTATCAGACCTACTTTCCAACCTACTTTTGTAGCTTTAATTCCTTTTCTGCATGAATCTTTGATTCCAGCCATATTGTAGTACTTGCTCCCCCTTGAACATTCTATAATTGATTCCCCTACTCCCTCAAGTATTTATTGAGTAGCTATACACGTCAGAAGCCCTGCTAAGTGCTAGGAAAACAAAGATGAAAGTACACAGTTCTTGCCCTAAAGGAGTTTATAATTTCTTGGAGTGACAGGCAAACAACCGTTATGATATATTAATAACTGTTCCAATGAAGGTGCTTACCAACTACAGAAAGCAAGAAGGCAGAAGGAATCTATCTCCATTTGGAACAGCTAAGGAAAAAGGGGAGAGGGTCAGAGAAGACTTCACAGAGGAGGAAGTTTGACCATGTTTTCCCCCATATAGTTACCTCTGCCTGGATGATCCTTCCCTCTGCTTTTGCCCTATTCGTGCCAGCTCAAAGGCTGGCTCCCTACATACTGTCCCAATCACTCCAGGAAAGTACTTTGCACTTTTCTTATATCGTGTCTTACATAATATCCTGGATATTTATACATGCATATCTTACTTCCTCTACTAAATTATAACCTTAATGGAAGATGTTGCCCTCTTATATGCCTGTATATCTCCCATAAAGGCCAGGCATGGTGGCTCACACCTATAATCCCAGCACTTTGGGAGACTGAGGTGGGAGGATCACTTGAGGCCAGGGGTCAGAGACCAGCCTGGGAAACATAATGAGATACCCATCTCGACAAAAAATTTAAAAATTAGCCAGATGTGGTGGTGTGCGGCTGTAGTCCTAGCTATTCAGGAGGTTGAGGCAGGAGGATCGCCTGAGCCCAAGGGCTCAAGGATGCAGTAAGCTATGACCACAGTGCTGCACTCCAGCCTGGGCAATAGACCAAGACTCTGTCTCTAAAAATTAAATTAAATTAAATTAAAACAAAACAATAAGCCAGGTGCACTGGCTCATACCTGTAATCCCAGCACTTGGGAGGCCGAGGCAGACGGATCACCTGAGTCAGGAGTTTGCGACCAACCTAGCCAACATGGTGAAACCCCGTCTCTACTAAAAACACAAAAATTGGCTGGGCGTTGTGGTGTGCGCCTGTAATCCCAGCTACTCAGGAAGCTGAGGCGGGAGAATCACTTGAACTCATGAGGCAGAAGTTGCAGTGAGCCTAGGTCATGCCACTGCACTCCAGCCTGGGCAACAGAGTGAGACTCCATCTCAAAAAATAAAAATAGAAACAATATCTCCCATACAGCTTAGAATACTGATGACACACAGTGTGTATTCATTCAGTAATTACTTGTAGAATGAAAGATGAAAACAAACAAGGGAGGGCTACATCATTGGTTCCCATTCTCCCAGATGCTTGACCCTTCAAACATTTTAAGCAATTGCTAATTTGGGCTGCTATTTACTATTGCCAACGTAACAGAAAGACTTTAAGAAAACAACTCTTTTAAAAGTCATCTATGCTATTCATCTGGCACAAGAAAACATGTTATGTAACATTATAAAATCTAGTCAATAGGCCGGGCGTGTTGGCTCATGCTTGTAATCCCAGCACTTTGGGAAGCCAAGGCGGGCATATTACTTAAGGTCAGGAGTTCAAGATCAGCCTGGCCAACATAGAGAAACCCCGTCTCTAATAAAAATACAAAAATTAGCTGGACGTGATGGCATGCACCTGTAGTCCAAGCTACGGGGGAGGCTAAGGCAGGAGAATCGCTTGAACCCAGGAGGCAGAGGTTTGCAGTGAGCCCAGATCGCGCCACTGCATTCCAGCCTGGGCCACAGAGTGAGACTCCATCACACACACACAAATACAAATACAAATACACACACACACACACAATTTAGTCAATCTTGAGGGCTTGCTCTAGTATTTCTGTTTCCTGCTTCTTTAACAGACTCTACATTCCCATTTTAAAAGATCTTGCCAACATTAATTAATTAGCACTCTATCATCAGCAGAAGGTAAAATATTGCATATTTATCTGGTATATAGAGGAAAGAGGTAGGAAGCAATTGAGGACTTGGAAGCTGGTAGTTCATACACTCCTTCTATAATGAGTCTTCTCCTTTCTAACAGCAGAGGTTAATAAAATGCTATCTGATTTGAGCTTTATTTTTTGAGGCAGGGTCTTACTCTGCTTACTCTGTTGCCTGGGCTAGAGTGTGTGACCATGGCTCACTGCAGTCTCGACCTCCTGGGTTCAAGCGATCCTCTCCATCCTCCTGGCTCAGCTTCCCAAAAAGCTGGGCTGCATGCCAGTTTGCCAGGCTAATTAAAAAAAATTTTTTTCTGTAGAGATGGGATATCCCTGTGTTGCCCAGACTGGTCTTGAACTCCTGGGCTCAAGCAATCCTCATGCCCTGGCCTCCCGAAGTGCTGGGATTACAGGTGTGAGCCACTGTACCTGACCTGTTTTGAGCTTTTTAACATAAACAATGTCTTAATTTTAAAAAAGATTTTAGTAAATGAGCTCAAGTTACTTATCAGAGTTACAGGAAAAGTGTCATAGGCTTTACTTAGACTTTGGGAGTACGGTTGAGAGCACAGAAGCTGATCCAGGGAGTTAGCAGTTGACACAGCAATTTAATTAATACTTTGTATTGAATGCCTGCTACATGTCAGACAATTTTCTAAACTGAGCTCCCACCCCATACGGAAATGGAGTTGGATTCTGCTCCAGGCCTGAAGGAAACAGGGTTTTTTTCATAGACTTTTATACATATCTACTTAATGACATTATCTATATCAGAAAACTATGTAAAGTTAGGTGAAAATATTTTCTTTCTTTTTTTTTTTGTGACGGAGTCTCGCTCTGTTGCCCAGACTGGAGTGCAGTGGCGTGATCTCGGCTCACTGCAATCTCTGCCACCCAGGTTCAAGTGATTCTCCTGCCTCAGCCTCCAGAGTATCTGAGATTATAGACATGCACCACCATGCCTGGCTAATTTTTTTGTATTTTTAGTGGAGACAGGGTTTTGCCACATTGGCCAGGCTAGTCTCAAACTCCTAACCTCAAGTGATTCACCCACCTTGGCCTCCCAAAGTGCCAGGATTACAGGCGTGAGCCACCATGCCCGGCCAATCCCTTGTGTTTAAAGCTAGCCTGCAACCTTCCCAGATTTAAAGTCGGCAAAGAGACCAGACACCAAGGACATCCCTTAGATTCTTTGTTGCCACCTGGTCACACCAGTGACCTAAACAATATCTCATCTGTGGAAGCTGGGTTTGGACTAAAAATCTAACAGGTGTACCTGAGAAGCCCTCACAAAGAGGTGCAATAGCAAATAGTGATCTCTCATTAAGGAAAAAAGAGACAAGCATTTGCGTATCCTAGTAACAATCATTTGATTTCCTTCAGGAGAGAAATTCCATTTTCATCTAGCCTTGGGATTCAGATGAAGGATTCTAGGGGAAAAAAGATTCTCTTAATGAATACTCTGCAATAATAACTGCAATTATTTATTTATTTATTTTTGAGACAGAGTCTCGCTCTGTCGCCCAGGCTGGAGTGGAGTGGAGTGATCTCAGCTTACTGCAACCTCTGCCTTTCGGATTGAAGCAATTCTCCTGCTTCAGCTTCGTGAGTAGCTGGGATTGCAGGTGCCCGCCACCACACCTGGCTAATTTTTGTATTTTTAGTAGAGACGGGGTTTCACCATGTTGGCCAGGCTGGTCTTGAACTCCCAGCCTCAAGTGATTAGCCCACCTCAGCCTCCCAAAGTGCTGGGATTACAGATGTGAGCCACTGCACCCGGCCACAACTGCAATTTAAAAAATTTTCCTTAAACATTTCACAGAAAAGCTCTTTTTGCAAGGATTTAATTACCACAAGGATCAGGAGGAAATGCACAGGAATTTACTCATTTTACTCTCAGGTTGAGGACCACTATACACTATCTATGAATGTGTTTACAAACTTCAAGATGAGGATGATACCTTCCTCAGTTACTGGAATTCTATGAAGAAAGCGAACCAATTCATGGACACTTTATTCAATGAGGGACTTTATAAAGATGTCGGGTGGGATAAGGAGGATAGTGAGTCTCCCCAGCCAGGTAGCCAGGTGTAGGCTCTGAGACTCAGTAGTGACAGGCTGGTGCAGGCCAGGGGCAGGGGCAGAGTGACAGCTTATAGAAGACTAAATGGCATCTGCCTCTGTTCCCGCCAGTAGCTCTTCCTTTTCATTTTGTGAGACAGAAACTTCTCTGTCAGAGCTCTGTGACTTCATCCCACTCCACCCTCTGTTTGGGAAGAAATAGACACCAGACCCCTCATAGTCCTGTTCTTGGTGTAACACTCAAGCGCTTGCCTTCAATTATCTTTGGCTTCAGAAATCTATTTCTGGCTGGGTGCGGTGGCTCACAGCTGTAATCCCAGTACTTTGGGAGGCCAAGGTGGGTGGATCATCTTAGGTCAGGAGTTTGAGACCAGCCTGACCAACATGGTGAAACCCCGTCTCTACTAAAAATACAAAAATTAGCCAGGCATGGTGGCAGGTGCCTGTAATCCCAGTTACTCAGGAGGCTGAGGCTGGAGAATCACTTGAACCTGGGAGGCAGAGGTTGCAGTGAGCCAAGATGGCACCATTGCACTGCAGCCTGGGCAACAAGAGCAAAACTCCATCTGAAAAAAAAAAAAAAAAAAAAAGAGGGTGGAGCCAAGATGGCCAAATAGGAACAGCTCCAGTCCACAGCTCCCAGCATGAGCGATGCAGAAGACGGGTGATTTCTGCATTTCCAACTGAGGTACCGGATTCATCTCACTGCTGAGTGTTGGACAGTGGGTGCAGGACAGTGGGTGCAGTGCACCGAGCATGAGCTGAAGCAGGGCAAGGCATCGCCTCACCCAGGAAGCGCAAGGGGTCAGGGAATTCCCTTTCCTAGTCAAAGAAAGGGGTGACAGATGGCACCTGGAAAATCGGGTCACACCCACCCTAATACTGCACTTTTCCAATGGTCTTTGCAGATGGCACACAAGGAGATTATATCCCGCACCTGGCTTGGAGGATCCTACGCCCATGGAGCCTCGCTCATTGGTGGCACAGCAGTCTGAGATCAAACTGCAAGGTGGCAGCGAGGCTGGGGGCAGGGCGCCCACCATTGCCGAGGCTTGAGTAGGTAAACAAAGCACCCGGGAAGCTCGAACTGGGTGGAGCCCACCCCAGCTCAAGGAGGCCTGCCTGCCTCTGTAGACTCCACCTCTGGGGGCAGGGCATAGCCAAACAAAGGCAGCTGAAACCTCTGCAGACTTAAATGTCCCTATCTGACAGCTTTGAAGAGAGTAGTGGTTCTCCCAGCACGCAGCTTGAGATCTGAGAATGGACAGACTGCCTCCTCAAGTGGGTCCCTGACCCACAAGTAGCTTAACTGGGAGGCAACCCCCAGTAGGGGCAGACTGACACCTCACACGGCCAGGCACTCCTCTGAGACAAAACTTCCACAGGAATGATCAGGCAGCAACATTTGCTGTTCACCAATATCTGCTGTTCTGCAGCCTCCGCTGCTGATACCCAGGCAAACAGGGTCTGGAGTGGACCTCCAGCAAACTCCAACAGACCTGCAGCTGAGGGTCCTGACTGTTAGAAGGAAAACTAACAAACAGATAGGACATCCACACCAAAACCCCATCTGTACGTCACCATCATCAAAGACCAAAGGTAGATAAAATCACAAAGATGGGGAAAAAACAGAGCAGAAAAACTGGAAACTCTAAAAATCAGAGTGCCTCTCCTTCTCCAAAGGAATGCAGCTCCTCACCAGCAGTGGAACAAAGCTGGATGGAGAATGACTTTGACGAGTTGAGAGAAGAAGGCTTCAGATGATCAAACTAGTCCGAGCTAAAGGAGGAAGTTCGAACCCATGGCAAAGAAGTTAAAAACCTTGAAAAAAAATTAGATGAATGGCTAACTAGAATAACCAATGCAGAGAAGTCCCTAAAGGACCTGATGGAGCTGAAAACCACGGCACAAGAACTATGTGACGAATGCACAAGCCTCAGTAGCCGATTCAATCAACTGGAAGAAAGGGTATCAGTGTTGGAAGATCAAATGAATGAAATGAAGTGAGAAGAGAAGTTTAGAGAAAAAAGAATAACAAGAAATGAACAAAGCCTCCAAGAAATATGGGACTATGTGAAAAGACCAAATCTACATCTGATTGGTGTACCTGAAAGTGACGGGGAGAATGGAACCAAGTTGGAAAACACTCTGCAGGATATTATCCAGGAGAACTTCCCCAATCTAGCAAGGCAGGCCAACATTCAAATTAAGGAAATACAGAGAACACCACAAAGATACTCCTTGAGAAGAGCAACTCCAAGACACATAATTGTCAGATTCACCAAAGTTGAAATGAAGGAAAAAATGTTAAGGGCAGCCAGAGAGAAAGGTTGGGTTACCCACAAAGGGAAGCCCATCAGACTAACAGCTGATCTCTTGGCAGAAACTCTACAAGCCAGAAGAGAGTGGGGGCCAATATTCAACATTCTTAAAGAAAAGAATTTTCAACCCAGAATTTCATATCCAGCCAAACTAAGCTTCATAAGTGAAGGAGAAATAAAATCCTTTACAGACAAGCAAATGCTGAGAGATTTTGTCACCACCAGGCCTGCCCTAAAAGAGCTCCTGAATGAAGCACTAAACATGGAAAGGAACAACCGGTACCAGCCACTGCAAAAACATGTCAAATGGTAAAGACCATTGAGGCTAGGAAGAAACTGCATCAACTAACGAGCAAAATAACCAGCTAACATCATAATGACAGGATCAAATTCACACATAATAATATTAACCTTAAATGTAAATGGGCTAAATGCCCCAATTAAAAGACACAGACTGGCAAATTGAATAAAGAGTCAAGACTCATCAGTGTGCTGTATTCAGGAAACCCATCTCACGTGCAGAGACACACATAGGCTCAAAATAAAGGGATGGAGGAAGATCTACCAAGCAAATGGAAAACAAAAAAAGGCAGGGGTTGCAATCCCAGTCTCTGACAAAGCAGACTTTAAACCAACAAAGATCAAAAGAGACAAAGAAGGCCATTACATAATGGTAAAGGGATCAATTCAACAAGAAGAGCTAACTATCCTAAACATATATGCACCCAACACAGGAGCACCCAGATTCATAAAGCAAGTCCTTAGAGACCTACAAAGAGACTTAGACTCCCACACAATAATAATGGGAGACTTTAACACCCCACTGTCAACATTAGACAGATCAACGAGACAGAAAGTTAACAAGGATATCCAGGAATTGAACTCAGCTCTGCACCAAGCATACCTAATAGACATCTACAGAACTCTCCACCCCAAATCAACAGAATATACATTCTTTTCAGCACCACACCACACCTATTCCAAAACTGACCACATAGTTGGAAGTAAAGCACTCCTCAGCAAATGTAAAAGAACAGAAATTATAACAAACTGTCTCTCAGACCACAGTGCAATCAAACTAGAACTCAGGATTAAGAAACTCACTCAAAACCGCTCAAGTACATGGAAACTGAACAACCTGCTCCTGAATGACTACTGGGTATATAACAAAATGAAGGCAGAAATAAAGATGTTATTTGAAACCAATGAGAACAAAGACACAACATACCAGAATCTCTGGGACACATTCAAAGCAGTGTGTAGAGGGAAATTTATAGCACTAAATGCCCACAAGAGAAAGCAGGAAAGATCTAAAATTGACACCCTAACATCACAATTAAAAGAACTAGAGAAGCAAGAGCAAACACATTCAAAAGCTGGCAGAAGGCAACAAATAACTAAGATCAGAGCAGAACTGAAGGAAATAGAGACACAAAAAACCCTTCAAAAAATCAATGAGTCCAGGAGCTGGTTTTTTGAAAAGATCAACAAAATTGATAGACCACTAGCAAGACTAATAAAGAAGAAAAGAGAGAAGAATCAAATAGACGCAATAAAAAAATGATAGAGGGGATATCACCACCGATCCCACAGAAATACAAACTACCATCAGAGAATACTATAAACACCTCTATGCAAATAAACTAGAAAATCTAGAAGAAATGGATAAATTCCTCGACACATACACCCTCCCAAGACTAAACCAGGAAGAAGTTGAATCTCTGAATAGACCAATAACAGGCTCTGAAATTGAGGCAATAATTAATAACTTACCAACCAAAAAGAGTCCAGGACCAGATGGATTCACAGCCAAATTCTACCAGAGATACAAGGAGGAGCTGGTACCATTCCTTCTGAAACTATTCCAATCAATAGAAAAAGAGGGAATCCTCCCTAACTCATTTTATGAGGCCAGCATCATCCTGATACCAAAGCCTGGCAGAGACACAACAAAAAAAGAGAATTTTAGACCAATATCCCTGATGAACATCGATGCAAAAATCCTCAACAAAATACTGGCAAACCAAATCCAGCAGCACATCAAAAAGCTTATCCACCATGATCAAGTGGGCTTCATCCCTGGGATGCAAGGCTGGTTCAAGATACGCAAATCAATAAATATAATCCATCATATAAACAGAACCAACGACAAAAACTACATGATTATCTCAATAGATGCAGAAGACCTTTGACAAAATTCAACAACGCTTCATGCTAAAAACTCTCAATAAATTAGGTATTGATGGGACGTATCTCAAAATAATAAGAGCTATCTATGACAAACCCACAGCCAATATCATACTGAATGGAGAAAAACTGGAAGCATTCCTTTTGAAATCTGGCACAAGACAGGGATGCCCTCTCTCACCACTCCTAGTCAACATAGTGTTGGAAGTTCTGGCCAGGGCAATCAGGCAGGAGAAGGAAATAAAGGGTATTCAATTAGGAAAAGAGGAAGTCAAATTGTCCCTGTTTGCAGATGACATGATTGTATATCTAGAAAACCCCATTGTCTCAGCCCAAAATCTCCTTAAGCTGATAGGCAACTTCAGCAAAGTCTCAGGATACAAAATCAATGTGCGAAAATCACAAGCATTCCTATACGCCAATAACAGACAAACAGAGAGCCAAATCATGAGTGAACTCCCATTCACAACTGCTTCAAAGAGAATAAAATACCTAGGAACCCAACTTACAAGGGAAGTGAAGGACCTCTTCAAGGAGAACTACAAACCACTGCTCAATGACATAAAAGAGGATACAAACAAATGGAAGAAAATTCCATGCTCATGAGTAGGAAGAATCAATATTGTGAAAATGGCCATACTGCCCAAGGTAACTTATAGATTCAATGCCATCCCCATCAAGCTACCATGACTTTCTTCACAGAATTGGAAAAAACTACTTTAAAGTTCATATGGAACCAAAAAAGGGGCCGGATTACCAAGTCAATCCTAAGCCAAAAGCACAAAGCTGGAGGCATCATGCTACCTGACTTCAAACTATACTACAAGGCTACAGTAACCAAAACAGCATGGTACTGGTACCAAAACAGCATGGTACTGGTACCAAAACAGAGATACAGATCAATGGAACAGAACAGAGCCCTCAGCAATAATGCCACATATCTATAACCATGTGATCTTTGACAAACCTGACAAAAACAAGAAATGGGGAAAGGATTCCCTATTTAATAAATGGTGCTGGGAAAACTGGCTAGCCATATGTAGAAAGCTGAAACTGGATCCTTTCCTTACATCTTATACAAAAATTAATTGAAGATGGATTAAAGACTTAAATGTTAGACCTAAAACCATAAAAACCCTAGAAGAAAACCTAGGCAATACTATTTAGGAAAAAGGCATGGGCAAGGACTTCATGTCTAAAACACCAAAAGCAATGGCAACAAAAGCCAAAATTGACAAATGGGATCTAATTAAACTCAAGAGCTTCTGCACACCAAAAGAAACTACCATCAGAGTGAACAGGCAACCTACAGAATGGGAGAAAATTTTTGCAATCTACTCATGTGACAAAGGGCTAATATCCAGAATCTACAATGAACTCAAACAAATTTACAAGAAAAAAACAAAAAACCCCATCAACAAGTGGGCGAAGGATATGAACAGACACTTCTCAAAAGAAGACATTTACACAGCCGAAAGACACATGACAAAATGCTCATCATCACTGGCCATCAGAGAAATGCAAATCAAAACCACAATGAGATACCATCTCACACCAGTTAGAATGGTGATCATTAAAAAGTCAGGAAACAACAGGTGCTGGAGAGGATGTGGAGAAATAGGAACACTTCTACACTGTTGGTGGGACTGTAAACTAGTTCAACCATTGTGGAAGTCAGTGTGGCAATTCCTCAGGGATCTAGAACTAGAAATGCCATTCGACTCAGCCATCCCATTACTGGGTATATACCCAAAGGATTATAAATCATGCTGCTATAAAGACACACGCACACGTATGTTTATTGCAGCACTATTCACAATAGCAAAGACTTGGAACCAACCCAAATGTCCAACAATGATAGATTGGACTAAGAAAATGTGGCACATATACACCATGGAATATTATGCAGCCATAAAAAATCATGAGTTCATGTCCTTTGTAGGGACATGGATGAAGCTGGAAACCGTTATTCTCAGCAAACTATTGCAAGGACAAAAAACCAAACACCACATGTTCTCACTCATAGGTGGGAATTGAACAATGAGAACACATGGACACAGGAAAGGGAACATCACACACCCGGGCCTGTTGTGGGGTGGGGGGAGGGGGGAGGGATAGCATTAGGAGAAATACCTAATGTAAATGACGAGTTAATGGGTGCAGCACACCAACATGGCACATGTATACATATGTAACAAACCTGCATGTTATGCACATGTACCCTAGAACTTAAAGTATAATAATAATAATAATAATAAAGAAATCTCTATTTCTTTCTCCCCAGCCTGGTAATTAAATGAATAATTCAATAAAAGGAAAATATATTGGTCAAGCTTTTTGTGACGTCAGTAAAAGGCATACTTTCCAACCTTTTGTATTCATCCAAACAAAGCTAATGCACTTTTAAAAATCCTATACTTGTTTTTTTTCAGACCATCTCGCTCTGTCGCCCAGGCTGGAGTGCAGTGGTGCAACCTCGGCTTACTGCAACCTCCGCCTCCTGGGTTCAAGTGACTCTCATGCCTCAGCCTCCTGAGTAGCTGGGATTACAGGCACCTGCCACCATGCCAGGTTTGTTTGTATTTTTAGTAGAGACAGGGTTTCACTATGTTGGCCAGGCTGGTCTCAAACTCCTGACCTCAAGTGATCCGCCCGCCTCAACCTCTCAAAGTGTTGGGATTACAGACATGAGCCACTGCGTCCGGCCTAAAAATCCTATATTTGCAATCTATGTGACCACAACTGATTTAAACCCAGATGAAGATAAGGTATCAAAATAAACCTCAGGCAGACTGAGCTGTGCCACAATTTTAACACTAACTGATGAAGGCAGGATGCTTCTCCTGCTCAGCTGAGCATCCTGTCTCCCAAACTCAAAAAACTAAAATCCTGGAATCTTAGAACTGGAAGTGACCCTTGTCTTTGTGACTGTCCTTGAGCTCTGCTACCCATGAGTTTTGCCTCCAAAATTGTCCCTTTTATATGAAGTAGGACTCTGCGCAGCCAGAATTTTTTGTGTTACCTCTTTGTAATCAGATAGGGCACAACTGGCTGAGATTGTTGTCAGTATGTGGGTGTGGCTGGAAAAAAATACCCTCTGTGACCAATAGTTCTTTCTTCACTGTACACAGCTTTCATACTGTTTCTCATGAATAAAACATATTCACATGACATTTTGTACTTTTCCTTCGTTATTCAGTTTATGCAGATAGCCATTTCCTTTGGATAGTAAGAGAAGTGTCAGCTCTGTGTGGTAAACGATTGAGAAAAAAAGAGTCATGAAGAAGCTACAGAACTTGCTTAAGAGCACATGGTGGGACCCTCTTAGAAATGGGAAGAAAAGGCAGGGAAGAAAAGACCTGAGGTCAGGAGTTCAAGACCAGCCTGGACAACATGGTGAAACCCTGTCTCTACTAAAAATACAAAAAAAATTCTTTTTTGGGGCGTGGTGGCACGTGCCTGTAACCCCAGCTACTCGGGAGGCTGAGGTATGAGAATCACTTGAACCCAGGAGGCAGAGGTTACAGTGAGATCGTGCCATTGCACCCCAGCCTAGGCGATGAGTAAACTCCATCTCAAAAAAGCAAAACAAACCAAAACAAAACAAAAAAAGAAATGGGAAGAAAGCAAAAGTCCTGGCCAGGCATGGTAGGTCACACCTATAATACCAGCACTTTGAAGGACTGAGGCAGGAGGATCACTTGAGCACAGGAATTCAAGACCAGCCTGGGCAACATAGAGAGAACCCATCTCTAAATACATAAAACTTTTTTTTTTTTTTTGAGATAGAGTCTTGCTTTTGTTGCCCAGGATGGAGTGCAGTGGCGTGATCTCGGCTCACTGCAACCTCTGCCTCCCAGGTTCAAGCGATTCTCCTGTCTCAGCCTCTCGAGTACCTGGGACTACAGGCACACGCCACCACGCCCAGCTATTTTTTTATTTTTAGTAGAGATGAGGTTTCACCACATTGGCCAGGATGGTCTCAATCTCTTGATCTCATGATCCTCCTGCCTCGGCCTCCCAAACTGCTGGGATTATAGGTGTGAGCCACCGCACCCAGCCCATAAAACATTTTTTAAAAACAAAAGCAAGAAAGAAAAAAGCAAAAGTCCTGGACTCTGGGTCTATAAACTAATTTGCTTTCTTCCTAAAAAGTCTGTTTACGTTCCAAGACAGAAGAAATTCCCAATAGCTTTCTTTTTGTGGAGCAAATAAATGGAAGATGGAAGGAGGGAAGATAGGAGAAAAAGAAAGAAGGGAGGAAAGGAGAGACAGAATCAGATTAGTTTCAATTCAGACTTTTCACAAAAATACAAATTTTGGCCAAATTTTGAAAATATCAAGCATCTGCCGAGCGTGGTGGCTCATACCTGTAATCCCAGCCCTTTGGGAGGCAGAGGCGGGCTGATCACCTGAGGTCAGGAGTTCAAGACCAGCCTGGGCAACATGGTGAAACCCCATCTCTACTAAAAATACAAAAATTAGCTGGGCTGTGGTGGCACGCACCTGTAATCCCAGCTATTCAGGAGGCTGAGGCAGGGGAATCGCTTGAACTCAGGAGGCAAAGGTTGCAGTGAGCCGAGATCACATCACTGCACTCCAGCCTGGGTGACTCAAGGAGAGCCTGTCTCAAAAAAAAAAAAAAAAAAAAGACATGAAAACATGAAGCATCAGTAAATTGAACATGATACCTTCGTTTTTGTAGACCAAAGTGAATCACTTGGTAGATCACGCAGCAGTTCTGATCAATCTGGATAGAGTTGAGATAATGACATGCCCATCCTTAAGTGCGAAAGAGAGTGATGTCTCATTTAACCAGGTGGTGCCATCTCCAGTCACTGACCTTCTCTAAAGTGACTGCTTGGCACATACTGGTTGTTTCCATGGCCGAATTATTCCTATGCCAACTTGACTTATGAAATGCTTATGAGAAGTATAACAAATATTGTAAAGGCAGGGCACAGAGGCTCACTCCTGTAATCCCAGCACTTTGGGAGGCTGAGGTGGGTGGATCACTTGAGGTCAGGAGTTCGAGACCAGCCGGACAAACATGGTGAAACCCCGGCTCTACTGAAAATACAAAAAATTAGCTGGGTGTGGTGGTGGGCACCTATAATCCCAGCTACTCGGGAGCAGAGGCAGGAGGATTGCTTGAACCTGGGAGGTGGAGGTCGCAGTGAGGCAAGATTGTGCCACCGCACTCTAGCCTGGGCGACACAGCGAGGCTCCATCTCAAAAAAAAAAAAAAAAAAAAAATTGTAACGAAAGGCACAGACAGGTCAAGTGGGCTTTTTAAATTACACTTTCCTAATGTTTCTTTTCATGATGATAAGGTAGAAAACAAAGGTCGCCATGAGGATTTTCAAACCACCATTTGCAGGAGCACAAAAGAACAAAGATGTGTTTAAATATTAAAAATTTTCAAATCGAGCTAAGAAACAGTTAAATAAAATAAGAGAAAGATATATTCTTTCCCTTTCCCTTGACACATATGCCTTCATAACCTAGAAGGCTAGATTTGGGTTTAGAATTCTCAAGTTCCTGAGAGTCCCACACCAGAATGTGGTGGTGTGGGACGAGCTGGCCCCAGCACCAGCCTCCAGACCCCTTCACTCTCTGCCCCAGCTCTGTCCACACCAGGAGAGTTCTGATGCTCATTCATGTGAACTCTGCAGGTCCCATGTTTAAGTCTCATTCCACAACAATCAAGCAGCCACCCCCTTGGGTCTAGTGAGGTGTGCACAGGGGGTACAATACATCCTTGGGAGGACAGACCCAGGGAAGAGGTCCACGCAGGCTCTGGAAGTGGATCTGGGGACATTTGGGCAAGATATTTTGGGGTTCCAAGTTCCTAGTCTTTTGTGTGTATGTGTGTGTGTGTGTGTGAGACGGAGTCTTGCTCTGTCACCCAGGCTGAATGGAGTGCAGTGGCGCAATTTCGTCTCACTGCAACCTCTGCCTCCCAGGTTCAAGCGACTCTCCTGCCTCAGCCTCCCAAGTGGCTGAGATTACAGGCCTGTGCCACCACACCCAGCTAATTTTTGTATTTTTAGTACAGATGGGGTTTCAGCATGTTGGCTAAGCTGGTCTTGAACTGCTGACGTCAGGTGATCCATCCACCTCGGCCTCCCAAAGGGCTGGAATTACAGATGTGAGCCACCACACCTGGCCTCTATTTGTTAATTTTTAATATCAACTGTAGATGTTATCTTTTTAATATAGACAATCTCAAACTTTAGAGAAGTTGCAAGTACAGTTCAAAGAACCTTATCTTTTTCTGAACCATTTGAAAGCTAGTTGCCAGTTTAGCCCATCATGTTTGTATTCTTTCTTTCTTTTTATTATTATTTTCTCTCAAAAAGATAGAAACTCACACCTTTGCATTCTTTAGCGTGTGTTTCCAACAAGCATTCTCCTATATAACCACATTACAACCATAAACTCAGGCCTCGTTCAGTCGTCCCAAGAATGTCCTTTTTAGCAGAAGAATCCAATCTGGAATCATGCATTGCATACAGTCATCATGTCTCCTTAGTTGCCTTCAATTTAGAACAGTCTTTTCCTGACTTTCACAATCTTGACATTTCTAGCTTAATGGCCACTTGTTTTTTAGAACATCCCTCAATGTGGGCTTGACTAATGTATCCTCATGATGAGACTCAGCTTACGCATCTTTGTCAGAACTGTCACCAAGGCACCGATGCTGTGTTCTCACTGCATCCCATCCGGTGGCACGTGATTTATATTTGTCCCATTACTGGGGATAGTAATTTGGTTCAATTGATTAAGGTGGCGGAGGACGGGTACTTACTAATTATTTGGTGGGGAGATACTTTCCGACTATTGACTATCCTATTCTTCAGCAAATGGATGTCTCCTCACAGCACTTGGGATCCAGCCATGCACACCAGCTTCCCCTCCACATGGCTGCTCTCTTTACCCACCCCTGCCTGGTCGCTTCTCCTCTGCTTAGACTCCAGCACCTGATTTTAAGCACCACTCGTCCCCACAACCACTCCTGTCATGAAGACATCTACCTTGCTTACCATTAGGCTTTTGGATTAAAGTTGTTTATGAAGGGAAGAAGGGAAGGGCAGAAGAGGGAGGAAAGAGGAGGGCAGGAGAAGCAAGAGGAAAGCAAGAAGGGGAAGGAGTGAAAATGCAGAGGAAGAGAAAGAACAATATTGATTTACTTTCATAATGGAGAATATGGGAATAATCTGAATTAATGTTAATTCAACATTAGAAAACACTTCTTTTAAATCTGAAAAACAATAAGGGTTCTTATACTACGTTTTTGTTTTTTGTTTTGAGATGGAGTTTCACTCTTGTTGCCCAGGCTGGAGTGCAATGGCGCAATCTCGGCTTACTGCAACCTACACCTCCCGGGTTCAAGTAATTCTCCTGCCTCAGCCTCCCGAGTAGCTGGGATTATAGGCATGTACCACCATGCTCAGCTAATTTTGTATATTTTTTAGTAGAGACGGGGTTTCTCCATGTTGGTCAAGCTGGTCTCGAACTCTTAACCTCAGGTGATCTGCCTGCCTTGGCCTCCCAAAGTGCTGGGATTACAGGCTTGAGCCACCACAGCCGGCACTACGTTTTAATTATTATTATTTTTTCTCTTTGGTAAAATAAGCTCATACTATGATATCCACTTAATGTGGAAAAACTAAGAAAGGGATTTCTCTAGTTCATATGGCAAATGACCAGCTGAGCTAGGATAAAAAAAAAATTGTAGGGTGAAATCTGTTACTATCTTGTCTCTACTATCTTTGCCTGGCTAGTTTCTGCCTTTTGTTTAAAAATTATAGGTAGGATGGGTGCCGTGACTCACACCTATAATCCTGGCACTTTGGGAGGCTGAGGTGGGCAGATCACTTGAGCCCATGAGTTCAAGACCAGCCTGGGCAACATGGCGAAACCCCGTCTCTACAAAAAAATACAAAAATTAGCTGGATGTGGTGGCACATGCCTGTAGTCCCAGCTACTTGGGAGGCTGAGGTGATAGGATGGTTTGAGCCCAGGTGGCAGAGGTTGCAGTGAGCCAAGATCATGCCACTGCACTCCAGCCTGGGCAACTCTCAAAAAAATGAAAGAAAGGAAAGAAAAGGAAAAAAAGAAAGAGAGAGAGAGATAAAGAGAGAGAGAGAAAGAAAGAAAAAGAAAGAAAAAGAAAGAAAGAAAGAAAGAAAGAAGGAAGGAAGGAAGGAAGGAAGGAAGGAAGGAAGGAAGGAAGGAAAGAAGGAAGGAAAGGAAAGAAGTAAAGAAAAGTCCAGGCACAATGGCTCATGCCTGCAATCCCAGCATTTTGGGAGGCAGAGGTGGGCAGATAGCTTGAGCTCAGGAATTCGAGACCAGCCTTGGCAACATGGTGGAACTCCCATCTCCACACTCACACGTGCACAATTTAAAAAGAAAAAAGAAAAATTATGTGTAGAGTTAGTGCTTATATAGCGTGATTGAAGGCGACTTTGAGGTTCCAAATACCTGCTGGAAAAAAGCAATTCCCCTACACAGGTTGGGAAGTAAAACACCCCCAAAACCCCACAGTGGTATAGCTTCCAGTAAGTGTTTAAGTACACACATGGAGCTGGGCTGGAGGCACGAGCTCATATTTCCAGATACTCGGGAGGCTGAGGGGAGAAGATATCTTGAGTCCAGGAGTTCAAGTCCAGCCTGGGCAACAAAGTGGGAGACCCCATCTCTGAAAACAAAACAAAACAAAACAAACCACATCTATTGCCTGAAAGACAGCAGGCTTTTAAGATAGAGTCCTTTAAACATCTCCTGGCCAGGCGCGGTGGCTCACACCTGTAATCTCAGCACTTTGGGAGACCAAGGTGGGTGGATCATCTGAGGTCAGGAGTTCAAGACCAGCCTGGCCAACGTGGTGAAACCCTGTCTCTACTAAAAATACAAAAATTAGATGAGCATGGTGGTGTGTGCCTGTAATTCCAGTTACTCAGGAGGCTGAGGCAGGAGAATTGCTTGAACCCCTTTGCAGTGAGCCGAGATCATGCCACTGCACTCCAGCCTGGGGTGACAGAGCAATACAGTAGCTTAAAAAAAAAAATCTATTGAGAAGGCTGAAGGCTGGGCACAGTGGCTCACACCCATAATCCTAGCACTTTGGGAGGCTGAGGTGGGAAGAACGTTTGACCCTTGGAGTTCGAGACCAGCCTGGGTAACGTGGCCAGACCTCATCTTAATCAGCAAGGAAGGAAGGAAGGAAGGGAGGGAGGGAGGGAGGGAGGGAGGGAGGGAGGGAAAGAAGAAAAGAAAGAAAAAGAAAGAAAGAAAGAAAGAGAAAGAAAGAAAGAAGAAAGAAAGGAAGGAAGAAAGAAAGGAAGGAAGGAAAGAAGGAAGGAGGAAGGAAAGAAAGATAGATCTATTGAGGCAGGACATGGTGACTCATGCCTGTAATCTCAGCACTTTGTGAAGCTGAGGCAGGAGGATTGCTTGAGGCCAGGTGTTCAAGACCAGCCAGGGCAACATAGCGAGACCCTGTCTCTAAAAAACAAAAACTAAAAAAGTTAGTCATGTGTGGTGCTGCATGCCTGTAGCCCCAGCTACTTGGGAGGCGGGAGCATAACTTAAGCCCAGGAGTTCGAGGTTTCAGTGAGCTGTGAATACATCACTGCACTCCAGCCTGGGTGACAGAGGGAGATTCTGTCTCAA
Organism: Homo sapiens; assembly: GCF_000001405.40. Taxonomy (NCBI): domain Eukaryota; kingdom Metazoa; phylum Chordata; class Mammalia; order Primates; family Hominidae; genus Homo; species Homo sapiens. Next base: position 100,419,930 of record NC_000010.11, read on the forward strand.
AAGAAAAGGAAAGAAAAGAAAAGAAATATCTATTGAATGCCTGCCTTGGGCCAGGTACTGCTAGGGAGATGGCAGTGAACTAGACAATCATGGTACCGGTCCTCATAGAGCACCACAGTACAAATATGATGAATGTTACAAAAGCAGAAACCACAGGGGCTAGGAGAGGGTATAATACGGGAAGCTGACCTGGTAATCTTTTTGGAGACTTGAAGAAAAGAGGAATTAGCTAAGTGAAAAGTCAGTGGGAGAAGAGAGAGGAGGCAGCAGAGTGCTCTAGGCAGAGGGAAAAGTATACAGTGAGGCCCTAAAAGTAGGGCCTCACAGAAATAGAACTAGGAGAAGGGTGGCTAGCGGTAAGGTAAAGATATAAGCAAGGAGGGACCAGGACATAGAGGGCCTCTCAAGCCATGGTAAGAAGTGTAGACTTTATCCCAAGGGCAATAGAAAACCAATGAAGTGTTTTAAGCAGGAAGGTGACACGCAGAATTGCATTTTTAAAAGATCACTATGGATCTAGCATGGTAAATAGACTGTGGGGGCAAGGATAGACACAGGGGAGCCAGTTAGGAAGGTATTTCGGTAGTCTAAGTTGAGATACTGATAGCAGTGAAGTGGAGAGAAGAGGACAATCTGGAGACTTCGGAGTTAGAATTAACAGCACCTGGTGATTCAATGCAGGAGGAGAAAGCGTCAAAGATGATTCCTTACCTTTTCCTTGGTAGCGCTTTCAATTATGACTAAGTAGTTATTTGTGCAAGTATTTGTTTAGCTGCCTTCCCCACAAGATTATAAACAACCCTAGGACAGGGATTTATCTTGAACATCTTACTTAGGTACATGCTGTAGCAGGGTGTGTGGCACATAGTGGTGTTTAAAAACGATGTGTTAAGGCTGGGCGCGGTGGCTCATGCCTGTAATCCCAGCACTTTGGGAGGCCTCAGGAGATCGAGACCATCCTGGCAAACACGGTGAAACCCTGTCTCTACTAAAAATACAAAAAAAAATTAGCCGGGCGTGGTGGCAGATGCCTGTAGTCCCAGCTACTCGGGAGGGTGAGGCTGAGGCAGGAGAATGGTGTGAACCCGGGAGGTGGAGCTTGCTGTGAACCGAGATTGCGCCACTGCACTCTAGCCTGGGCGACAGAGCAAAACTCCGTCTCAAAAAAAAAAAAAAAAAAAAAAAAAGAAAGAAAAGAAAAGAAAGAAAGAAAGAAAAAAAAAATATATATATATATAAATTAGCCAGGCATAGTGGTGGGTGCCTGTAATCCCAGCTACTCTGGAGCCTGAGGCAGGAGAATCACTTGAACCTGGGGGGCAGAGGTTGCAGTGAGCCGAGATCGTGCCATTGCACTCCAGCCTGGGGCAACAAGAGCGAAACTCTGTCTCAAAAAATAAAATAAAAACTATGTGTTAAGGCCGGGCATGGTGGCTCATGCCTGTAATCCCAGCACATTGGGAGGCTGAGGTGGGCAGATCACTTGAGGTCAGGAGTTCAAGACCAGCGTGGTCAACATGGTAAAACCCCATATCTACTAAAAAGCAAACAAATTAGCCAGGCTGTGGTGGTGGACGCCTGTAATCCCAGCTAGTAGGGAGGCTGAGGGAGGAGAATTTCTTAAACCTGGGAGGTGGAGGTTGCAGTGAGCCAAAATTATGCTACTGCACTATAGCTTGGGTGACAGAGTGAGACTCCATCTCAAAAAACAAAACAAAACAAAAAAAGCTATGTGTTGGCTGGGCTTGGTGGCTCACGCCTGTAATCCCAGCATTTTGGGAGGCCAGGGAGGGAGGATCGCTTGAGCCCAGGAGTTTGAGAGCAGCCTGGGCAACATAGTGAGACCCCACCTCTACAGAAAAATAAAATAAAATTGGTTAAGCGTGGTGGTGCATGTCTGTAGTCCAAGCTACTAGGGAGGCTAAGGTGGGAGGATGGCTTCAGCCTGGGAGGTGGAGGCTGCAATGAGTCATGATCACACCAGACCCTGTCTCAAACAAAACAAAACTGTTGGTTACATTGTATTTCTCAGCAACCGGGTTTATGGTGATATCACTCACTGAGTTTGGGACATGGAGAATGAAGAAGAGGTTTGGGGGATGAGTTTAGTTTTTTTTTTATTTTTATTTTTATTTTTATTTTTTATTTTTACAGAGTCTCACTCTGTTGCCCAGGCTGGAGTGCAGTGGTGCAATCTTGGCTCACTGCAACCTCTGACTCCCAGGTTCAGCTACTTGCCTCAGCCTCCCTAGTAGCTGGGATGACAGGCGTGCACCACCACACATGGCTAATTTTTTTTTTTTTTTTTTTTTGTGAGACTGAGTCTCGCTCTGTTGCCCAGGCTGGAGTGCAGTGGCATGATCTTGGCTCATTGCAACCTCTGCCTCCCGGGTTTAAGCTTTTTTCAAGCTATTCTCCTGCCTCAGCCTCCCAAGTAGCTGGGATTATAGGCACGTGCTACCATGTGAATTTTAGAATAGTTTTTTCTAATTCTGTCAAAAAATAACATTGGTAGTTTGATAGGAATAGTGTCAAATAAATAGATTGCTTTGGACAGTATGGGCATTTTAACAATATTGATTCTTCTAGTCCATGAGCATAGAATGTCTTTCCATTTGTTTATATCACTTTTGATTTCTTTTAGCAGTGTTGTGTAGTTCTTCTTCTTTTGTAGATCTTCTTGAAAGATCTTGGAAATCTTTCACCTCCTTGGTTAGATGTATTCTTGGGGTTTTGTATGTGTGTGTGTGGCTATTGTAAATGGGATTGCATTCTTGATTTGGCTCTCAGCTTGAACATTATTGGTGTATAGAAATGCTGTTGATTTTTGTACATTGATTTTGTATCCTCAAACTTTTCTGAAGTCTCAACTTTTATTTTAGAATCAGGAGGTACATGTGGTGGTTTGTTACCTGTGTATATTTTGTGACACTGAGGTTTGGGGTATGAATGATCTTGCCACCCTGATAGTGAGCATAGTACCCGATAGGTAGTTTTCAGCCATTGCCCCCCTCTTTCCCTCCCTCCTCTAGTAGTCCCCAGTGTCTATTGTTCTCGTCTTTATGTTCATATGTACCCGATGTTTGGCTCCCACTTCTAAATGAGAACATGTGGTATCTGGTTTTCTGTTCCTGCATTAATTTGCTTAGAATAATGGCCTCCAGCTGCATCCATGTTACTGCAGAAAACATTATTTCATTCTTTTTTTTTTTTTTTTTCTGAGACAGGGTATCACCCTGTCATCCAGGCTGAAGTGCAGTGGCACGATCCCAGCTCACCGCAACCTCTGCCTCCCAGGCTCAAGTGATTCTCATGCCTCAGCCTCCCGAGTAGCTGGGATTACAGGCGTGCACCACTAGTGCCTGGCTAATTTTTGTAATTTTAGTAGAAAAGGAGTTTCGCCATGTTAGCCAGGCTAGGCTGAAACTCCTGACCTCAGGTGATCCACCTGCCTCGGCCTCCCAAAGTGCTGGGATTACAGGCGTGAGCCCCCACACCCGGCCCTCTTTTTTTTTTTTTTTTGAAACAGGGTCTCACTTCGGTTGCCCAGGTTGGAGTGCAATAATGTGATCCCAGCTCACTGCAGCCTTGATCTCCTGGGCTCACGTGATTCTCTCACCTTAGTCTCCTGAGTAGCTGGAACCGCAGGCATAAGCCACCATGCCCGGCTAATTTTTTTTGTATTTTTAGTAGAGATGGGGTTTTGCCATGTTGCCCAGGCTGGTCTCGAACTCCTGGACTCAAGCAATCCACACACCTAGGTCTCTCAAAGTGCTGGGATTACAGGCATGAGCCACCATGCTCAGCTTGATTTCATTCTTTTTTATGGCTGGAAATTTCTTTTTCCTTTTTTCCTGAATTGCCACAAAATCATAAGTTCTTTGAAGCCAAGGATAATGTCTAATTTATATTTGTATTAAAGTGGTTTGTCACAGTGTTAGAAAAGAAAAGGAATTTAGTAAGTACTTGCTGAATGAATGAATTTTAGAGACAGACTTAAGCGCCCTCTTCTAGATTACAATGATAGATGGAAATGTTAACAGAAATGAGTTCATGGTGTCCAGAAAAAAGTAACTAGAGAAAAGATGGGTAAAGACTAAGGGAAATGAGTCCAGGCACGGTGGATCACACCTGTAATCCCAGCACTTTGGGAGGCCGAGGCGGGTGGATCACCTGAGGTCGGGAGTTCAAGGCCGGCCTGGCCAACATGGTACAACCCTGTCTCTACAAAAATTAGCCAGGCATGATGGCGGGTGCCTGTAATCCCAGCTACTTGGGAGGCTGGGGCAGGAGAATTGGGAGGCAGAGGTTGCAGTGAGCTGAGATCATGCCATTGCATTCCAGCCTGGGCAGCAGAGGTGAGACTCTGTGTCAAAATAAACAAACAAAAAAAAGATTAAGGTAAATGAAGACTCATCTTTTTGGAGCTCCAGTCTTGGGTATATTTGAATTTGCCTCTAAGTCCCTTAATCCTCATTATCACAAATGTCCACTGAGAACAGCGCTTTGTAAGAAACACACACACACAAACATGTTTGTACTTCCCAAAGTGTGTTGAAAGGACAGCTTTCCTATCATCTCTTTATTTCTTAATCTTTCCTTATTTCTGAACTAACACACCTATTAATAAGAGTCTAGGCCAGGCGCAGCGGCTCATGACTGTAACCTCAGAACTTTGGGAGGCCGAGGGGGGTGGATCACCTGAGGTCAGGAGTTCGAGACCAGTCTGGCCAACATGGTGAAACCCTGTCTCTACTAAAAATAAAAAAAAAATAGCTGAGCGTGGTGGTGGGTGCTTGTAATCCCAGCTACTCTGGAGACTGAGGCAGGAGAATCGCTTGAAACCTAGGAAGCGGAGGTTGCAGTGAGCCAAGGTTGTGCCACTACACTCCAGCCTGGGCAACAGAGCAAAACTCCACGTTAAAACAAAACAAAAATCTTACATGTACCCTGGAAATATTGTTTTCTGGGTAGAAATTTGGCTTTCTGTACTCTTGAGCTCAGATTTCTTTTCAAATCAACTTTAACCTCTTCTGAACCAGAAGGTATGTAGTAGGAGGGATCACTAGGTGGTGAAAATGCTTTGGACATGGAGAATGCAGGTAGGAGACTCCTTCCCAACTACTTAGACTAGGAAGTTAAGGCCTTTGGGAAGCAAAGGATCTGAGAACTGGCTAGGCAGGCAACGTACATGGCATGTGCAGGCTCCTGACTGCAGAACTTTTAGGATTCAAGGTCAATTTGAGACCACAAAGGTCAGAGATGTTGTGAGGGTCTGGTTTTCTGCACCAAAGCCTTGGAAAGGCACTTTTCATGCCAACTTTTCCTGATCATTTAATTTTAAAAATGTTGAGAGCAGGGACAGAATCTGTACTTTCATTGCATTTCCCAAAGATAATCTAGTTAACAATGGGCTAAATGTACAAACAAACCTCCAGCGGTAAATGACACTTTAGGTTAATGTTTAACTTACTAACTCCTAGGAAATGAAGTGTCACCTTGTATTTTTATCACTGATTTTAAGGTTTAAAGCATTTCACACCAATGTTTTTTTTTTTATTTCTTCCAATATCCCTATAACTAGGGATATAAAAGATAAGGGACAAGAATTATGATACACAGCCGGACGCAGTGGCTCATGCCTGTAATCTCAGCACTTTGGGAGGCTGAGGTAGGCGGATCACCTGAGGTCAGGAGTTCGAGACTAGCCTGGCCAACATGGTGAAACTCCATCTCTACTAAAAATACAAAAATTAGTCGAGCATGGTGGCGCATGCCTGTAATCCCAGCTACTCGGGAGGCTGAGGCAGGAGTACTGCTTGAACCTGGGAGGCGGAGGTTGCAGTGAGCCAACATTGCACCATTGCACTCCAGCCTGGGTGACAGGGTGACACCCTGTCTCAGAAAAAAAAAAAAAAAAAAAAGAATGAAATAATGTTTTCTGCAGTAACATGGATGCAGCTGGAGGCCATTATTCTAAGCAAATTAATGCAGGAACAGAAAACCAGATACCACATGTTCTCATTTAGAAGTGGGAGCCAAACATCGGGTACATATGAACATAAAGACGAGAACAATAGACACTGGGGACTACTAGAGGAGGGAGGGAAAGAGGGGGGCAATGGCTGAAAACTACCTATCGGGTACTATGCTCACTATCAGGGTGGCAAGATCATTCATACCCCAAACCTCAGTGTCACAAAATATACACAGGTAACAAACCACCACATGTACCTCCTGATTCTAAAATAAAAGTTGAGACTTCAGAAAAGTTTGAGGATACAAAATCAATGTACAAAAATCAACAGCATTTCTATACACCAATAATGTTCAAGCTGAGAGCCAAATCAAGAATGCAATCCCATTTACAATAGCCACACACACACATACAAAACCCCAAGAATACATCTAACCAAGGAGGTGAAAGATTTCCAAGATCTTTCAAGAAGATCTACAAAAGAAGAAGAACTACACAACACTGCTAAAAGAAATCAAAAGTGATATAAACAAATGGAAAGACATTCTATGCTCATGGACTAGAAGAATCAATATTGTTAAAATGCCCATACTGTCCAAAGCAATCTATTTATTTGACACTATTCCTATCAAACTACCAATGTTATTTTTTGACAGAATTAGAAAAAACTATTCTAAAATTCACATGGAACCAAGAAAGACCTCAAATAGCCAAAGCAATCCCATGCAAAAAGAACAAAGCTGGAACATCATATTACCTGACTTCAAACTTTACTATAACACTACAGTAACCAAAACAGCATGGTAGTGGTACAGAAACAGACACATAGACCAACAGAACTGATTAGAGAACCCAGAAATAAAGCCACACATCTACAGTGATCTGATCTTCAACAAAGATGACAAAAATAAGCAATAGGGAAATGACTCCCTATTCAATAAATGGTGCTGGGATAGCTGGCTAGCCATATGCAGAAGAATGAAATTGGACTCCTATCTGTCTCCATAAACAAAAATTAACTCAAGATTGATTAATTAGGATTTAATTAGGTCAAGTGGGACCTAATTAAACTAAAGAGCTTCTTTTCTGCATAGCAAAAGAACCTATCAACAGACTAACAGATGATCTACAGAATGGGAGAAAATATTCACAAACTACATACCCAACAAAGGTATAATATCCAGAATATATAAGGAACTTACTTAAACGATTAAATAAGTGAAACCCAAATAACCCAATTAAAAAATGGGAAAAGACATGAACAGACATACAATTGACTAACAAACATGAAAAAATGCTCCAAATCACTAATTGTCAGAGAAATGCGAATGGACACCACAATGAGATACCATCTCATGCCAACTATAATGGCTATTATTAAAGAGTCAAAAAATAACAGATGCTGGCGAGGTTTCAGGGAAAAGAGAATGTTTATACACTGTTGGTGGGAATGTAAATTAGTTCAGCCACTGTGGAAAGCAATTTGGAGATTTCTCAAAGAACTGAAAACAGAACTACCAATCAACCCAGCAATCCATTACTGAGTATATATCCAAAAGAAAACAAATCACTCCACCAAAAAGACACAGCACAATAGCAAAGACATGGAATCAATCTAGGTGCCTATCAATGGTTGATTGGATAAATAAAATGTGGTACATATACGCCATGGACTACTACACAGCCATAGAAAAGAACGAAATTATGTCCTTTGCAGCAACATGGATGCAGTTGGCAGGGGGGCATTATCTTAAGATAATTAACACAGGAACAGAACAGCAAATACCCATATTCTCACTTATAAGTGGGTACATATGGACATAAAAATGGCAATCATAGAAACTGTGGACTACTAAGTGGGGAGGGAGAGAAGCAAAGGTTGAAAAAGTAACTGTTAGGTATGATGTTCAGTACCTGGGTGATGGGATCATTTGTGCCCCAAACCTCAGCACCACAAAATGTACTCAGGTAACAAATCCGCACATGTACTCCCTGAATCTAAAATATAAGTTGAAAAATAAAAATTGAAATTATATTTAAAAAATAAATATGCCAGTTGTGGTGGCTCACACCCATAATCCCAGCACTTTGGGAGGCTGAGGTGGGAGGATTGCTTGAGCTCAGCAGTTCAAGGCTAGCCTCAACAAATTGCAAAACCCTGTCTCTACGAAAAATACAGAAAATTAGCTGGATGTGGTGGCACATGCCTATAGTCCCAGCTACTTGGGAGGCTAAGGTTGGAGGATCGTTTGAGCCCAGGAGGTGGAGGTTGCAGCAAGCCAAGACTGGGCCGCTGCACTCCTGCCTGGGCAACAAGAGTGAGACTCTATCTCAAAAAATAAAAAATAAAAATAAATAAAAAGATAAACAATAAATAAAACTATACACTTTAAAAAAAAAGAAAAAGAAAAAAGAAATTCAAGGAATTCTGGAGACCTAAAACATTTTCTGGAATATAAAGGGAATAACAGATGGGTCCATTTTCATAGATAAATACCACTTTTTAAAAAATTTTAAATAAAGACAGGGTCTTGCTATGTTGCCCAGGCTGGTCACAAACTCCTGGGCTCAAGTGATTCTCCTGCCTTGGCCTCCCAAGACGCAATTTTAAAAATTTTATTTATTTATTTATTTTTGTGCATTGTAAGATAAATACCATCTTCTGATTTGCTGTTATTGAAACCATGACTCTGAGTCCAAATACTCCTGTGTGGCCATACAACCTTACATTCGTACACTGTTAAATTTTAAACTGGTTCTTTTTTCTTCTTCTTTTTTTTTTTTTTTATTTGAGACAGAGTCTGGCTCTATTGCCTAGACTGGAGTGTAGTGGCGCGATCTCGGCTCACTGCAACCTCTACCTCCCGGGTTCAAGCGATTCTCCTGTCTCAGCCTCCCCGGTAGCTGAGATTTTAGGCACCCATCACCATGCCCGGCTAATTTTTTTTTTTTTTTTGTATTTTTAGTAGAGACGGGGTTTCACTATGTTGGCCAGGCTGGTCTCGAACTCCTGACCTCAAGTGATCTGCCCGCCTCAGCCTCCCAAAGTGCTGGGATTACAGGCATGAGCCACCACGACTGACCCTAAAGTGGTTCTTAGGTAAAGGGCTTTTGCATTTCATTCATCCTTGGGTTTGTTTTTGAGGTATTTCTTCATACGGAAGGACTTAGCAGATGCTTTGGCAGACTCGTCAATTCTGAGTCAAAGCACATATGTGATAAGAAGCATAGGGCGTAGTGTCCAAGAATATTTTGTTCTCCCTAGTTTTAAAGTTTAAAGCCTTGTTTGCCTTATTTAAAGAGATGTGTTTGACAATTATTCAGATTTTTTTTTTTTTTTTTTTTTTAAGACAGTCTCGCTCTGTTGCCAGGCTGGAGTGCAGTGGTGTGATCTCGGCTCACTGCAACCTCTGCCTCCTGGGTTCAAGCAATTCTCCTGCCTCAGCCTACTGAGTAGCTGGGATTACAGGCGAGCGCCACCACACCTGGCTAATTTTTGTATTTTTAGTAGAGACGGTGTTTCACCATGTTGGTCAGTCTGGTCTCAAACTCCTAACCTCTTGATCTGCCCGCCTCGGCCTCCAAAAGTGCTGGGATTACAGGCGTAAACCACCACGCCCAGCCTAGAATTTATATTTTAAAACAGCTTTGCAAAGCTGAGTTTTGACATTTTCTATTTTGATGACTCATTTGACTATCCAAATAATATTCTTAAAGTTTAACAATATCTGGGCTTCTAACTTCCAACACTTGGTGTTTGAAACTGAGGTACACAAAACAGAAGAGAACCAAAAACAAAAGCTCAAAATGTTTTACCACAACAATTATTTAATATTTCTTCTTCATTTGCTCATTGTATACTCAAAGTTTTGACTATAATGATTTTAGCTTGTAATCTGTATACTGTGAATCCTAATGACTGTTAAACAGATTAATATAGAGCTATATTCAACCTATGAGCTCAAAATCAAGTTATCTTGTGTGTAATAGATATTCAATCTTTATTTCATTCTTTCATTCAACGTACATTTATTGAGGGCTTTCTAAGGGGCAGGCACTATTCTAGATGCTGAGACTACATCAGTGAACAAAACAGACAAATCCTTGCTTCAGCGGAGCTGATATTTTAGTGGAGCTTATGTTCATTTATCCAAAAATCTCAAATAATTAATTTTGAAAATGAACTCCACTTGTATGGGGGAAGGGAGAGAAATGACAGGAACTCCAAATCATTTGAAAGTTGCAGCATGGTGTAAAAGGCCACCTGATTTGCAATCAGGAGACATTGATGGTAGCCCTAGTTGTATTAATCCTTCTTGTTATTTTCTTATTCTTAGTTTTCTCATCTGTTAAATAATGACATTGAATTTCATAATCTCAAAAGTCTCTATGGATTAAATGATTGAGCAGTTTATTATTCTATGATATGTAACAGGCATTTACTAAATTAACATAAATTTACATACAATGAAATGCACAGATTACAGGGATTTATTTTTTAAAGTAAAGACATGTCTAATGAGTCATCCTAAACTCCTATACCTTCTGTGGCTGTAGTACTTTATAGAGTTATATATGATGTTCAGAGTAATGGTCCTGAGGCATTACAGGGTGCTGAATCAGTTAAGAGAATATTCAGTTATGTTCATGAGACTACTTATTAAAGCACGAAAATGGACTGAGGCAATTTAGAGAGATTTCAAACAAAAAGTGTCTCTCATTAACCCATACTTAATCAGAAGCTCAATTAACCAGTATACTCTGTTCCAAGATTTTACAGTTTTTAGACTTATTTTTCTTTACAACCATGACAATATTGCTTCTAAATCCCAGCCATTTCATATGTATACTGCTATAATCAATGGATTATTGCTCCCTCAAACAATATGAAATGCTTCTACCAAAACAATCACTTCAGAGATAGAAAAACAATTGTTTAAATATGAAACAGACTTGAGTGAGCTAAGATTGTGACTTTTGTTTTAAAACACTCTAGATGTATTCTATCGAATATATGTGCAATTAAAAAGCAAATTAAAAATAAGAAATAGCCAGGCATGGTGGCTCACATCTGTAATCCCAGTACTTTGGGAGGCTGAGGTAGGGGAATAGCTTGAGTCCAGGAGTTTGAGATCAGCCTGGGCAACATAGTGAGACATTATCTCTACAAAAAATAAACAAAATTAGTAGGGCGTAGTTGTGAGTGTCTGTAGTCCCAGCTACTCGGGAGGCTGAGATGGAAGGATCACTTGAGCCCAAGACATGGGGGCTGCAGTGAGCAGAGACTGCACCATTGCACTCCAGCCTGGGTGACAGAATGAGACTGTGTCTCAAAAAATAAAATAAAGTAAAATAAAATTAATAAATAATAGCAGGAAGTCCTCTTCTATTCATTGTACCTGAGAATCTAAAGCTAAAGAACAATTCCTTGAGATTTTAGTGGATACATAAACTGGTTCAACTCTACAGAGCAATAAAAGAAGATTTAAAAGAGTTTGGTTATGCAATATTTGATTGTCACATTCAGGGAGAGTTTTAAGCTTGGCCTATATACTAAATCTGTGTACTCATTCATTCTTTTGAACTTATTCCAAAATTACAACTTTCTTTCACAGAGTACCTCACATTCCACTCATTTTCCTTAAATTGGTAAGGAAATCGTATTTTATTTTATGTATTTATTTATATTTTATTTTATTTTATTTTTTTGAGATGGAGTCTCACCCTGTCGCCCATGCTGGAGTGCAGTGGCGTAATCTCGGCTCACTGACCTCTGCCTCCTGGGTTCAAGTAATTCTCCTGCCTCAGCCTCCCGAGTAGCTGGGACTATAGGTGCCCGCCACCACGCCCAGCTGATTTTGTATTTTTAGTAGAGACGGGGTTTCACCATATTGGCCAGGCTGGTCTTGAACTTCCGACCTTGTGATCCGCACCCGCCCCCCCCCCCCCCACCCGGCCTCCCAAAGTGCTGGGATTACAGGAGTGAGCCACCATGCCCGGCCTGTGTATTTATTTTTGAGACATAGTCTGGCTCTGTCGCCCAGGTTGGAGTGCAGTGGCGCAATCTCAGCTCACCTCCTGGGCTCAAATGAATCTCCTGCCTCAGCCTCCTGAGTAGCTGGGACTACAGATGTGAGCCACCACACCCGGATAATTTTTTTTATTTTTTATTTTTAGTAGAGACGGGGTTTCACCATGTTGACCAGGCTGGTCTTGAACTCCTGACCTCAGGTGATCCACCTACCTCAGTCTCCCAAGGGGGAAATCTTATTTCTTTGACCATGAACATCTCCTCAGAAATTATCATTGCCCACAATAGCATTTCCATTTTGTGAAAAAGCTAGAACCCTAATATCCTCCTTTCATGTCACTCTCTTTTGTCTTTTATCAGTTACTTCCTTTCATTGGTCATTTAAGTCAATCTTTTAGAAACGTTATGTTTTATTCCTTTCTCTCTCCTGGTTCTCCTTTACTTCTCACTCTTTTGTTTATTAATTATTATTTTAAAGAGACAGGGGTCTCCCTATGTTGCCCAGGCTGGTCTGAACTCCTAGACTCAAGCAGTCCTCCTGCCTTGGCTTCCCAAAGTGCTGGGATTATAGGTGTGAGCCACCGCACCCAGCCCGCTTCTCAGTCTTTTAAAACACCTTTCCTCATTATTCAAACTAACAACCTAAACATTTGTATTGAGGACATAACACACACCCAACAATGTGTGTGGTGAGTGTTCAAGGGATAGGTGTGATCTGGGCTTAGAGCTTGCAGTCAAAGAGCTCACAGTCTAGTTAGGGAGATAGCAAACATATCAGAAAAAACAAGACAACAAGAAAAACATTAACAGTAAACCACAGGGCTCTGGCTGCCAGTGTAACTCAGGAGTTCAGAAAACCAAGCAGCTAGAAGAGTCAAAGTAGAGAAATAGGCCAGGCGCAGTGGCTCACGCCTGTAATCCCAACACTTTGGGAGGCTGAAGGGGGTGGATTATCTGAGGCCAGGAGTTCAAGACCAGCCTGGCCAACATGGTGAAACCCCCGTCTCTACTAAAAAATACAAAAATTAGCCGAGTGTGGTGGCAGGCACCTGTAATCTCAGCTACTTGGGGGGCTGAGACAGGAGAATCACTTGAACTTGAACCCGGGAGTCGGGGTTGCCGTGAGCCAAGATCGCATCATTGAACTCCAGCCTGGGTGACAAGAGTGAAATTCTGTCTCAAAAAAAAAAAAGAAAAGAAAAGAAAGCCACACAATCATCTGCCAGGAAATCTTACACAAATCTACCAAGGTGTACATTCTTGTTTCATCTGGAGCCTGAGGGCAGCTATTAATATGAAGGGAAAGCAACCAGGCAACCAGATAGATTGGTAAATTTGTGTAAATATATCTTTTTTTTTCTAGCCATATTAATTTGGCTGGATCATCAAACATGCCATTGAAAAAGATGTGTCTAGTTACAAATATCAGAAGAGCCTGTGTGTGAATGCTTGTGTGTGTGTGTGAGAGAGAGAGAGACAGAGAGAGAGACTTCACCAGGTGGGAACAAATCCAAAGGTGCATACTCAGAACACTACTACAGCGATCCAACCCTGCTCCACCAACATAAACCGATGTGTCATTGGGTATAAATATCCTTATTAAAGAGATCAGATCTATTGATTAATGCCAGACTCATGGGTACCATATAAAACAGAACACTTTCCAAGAGATATCTGACAGTGCCTTGTACCCCAGATAGACGTGTGTTTATCAAGTCACACAGTGACTTGGAGACCGCCATAGTTTTACCCTGACCAAGACTGTCATAGAGCTTGGCTTCTAACCTCAGCAGAAGGCTTGCTCATGTCCATGCACTTAGTCGGTTTATTCTAGTTTCACGAAGTGGAGGTTTTTGATTTCTAATCTGGCACAGATGCTCCATCCCGTGCCTTCTCCAGGGATGTTTTCTGAGATCACCCAGGTTTTACCAGGTTTTATGGGGCGAGAACCTGTCCTCACTTAAAAAGTAAGGAAGTTATGCCCCCTGCAGGACAAATCGGTAACTGCAGGCTCGGTGATCTGCGAGGACAGTGTTCTGTGCCTTTTGGAGCACTATATTGTTTCTCTCCACAATGTGGCGCTGCTGTTCTAAGTGTCATTTTAGGGCCAGTTTAGGGTAGGAAAGAGGGTGACAGCAAGAATTAGAAGGTGTAGGGGAGGGCGCCAGGGAAGTAGGGAAAGGAGATGTTAGGAAGAAAGCTGGTGGGCTACTTCTGCCAGATAGGGCTTCCCTAGCACCCCAAATCTGATCCATTGCAATTAGGAAAGTTATCTCCTAGTCCAAGGAATTTATCCAGTAGTTCCCAAATCTGGCTGACTGGCAGAATCACCAGGAGAACATTTTTAAAGATACAGATTCCCAGATTTTATCCCAAGAAACTCTGATTCATAAATTTTGAGAGGAGCGCAGTCATCTGTCTTTTTAAAAAGCTTTTTCAGAAGATCATCAGTGTGTTGTTTATCTAAGATTTAGAAGCGAAAAAATATTTTAAGGGGAAACCAGTCCTAGTCCTCTCAGGACTCTGTGAATACAACTTCTTTTTTTTTTTTTTTTTTTTTTTTGAGACAGAGTCTCATTCTGTCGCCCAGGCTGGAGTGCAGTGGCTCCATTTCTGGTCACCGCAAACTCTGCCTCCTGGGTTCAAGCGATTCTCCTGCTTCAGCCTCCTGAGTAGCTGGGATTACAGGCGCCCACCACGATGCCCAGCTAATTTTTTTGTATTTTTAGTAGAGACGGGTTTCATCATGTTGGCCAGGCTGGTCTCGAACTCCTGACCTCAAGTGATCCACCCACCTTGGCCTCCCAAAGTGCTGGGATTACAGGCATGAGCCACTGTGCCCAGCCAGCCAGAATTTTCTTAAAGCAAAGCAGCCTAGAGTTCATTGAGGAGGTCTTCGCTTAGTGGTCCTGAGTGCCATGACCTTTCCATCTATAGACAAATACCATCAATTATTTTGTGATGGCTCTTTACACTATTTAGATGTTTATTTTCCAGCCAGGCATGGTGGCTCATGCTTGTAATCCCAGAACATTGGGAGGCCAAGGTGGGAAGATCACTTGAGGCCAGGAGTTTAAGACCAATCTGACCAACATAGTGAGACTCCATCTCTAAGATTTTTTTAAAAAAATTAATAAATAAATGTTTTATTTATTTATTTATTTATTTATTTATTTATTTATTTATTTATTTTGAGATGGAGTTTTGCTCCTGCTGTGCAGGCTGGAGCGCAATGGCATGATCTCGGATCACCGCAACCTCCGCCTCCCGAGTTTAAGCAATTATCCTGCCTCAGCCTCCCGAGTAGCGGGGATTACAGGCATGCACCACCACGCCCCCTTAATTTTGTAGTTTTTAGTAGAGACAGGGTTTCTCCATGTTGGTCAGGCTGATCTCGAACTCCCAACCTCAGGTGATCTGCCTGGCTCTGCCCCACAAAGTGCTGGGATTATAGGCGTTGAGCCACCGCGCCCAGCCATAAATGTTTATTTTCAAAGCAACTAGAACCAGTTTGTTTCCTTCCTGAGATAATTATCCACTTGGTAATTGTAATAAATAATAACACTATCAGACTATATTAGTCCTTAAAGATGGTGCCCAATATATTGTTGTATGTTGGAAAATATATACATGGAAAAAGAAAATTGCAAGAAAATGCAGACAGCAAAGTGATAGAAAAGTACATAAACAGCAAAAGAATAGAAAAGTATTTGGAAGGAAATATACTCAACTCTTTTTTTTTTTTTTTTTTTTTTTTTTTGAGACGGAGTCTCACTCTGTCACCAGGCTGGAGTACAGTGGCACCATCTTGGCTCACTGCAACCTTCACCTCCCGAGTTCAAGCGATTGTCTTGCCTCAGCCTCCCAAGTAGCTGGGACTACATGTGCGCACCACCATGCCTGGCTAATTTTTGTATTTTTAGTAGAGACGGGGTTTTGCCATGTTAGCCAGATTGGTCTTGAACTCCTGACCTCAGGTGATCCGCCTGCCTCAGCCTCCTAAAGTGCTGGGATTATAGGCGTGAGCCACTGCTCCCGGCCGAAATATACTCAACTCTTAACAGTAAATACCTCTGGAGAATGGAACTGGGAAAAGAACAGCATTCCATTTTTATTTTACATGCCTCTGATTTTTTTTTAAACAACTAGAATATATTATTTTTTCTCTTCTCCCCACCAAATCAAATACAGATATTAGATAGATGGCAATGATGAAGGCACAGTTGTTTAATCTCTCCAAATTCCCATATCAAAACTGGGAGAGCAACTAGATAACAAACCCAAAATCCCTGGACCACATTTTGCAAAACTAGGTGACAAGGTATCCCTAGGAATCCCATATGCAAGCAGGTGAAACTCAATACCCACAAGCTCTGGACCATTTCAGCATCTGCATGGGAAAAGCAAAGGAAGCAACAGGACAGCTGACAGACCCCCAACTGGAGAACTCCAAAAGAGCCAACGGGAAAGTGAGGTGGGTCAATCTGAAAACAAGAGGTAGAACTGGAGGAGTTTGGCCTAATCCTATTAGTGGGTGAGTGCGTGTGGGGCCCATGAGTCTGGCTAGAGCAATCCAGCCCCTAGAAACCCATGAAACTGACCAACCAGGGCCCCATTTCAGGACATGGCCACACACTGAAGAAAAACGTCCAGATGTAGAGTCAAAATTAAGCAGGACTGGGATAAAAAAAGGCCAATAAAAGAGGTGTTCAGATTAGGCGGGGGAGGAAAGCAACAATATCAGAGTCACAGAAAGCAAGCCATCATATTTTTAAACACTACACTCCTATTTCCTAAAATTTCAGGAAGCCAACCTCATAGAAATAAGCAACAGAAAAGTATCAAGATTAAATCTAATAAAAGTTATTATGAGGAAAAGGAGAATAAGAGGCAGAATAGTTTCTACAGGCAATGAAAGCATATTAGAAACAGAGTAAAACTCTACAATTTCTTGCTTTGAAACCAACTGGAAAACCCTTTTTAAATGATATAAGACATAAAAGAATAGTAAAAACCAGAAACAGACAAACGCAGAAATAAAGTGACAGAACTCAGGAAATAATTAGAAAGAAAATAATTTCAAAAATAAAGACAAACTATCAGAAACACCACAGTGAATAGGCACAACAAATAATGCCTTAAGAAAAATAGGAGGTGAAGGCCGGGCGCTGTGGCTCACACCTGTAATCCCAGCACTTTGGGAGGCCTAGGCGGGTGGATCACCTGAGGTCAAGAGTTTGAGACCAGCCTGGCCAACATGGTGAAATCCTGTCCTTACTAAAAATACAAAAATTTGCTGGGCATGGTGGCACGTGCCTGTAATCCCAGCTACTTGGGAAGCTGAAGCGGGAGAATCACTTGAACCCAGGAGGCGGAGGTTGCAGTGAGCCGAGATTGTACTCCAGCCTGGGTGACAAGAGTGAAACTCTGTCTCAAAAAAAAAAAGAGAGAAATAGAAGGCAAAAAACAGGGAACATTTAAAAAACAAAAAAGAGCTGGGTATGGTGGCTTACACCTGTAATCCCAGCATTTTGGGAGGCTGAGGCGGGAGAATCACTTGAGCACAGGAGTTCGAGACCAGCCTGGGCAACATAGGGAGACCACATCTCTCTCAAAAAAAAAAAAAAAAAAAAAAAAAAAAAATATATATATATATATATATATATATATATATATATATGTATATTAACTGAGCATGATGGCATGTGCCTGTAGTCTGAGCCACTTGGGGGGCTGGGGTGAGAGGATCACCTGAGCCCAAGGAGATCAAAGCTTCAGTGAGCTATGGTTGTGCCGCTGCACTTCAGCCTGGGAGATAGAGCAAGACCTGTCTCAAAAAAAGTAAATAAATAAATAGAAAATAACCCAAAAAGAAATAGATTAAAGGGAAAGTGGCAAATATTGAAGATAAAATAAGAACAGCCAACGTATGGACAATGAAAGATCTTTAATCTCATTGCTGGGAGAGGTCCCGACTATCTTTCATGCATAACAGTTTAAGAATTTTAACTTTTTTCTTTTTTTTCTTTTAGACAGAATCTCGCTCTGTCGCCCAGAATCAAGTGATTCTCCTGCCTCAGCCTCCCGAGTAGCTGGGACTACAGGCGCATGCTACCACACCCAGCTAATGTTTTATTTTTAGTAGAGACAGAGTTTCACCATGTTGGCCAGGCTGGTCTGGAACTCCTGACCTCAGGTGATCCGCCCACTTCGGCCTCCCAGAGTGCTGGGATTACAGGTGTGAGCCAGCGCACCCGGCCAACTTTTTATTTTTATAAGACAGTTTCACTCTGTCACCCAGGCTGGAGTGCAGTGGCTCAGCCTTGGTTCACTGCAACCTCCATCTCCTGGGTTCAAGCAATTCTCCTGCCTCAGCCTCCTGAGTAGCTGGGATTACAGGCACCCGCCACCATGCCCGGCTAATTTTTGTATTTTTAGTAAATACGGGATTTTACCATGTTGGTCAGGCTGGTCTTGAACTGCTGGCCTCAAATGATCCACCCGCCTTGGCCTCCCAAAGTGCTGGGATTATAGGTGTGAGCCACCACATCTGGCCTAATTTTAGCTTTTTATTTTCACCTACACTAAAAAAAGTTTAAAAATTTATTCAATGGTCTGAAGTTTTTTCACTGATTAAAACTCAAACCCCCATTTTCTAGAAAAGTATCCTGTAGCTAGTTGCAAAAATAAACGTGCAAGATGCAGAGAATAATATGCATCAGGATCATCCTCTATATCTTGGGGCTGATTGAGATTTTATGGGTCCTGAAGCTTATACAATTTAAGGAACACTCTTTAAGAAAAAGAATACAAAAATATCTTTAATTCCTAGCTGGGTTTTATTGGGCTCCCCTATGTCAGATACATAATCGACCATTGGAAAGTCATGATCACAGCTGTCAGAACACTCAGGGATATAATAATGTGTCAAAGTGTATGTAAAGCAGGAAGAGTCAGCAGCTATAAATACTCTCTCACAGTAGCAATCAGGAGAAACTAATAAAGAGAACGAAGAAGAAAATAGCGATTGGCACCCCACCATGCCAGTCTTCCCAGCTTCATCCCCAGATCTCTTTACCTGCCTCACCGCCGCAATCTCCATCTTCACCCCCTAACTGCACCCCTCCCTTCCTCTGTGCTCTCACTGTACAGCCAATTGCCTGTTTACTCCATGGAATCACCTTGAGGATAAGAATTGTGTACTGTTGACTGTTGTCTCTCCAGAGCCTAACAGTTCCTAAGCACGTAACAGGTGCTCAATAACTATTCATAGAATGTAATGAGATCTTCTGGTACCTCAGCTCCTTACTTTTACATTTGCTGTGCTTTCAGCATAGCTTTTCTGGAGTGTGCTATAATTCAGGAAAAGAAAATATCCTTCCTTTCTGAAATTTTTTTTTTTTAATTTTTTTGTAGAGATGAGGTCTTACTATGTTTCCCAGGCTGGTCTGAAACTCCTGGGCTCAAGCGATCAAGTGATCCTCCCACCTCAGGAGTGCTGGGATTCCAGGCCTAAGCCACCATGCCCAGCCAAAAACATCCTTTCTCATCTCTTGCTTTGTCGCCCAGGCTGGAGTACAGTGTTGCGATCTCGGCTCACTGCAACCTCTGCCTCCCAGGTTCAAGCAATTCTCCTGTCTCAGCCTCCTGAGAAGCTGAGATTACAGGCACACACCACCATGCCCAGCTAATTTTTGTATTTTTAGTAGAGATGGGGTTTCACCATATTGGTCAGACTGGTCTCGAACTCCTGACCTCAAGTGATCCACCCACCTCAGCCTCCCAAAGTGCTGGGATTACAGGCATAAGTCACTGTACCCAGCCAGGAGAATACTTTTGTAACCTGCATAATAGTATCTAATAAGTTTTTGCTCAACCCAAGATTTCATATAAGAAAAAAAACCCAATAACTTAAAATTCCTCAAAATTATGAGCTTTTGCTCTTTGAAGTTTGTTAAGAAAAGAAAAAAGACAAGCAACAGACTGGGAGAATACAGAAATAACTCAATATCCACAAGTAGTGTACCATTTCAGCATCTGCATGGGAAAAATCAAAGGAAGCAACAGGACAGCTGACAGACCCCTAAAGGGGTCTTGTATCTGATAAAGGACTTGTATCCAGAATATAGAGAGAGCTCTCAAAATTCAGTAATAATAAAACAAACAACCCAATTTTTAAAATGGGGAAACTATTTGAATAGAAAACTCACCCAAGAAGATATATGGATAGCAGCCAGGCACGGTGGCTCAAGCCTGTAATCCCAGCACTTTGGGAGGCTGAGGCGGGAGGATCTCGAGGTCAGGAGACGAAGACCATTCTGGCTAACACGGTGAAACCCCATCTCTACTGGAAAAAAAAAAAAAAAATTAGCTGGGCATGGTGGCAGGTGCCTGTAGTCTCAGCTACTCAGGAGGCTGAGGCAGGAGAATGGCGTGAACCCGGGAGGCGGAGCTTGCAGTGAGCCGAGATCACGCCACTGCACTCCAGCCTGGGCGACAGAGCAACACTCCGTCTCAAAAAAAAAAAAAAAGAAAGATATATGGATAGCAAATAAGCACAGAAAAAGATGTTCAACCTCATTAGCCAGTAGAGAAATGCAAATTAAAACCTCAGTGATACTACTACACACTTACAAGAGCCATAATCCAGATGAGTGTTTTGGCAAGAATGGGAAGCAACCAGAACTTTCTTCCTTTCTTTTTTTTACAGAAAGCGTCTTACTATGTTGCCCAGGCTGTTTCAAACTCCTGGGCTTGCGTGGACACGGTGGCTCACGCCTGTAACTCCAACACTTCGGGAGATTGAGGCA
This sequence comes from Homo sapiens, assembly GCF_000001405.40. Lineage (NCBI taxonomy): Eukaryota > Metazoa > Chordata > Mammalia > Primates > Hominidae > Homo > Homo sapiens. The sequence goes on from NC_000010.11 coordinate 100,440,748, forward strand.
GGTGAATCTGAGATCAGGAGTTCGAGACCAACCTGGCCAACAAGGTGAAAGCCCGTCTCTATTAAAAATACAAAAAATTACTTGGGTGTGGTGGTACACGCCTGTAGTCCCAGCTACTCAGGAGGCTGAGGCAAGAGCATCACTTGAGCCAGGAGGTGGAGGTTGCAGTAAGCTGAGATCACACCACTGCACTCCAGCCTAGGCGACAGAGCGAGACTCCATCTAAAAGAAAAACCAAACAAACAACAACAACAAAAAAACCCATTTTGGAAAAGTTTGGCAGCTTCTTAAAATGTTAAGCATACACCTACTATAAACCCAGCCATTCCATTTCTAAGTATTTATCCCAAATAAATGAAGACATAGATCCATTAAACACTTGTACTAAATGTTCACAGCAGTTTTATTTATTTTCATTATTTTTAAATTTTTAAAATAGAGATGGGGGGTCTCACTATAATCCCTGCTCTTTGGGAGGCCAAGGTGGGGAGATAAGCTGATGTCAGGAGTTCGAGACCAGCCTGGCCAATATAGTGAAACCCTGTCTCTACTAAAAATACAAAAATTAGCTGGGCATGGTGGCGCATGCCTGTAATCCCAGCTGTTCTGGAGGCTGGTGTAGGAGAATCACTTGAACCCAGGAGGAGGAGGTTACAGTGAGCCGAGATTGTGCCATTGCACTCCAGCCTGGATGAGAGTGAGACTCCATCTCAAAAAATAAAATAAAATGAAATAAAATTTTAGAAAACGCAATGAAATCTTTCCCCTGGACTACCACACTAGCTTCCTAAATGGTTCTCTCTGCTTTTCTTTTTTTTTGAAATGGAGTCTCACTCTGTCACCGCGGCTGGAGTGCAGTAGTGAGGCCTTGGCTCACTGCAACCTCTGCCTGCTGGGTTCAGGTGATTCTCCTGCCTCAGCCTCCCGAGCAGCTGGGATTACAGGCACGCACCACCACACCTGGCTAATTTTTGTATTTATATTACAGACAGGGTTTCACCATGTCGGCCAGGCTGGTCTTGAACTCCTGACCTCAAGTGATCCACCGGCCTTGGCCTCCCAAAGTGCTGGGATTACAGGTGTGAGACACCGTGCCCAGCCTCTCTGTTTCTTTTCTATCACTCCTCTAATCCACTCTTCACGCAGCATCCAGGATATTTTTTTCTAAAATATAAAGCATATCATGATGTGATGCTCTTCTGCTTAAAACCCTCCTATGGCTTCCAATTGCTCTTAGAATACAATCCAAATATATGGTAGAGGCCAGGAGCGGTGGCTCATGTCTGTAATCCCAGCACTTTGGGAGGCCGAGGCAGGCAGATCATCTGAGGTCAGGAGTTCGAGACCAGCCTGGCCAACATGGCGAAACCCCGTCTCTACTAAAAAAAAATACAGGCCAGGTATAGCGGGTCATGCCTGTAATCCCAGCACTTTGGGAGGCTGAGGTGGGCAGATCATGAGGTCAGGAGATCGAGACCATCCTGGCCAACATGGTGAAACCCCATCTCTACTAAAATACAAAAAAAAATTAGCCGGTGTAGTGGTGCATGCCTGTAATCCCAGCTACTCAGGAGGCTGAGGCAGGAGAATCGCTTGAACCTGGGAGGCGGAAGTTGCAGTGAGCCGAGATCACGCCGCTGCACTCCAGCCTGGGCTACACAGCGAGACTCTGTCTCAAAAAAAAAAAAAAAAAAAAATTCGCTGAGCGTGGTGGCGGGCACCTGTAATTCCAGCTACTTGGGAGGCCAAGGCAGGAGCATCACTTGAACCCAGGAGGCAGAGGTTGCAGTAAGCCGAGATCATGCCACTGCACTCCAGCCTCGGTGTCAGAGCAAGACTCTATCTCAATAAACAAACAAACAAACAAACAAACATCTAGTAGACACTTCCTGATCTAGCTTATTCTACCTCTCTGACCTTATCTCCAGCTACCCTCCCCTCTTTGCTTACCATATTCAGCCATACAGATCTTTTGGCTCCAAAAACCTGCCTAACTTGCTCCTGCCTCTAGACCTTTGTGTTTACTGTTCTTTCACTTGGAATGTTCTTCCTCGGAACTATGCCTAATGCGCCTTCCTATCTTTCAGGCCTCCCCTCATGTATCACTTCTTCAGAAATGACTTCTGTGACCACATCTGAGGTAGGCCTGTAGTCAGTCCCTATTCATTATAATTTCATAGCATATATTATCTGAAGTTATTTTGCCATTTGTTCATTATTTCCCTCTCCCAACCACCACCTTCAAGACAACAATAATTAGTTTCTTTCTTCTTCACAGCTGTATCCTCAGTGCATACAGCAGTGTCTAGCACACCACAGACACTCACATGTTTGTTGAATGAATGAATGGGTGACCTTCAAGCAGTCTGGAAAGAGAGCAGCCAGTTCTCTACTTAAATGTTTTCAGAAAAGATTCCACCATTTTTCTGACAATAAAAATGAAGTCCAGTGTCCAATAATATTTAGTTGTCAGAATGGTTCTCCTAATATCCAACCTAATCCTTCCCAAAGCAATTTCTGTCCTGTCTCTTCTCATTTGTCTGGTGCTCAATGGAATAATTAAATTAGCTTACCATGGTCAATAATAAATGTACCAGGCCTTCTCAACAATAATTCTACTTCTCATCATATCTCACATTGCTGTTCTCTCTGGTCCTTGTCAAAAGTTCTCGGTCTCAAGTTTCATCTGTGAAGCCCAGTATTCAACCCAAATATTACTGCTTGAAATAGCCTACATAAGAAAAACTCAACGTATAAGTACCTACTTAAAAAGAGCAGTCCTACATCACCTACCTCTTATTAAATTTCTTTATCTGGCCAGGCACAGTGGCTCACACCTGTAATCCCAGCACTTTGGGAGGCTGAGGCAGGAGAATCGCTTGAACCCAGGAGGCACAGGTTGCAGTGAGCTGAGATCGCACCACTGCACTCCAGCCTGGGCGGCAGAGTGAGACTCCATTTCAAAAATAAAAAACAAAAAAAACTATTTATCTGTAGATTCTACATGTGTTTTCATAATGGCCTTTTGTGAAAATGCTTGGACCTTCTCAAGAACCTGCAGGTTCAAATGAGAAGAAGTTTTGAAACATCTTAAAGGTTGTAGCTCCTAGAAAAGCTACCCAACATTGCTGGCCCACCTGTGGTTTCACCACTCCACGCAAAGCGGGGTATAGGTACAGGGTCTGAAATTCCAGTGAATTTCAACCTTCCAGAAGAAGGTTGAATGAATAACCATTAAAAGCACTCTTCTTTTTTCTTGAGACGGAGTCTCACTCTTCACCCAGGCTGGAGTGCAGTGGCACGATCTCGGCTTACTGCAACCTCCACCTCCCAGGTTCAAGTGATTCTCGTGTCTCAGCCTCCCAAATAGCTGGGATTACAGGTGCATGCCACCACACCGGGCTAATTTTTGTATTTTTAGTAGAGATGGGGTTTTACCAGGTTGGTCAGGTTGGTCTCGAACTCCTGGCTTCAATCGATCCACCCACCTCAGCCTCTCAAACTGCTGGGATTATAGGCGTGAGCCACCGCACCTGGCCAAAAGCGTACTTTAGTGAGAAGTTATTAAGACTAAAAAAGTGGGCTTTGGGCTGGCTGCAGTGGCTCATGCCTGTAATCCAACCACTTTAGGAGGCCAGGAGGGAGATCACTAGAGCCCAGGAGTTTGAGACCAGCCTGGGCAACACAGGGAGATCCCCCTGCCATGGTCTCTACCTAAAAACTACAAAAATTAGTGGGGTGTGGTGGTGCATGCCTGTAATCCCAGCTACTTGGGAGGCTGAGGTGGGAGGGTTGCTTGCACCCTGGAGGTCAAGGCTGCAGTGAGCCAAGGTCGCACCACTGCACCCCAGCCTGGGCAACAGAGTGAAACTCTGTCTCAAAAAAAAAAAAAGTGGGCTTTAGGGGTAAATCTTAAAGTTGAGATGGGGAAAAAGTAAACAGAACTGAGGATCCTATAGACTGCACTAGCCAAAGTTATGATGATACCTCAGTTTTGTTAAACAGTATAGCACTATTGTTAGAATAAGCACTGGAGTCAGGCACACCTAGGTTCAAATCCTACTTCTGCCACTTACCTACTGTGTAAATCTGGGCACCTTACCTTGCTTCTCTAAACCTTGGTTGCTTCACTCATAAATGAGGGCAATGATATTGCATCCCTCATAGAGTCGTGAGATTAAATGACTTCATTCATGTAAACCCCTTTTTAGGGTTGTAGGAATTGCTCAATACATTTATTTGAGTTACTACTATGAATTCCTTTTTTTTTTTTTTTTTTTTTTTGAGATGGAGTTTCACTCTTGTTGCCCAGGCTGGAGTGCAATGGCGCGATCTCGGCTCACTGCAACCTCCACCTCCCGGGTTCAAGCAATTCTCCTGCCTCAGCCTCCCAAGTATCTGGGATTACAGGCATGCACCACCACACCCACCTAATTTTGCATTTTTTTAGCAGAGATGGGGTATATTATAAACAACTATAAGCCAATGTATATGAAAACTTTCATCAAATGAACCATCTTCCAGGAAAAAATACAATTTACCAAGACTGACTCAAGAAGAAAGAAAAACCCTTAATAATCCTATAACAAGGCATTAAAGCAATAGCTAAAAATCAAGTCCAGGTGGTTTCACCAGTGAGTTCTCACATACATTCAAGGGCCAAATGATTCCAACTTGTGCAAATCAATTCAGAGTACAGAAAAGGATAAATCACTCCCAATTAATTTTGTGAAACTGGCAGAATTCTTATAAAACTTGACAAAAACTTTATGAATAAGGAAAATTATAGGTCATAGTCACTCAGTAATATAGATGCAAAATCCTAATAAAGTGTTAGAAAACTAAATTTAATAATGTTCAAAACTGACAATACTTTATGACCAAGTTGGGTTTATCTTAGGAATGCAAGCTTGGTTTAGCATTGGAAAATCCACCAACATAATTCAAAATATTTGCATATTAATGAAAGATAATATGTTTATTCACTACATGGATACAATGTATATGAAAAAATCCACCATCAATTCATTTTTTAAAAAATAATTAATTAATTAATTTTAATTTTTTCTTTTTTTTTTTTTTTTGAGATGAAGTGTCTCACTCAGTCACCAGGCTGGAGTGTAGTGGCACATTCTCAGCTCACTGCAACCTCCGCCTCCCGGGTTCAAGCGATTGTCTTGCCTCACCCTCCCGAGTAGCTGGGACTACAGGCATGCGCCATCATGCCCAGCTAATTTTTGTATTTTTTAGTAGAGACGGGGTTTCACCATGTTGCCCAGGATGGTCTCGATCTCCTGACCTCATGATCTGCCCACCTCGGCCTCCCAAAGTGCTGGGATTACAGGCGTAAGCCACCGCACCTGACCAATTTTAGTTTTTTCTAAAGAGAGGGTCTTACTTCATTGCCCAGGCTGGTCTCAAATTTCTGGCTTCAAGTGATCCTCCCACCTTGACCTCCCAAAGTGAATTCATTATTTTAAAAATCTTTAATGAAACTAGACATAGATGTGAACTTCCTCAATCTGATAAAGCCTCTACAAAGCTCTTTGTATTAGTTATCCATTGAAGCATAACAAATGACCCCGAAATTTGATAGCTTAACACACTGAAACACATTTATGATCTCACACAGTTTATATGGGTGAGAAATTCGGGCAGCTTAGCTGAGTGCTTCCAGTTTAGTATTTCCCATGATGTTGCAGTCCAGAACATTGGCCAGTACTGCAGTCATCTGAAGGTTTGACTGGGGCTGGAGGATCCTCTTTCTAGGTGGCTGACTCACAGAGCTGGCAAATTGATGTTGGTTGCCAGCAGGAGGCCTCCTTGCTGCAGTGACCCTTCCATAGAGCTGCTTGAGTGTCCTTCCAACACAGCAGCTGGCTTTCCCCCAGAGCAGGCAGACCGAGAGAGCAAGATGGAAACAATATCTTTTATAGTCTAGCCTCAGAAGTCACACGTGACCATTTCTGCAATATCCTATTACACAGGTCAGCCCTCTTCAGATATGGGATGTGAATATCATTAGGCAAAGATCATTTGGAGCCATATAGAGACTGGCTATCACAATTTCATGTCATATATCTTCTTTCATGGTGAAACACTGAAATTATTCCATTTCATTAACAAGACAAAAGTTGCCACTATCATTTCTATTCTATTGAACTAGAGGTCTTAGTTGACACAGTAAAATTGAACAAGAAATAAAAGGAAGAAACAGTCACTATTTTCAGATCACATATGTCAATATAAAAAAATGCAAAAGAATATCCCACAAAGTGTTAGAATTAAAGTGAGTAATGTTTCTGAATACAAAGTGAATATTAAAAAATAAATTGTGCCAGCAACAATTGGAAAGTACAATTTCAGGACCAGGCTCATCACCCTCCCACCTTCTGGAGTCTTCAGTGTCTATTATTCCACTCTGTGTGTCTATGTGCACTCATTGTTAGCTCTCATGAATAAGTGAAAACATACTGTTTTCTGCTTTCTGCTTCTGAGTCATTTCAATAAGGATAATGGCCTCCAAAACATCGTATTTAACGATGAAATATTAGAAGCATTTCCACCAAAATAGGATAAGATCAGGAGGCCCATTACCGTCACCAATATTACATTCAAGTTTAGTCAATGCAACAAAAGAAGAAAAAGAATAGAGAAATATAAATATTGAAAAGGAAAGGCAATTTGGTAATATCTATTAACACTTTAAGTATATATATTCACAAGTTTTAGGTGGCCAAGTGAACACATACAGTTTTTCCCTCTCACTACAGGAACCCCACCCTATTATAATGATGACAAATAACATAGAAATAAATAAAACTTAGAGTGGTGAAAAAAATGAAGGGGCCCATCAGCAAATGAAGATTTCAACCAACTTTTTGAAGTTAGAGATAAGGAAAGGGTAATGAAGCCAAGAAGAAGCAGCTACTGCCTAGGGTTTTTGTGGAGGGGGTGGCAGCCAAGGACACTGGGTAGTCCCCAGGATCCAGGAGGAGCTTTTAGCTGGAGCCCCACATACAACAGAGGGAGCAAATGAGATGTGGGAGTTACTGATTAAAAGTCTGTACATAGAACAGCTGGCCCATCAATTTCGCTCTCCCTTCATCAGCCAAGCACCTGCCCCTCCAGTAAATAATTGATGAGTTCTCCTCAAAATAACTCAAATGGCTCAATAAGAAAGGGCTCAATACCCAGAATGCAGGCTCTGGCATCACAGAACTTTCTTTCATCTGTTGAATGGGATTTGACCACCCAGATAAAAAGTTCCAAAGTGATAAAATCTGAGATTATACAACATCTGAATGTGAGTAAAAGGTTTGCTGCAGGGTTTGGGGGTGTATTTTGGTTGTTGTTATTGTTGTTGTTTTGAGATAGGGTCTCACCCTGTCTCCCAGGCTGCAGTACAGTGGTATAATCTTGGCTCACTGCAGCCTTGACTTCCCAGGCTCCAGTGAACCTCCCACCTCAGCCTCCCAAGTAGTTGGGACTACATGCGCGAGTCACCATGCCAGACTAACTTTTGTATTTTTGGTAGACAGAGAGTTTTGCCATATTGATTAGGCTGGTCTCAAACTCCTGAGCTCAAGTTTTCCACCCGCCTTGGCCTCCCAGTGCTGGGATTACAGGTGTAAGCCACTATGACCGGCCCGTTGGAGTTTTTAGAGTGAAATATTTAAAGGTATATGTCCTATATGTTATGGATTGAGTTGTGTCCTCCTAAAAGATATATTGCAGCCCTAAGCTCCAGTACCTCAGCATGTGACTTTATTTGGAAATAGAGTTGTTGTGGCAGATGTAATTAGTCAATTTAACATGAGGTCATGCTGGAGTAGTGTGGGCTCTTAATCCAACACAAATGGTGTCCTTCTAAGAAGAAAAGAGGCCGGGGCAGTGGCTCACACCTGTAATCCCAATACTTTGGGAGGCCAAGATGGGAGGATCGCTTGAGGCCAGGAGTTTGAGACCAACCTGGGCAACATAGTGAGACCTTGTCTCTAAAAACATATAAGAATTAGCCAGGTGTGGTGGCGTGCACCTGTAGTCCTAGCTACTCAGGAGGCTGTGGCAGGAGGATCACTTGTTCCCAGGAGTTCAGGGCTGCAGTGAGCCATGACTGCACCACTGCACTCCAGCCTAGGGGACAAGCGAGACTCTGTCTCTAAAAATAAATAAATAAAAATTTTAAAAATGAAGAAGAAGAAGAAGGAAGAGAAGAAGAAGGAGAAGAAAGAAGAAGAAGGAGGAGGAGGAGGAGAGAAAGAAGGAGGGAACACCGTGTGATGACAGAGGCTGAGAATAGAGTGATGTGTCCACAAGCCAAGAAATGCCAAGGATCGCCAGCAACACCAGAAGCAAAGAGTAAGGCTTGGAACAGATTCTTTCTCTGAGCCCCCAAAGAGGAACCAATCCTGCTGACACCTTAATTTTAAACTTCTGCTCTCTAAACTGTGAGAGAATACATTTTGGTTGTTTTAAGCTTCCCATTTTGCAGTGCTTTGTAATACAGCGGCAGCCCTAGGAAACGAATACATCTTCCACATTAGTTTTCTATATCAAGTTGTTTTTTCTCAAGATTGTATTTCTTCCAATCTTGGCATCCTTGAAAAGCCAGTGGAAATGGACTAGCAAAGTAAAAAGGAATGGGTTAACCAGAATCCCTCAGTCACCGATTACTTCCTGCCTAGACTTTATTTTTATTTATTTATTTATTTTTGAGGTAGAGTCTCACTCCATCACCCAGGCTGGAGTGCAGTGGCACAATCTTGGCTCACTGCAAACTCTGCCTTTCGGGCTTAAGCAATTCTCATGCCTCAGCCTCCCAAGTAGCTGGGATTACAGGAGTTACAGGAGTGAGCCACCACGTCTGGCTAATTTTTGTATTTTTTTAGTCGAGATGGGGTTTCACCTTGTTGGCCAGGCTGGTCTCGAACTCCTGACCTCAGGTGATCCACCCACCTCGGCCTCCCAAAGTGCTGGGATTACAGACGTGAGCCACTGCGCCTGGCCCCTGCCTAGACTTTCCTTACACAAAAGATAATTCTGAGTAGAGGTCAGTTACCATGAAAGAGGATCATTGCCACAAGTTATATTATTCAACATTAAACTGCCTCAGCCAGGTGTCACTTATTGAAGTTGATGCAGTCCTTTTTGGTTGTGCAAAGACACACTCGGCTTCTATCTACTACTCTAGGGCTTCTAGATTCTCTAAATCTTTTTCTCCTTGTCATCTATTTTAGAGCTCATTTTGCTATCTCGTGTTTCTCCTTTCTGCTCTCACTATTCTTCTTTTGAAAAAAAATACATGGAATATTCAGGAAACAGGAGAAGCCCAACTTGACAGAGACACTATTTTCCTCTCTGTCATTCTCTCTCTCATCCAAATTTCCAGGGAAGGAAACCTGATTGGCTCAGCTGGGGAGAGTACCCACTTAGTTACCCACTTAGTTACATCATTTATGGTCAGGGCTGAGGTCATGTGGTACAAAATTACTGCCAGAGGCCCCCCACTGGAGGTTAGATAGCCTATAAACTGCCCATGAGCTGGGCAGACACTCCAAAAGCACTCTGCTATTAGTTGTAATAATTCAATGAACACCCTTGTGTATAATCTTTATAAACATCATATGATTACTTCCTTAAAATAAATTCCTAAAGGTGGAATTTTTGGGTCAAAGTGTATTAATATGATTAAAGTTTTAAATTCATGTTATCAAATTCATCTCAAAAGCATTGGATTAATTCACACTCCTATTAGCAGTATATAAAATAGCCATTTGACAACACAATATTGGATCTTATTTTTTTAAATCTTTGCCAATTTGATGAGTTAGGTGATGTCTTGTTATTTTAATCTTCCTTTTATAATCAGTAAAGGTAAATTTTTTTTTTTTTGAGACAATGTCTCACTCTGTCACCTAGGCTGGAGTGCAGTGGCACAATTTTGTCTCACTGCAACTTCCACCCTCTGGGGTTCAAGTGATTCTCCTGCCTCAGTCTCCCAAGTAGCTGGGATTACAGGCAGCTGCCACCATGCCCAGCTAATTTTTTGTATTTTTAGTAGAGACGGGGTTTCTCCATGTTGGCCAGGCTGGCCTCGAACTCCCGATCTCACGTGATCCTCCCACCTCGGCCTCCCAAAGGGTTGAGATTACAGGAGTGAGCCACCACTCCCGGCCAAGGTAAATAGTTTCATCTGCTTCTCAGGTGTTTTTTATTTCTGACTTTTGAAGAGCCTATCCATATGAATTTGCCATTTTAAAATTGGACATTTTTCATTCTAATGGTTTGTTATAGCTCTTTATATATTAAAAATATTTACCTTTTTTGTTTTGTTTTGTTTTTTGAGACTCACTCTGTCACCCAGGCTGGAGTGCAGTGGCTCAATCTTGGGTCACTGCAACCTCTGCCGCCGGGGTTCACGCAATTCTCCTGCCTCAGCCTCCTGAGTAGCTGGGATTACAGGCACCTGCCACCATGCCCAGCTAATTTTTGTATTTTTACTAGAGACAAGGTTTCACCGTGTTGGTAATCCACCCGCCTCATCCTCCCAAAGTGCTGGGATTATAGGCGTGAGCCACCGTGCCCGGCCCAAAAATATTTACTTTCAACGTACATATTAAAGATATATTTCCATTAGTCTATTTTGTTTATAGAAAAAGGTTTTTTTAATGCCAAGTTAAATTTAAAATGACACGTTTACCTAAATGTTAATTGTCCTCAAATCAACTTTAATAACACATTTAAAAAATACTCTAGAGAACAATAGATTCAATATTAGCAAATGAATCTTGCATACTTAGTGAGTATGAAGCACCAAATATTCAATCACAGTGTCCTTCATTATACTAAATAGCTAATTCAATACTCTTCTATTCACTGCCATATTCAGTCTTTGTCTTTTTTCACCCAGATTTCTGCAACTGGCCCTAAATTGTCTCTGCCTCCAATCTCATCCTCATCTAAGCCATTTTTCATCACTGCCAAAAAATAAGTCTTCTAATGTATACATTTTATATTACATGTCTGCTTAAACCCTTTGATGGTTTCCAATTGCCTTCATGATGATAAAACCCAAACTCCTTAGAATGGGCGCTTCTTCCCCTGCATACTACCTAATTTCTCTGGCCTTTCTTCTTCTTCTTCTTCCCTTTTTTTTTTTTTTTTTTTTTGAGAAGGGGAGTCTCGCTCTGTCCCCCAGGCTGGAGTGCAATAGCATGATCTCGGCTCACTGCAACCTCCGCCTCCCAGGTTCAAGTGATTCTCCTGCCTCAGCCTCCTGAGCAGCTGGGATTACAGGTGCCCGCCACCATGCCTGGATAATTTTTGTATTTTTAGTAGAGACGGGGTTTCACCATGTTGGTCAGGCTGGTCTCGAACTCCTGACCTCAGGTGATCCGCCTGCGTTGGCCTCCTAAAGTGCTGGGATTACAGGCGTGAGTCACTGTGCCCGACCTGCCTTTCTTCTCCCTCCCTGTTCCACATACTGCAGCCACAATGGGCTAATAGTTCTCCAATGTACCCTGTTGCTTCACACATTTGTAATACCTTTTGTTATTCCCTCTATATGAAACCCCCTTCCTTTTTTTCACTACTGATGAACTCTTATTTCATTTTGTTTTAGACTTAACCAAGTCTCTTCATCTTCTAGGAGGTCTCTCTGCCTCTCCCCTGTTCCTTTGGGTACACCGCCTACAAGCTCCCAAGGCACGCCATGCATATCTCTCCCTTGGCAATTTTGAATGTTTACTAGTCTGTTCTTCCAGGGAACTATCAATGTGGTGGTAGCCTCCTCTATCACTGATTCAGAGTCTTACACAGGGCCTGACACATCATAGGCTATTACATTTTTGCCAATTAAATAGACACATTCATGCACCATATTTTCTTAGGGAAAAGTACAACAAAGCAAATGTGCCACTATCAAAGTTTTAAATAGAGAATAAAGTGTCAGGGCATTAATAATAATAACTTAAAACAGTACTATCTCTAAGGATACTCAGTATATTGCTTTTCTGCCCTCTAGCTTAATTTTCACATTTTTATGTCTAAAAGAATAACACTAAGCAAACACCTTTGGAAGATGAACTAGGATAGAAGAATATTAAGAAATTTGGTTGTCAGGCCGGGTGCAGCAGCTCACGCCTGTAATCCCAGCGCTTTGGGAGGCTGAGGCAGGTGGATCACCTAAGGTCAGGAGTTCGAGACCAGCATGGCAAACATGGTGAAACCCCGTCTCTACTAAATATACAAAAATTAGCCAGGCCTGGTGGCAGGTGCCTGTAATCTCAGCTACTTGGGAGGCTGAGGCAGGAGAATCGCTGGAACCCAAGAGGCAGAGGTTGCAGTGAGCTGAGATGCCATTGCAGTCCAGCCCAGGTGGCAACAGGGAGACTCCGTCTCAAAAAAAAAAAAGAAAAAAAAAGAAATTTGGTTGTAAAATGCTTCAATATATTAGTTTCTGGTATAAAATTCCAGGAGAGAGGCAGAGATTGCAGTGAGCTGAGATCACGCCACTGCACTCCAGTCTGGGTGACAGAGCTAGACTCCATCTCAAAAAAATAAAATAAAATAAAATCCCAGGAGAGGCCGGTCATGGTGGCTCATGCCTGTAATCCCAGCACTTTAGGAGGCTGAGGCAGGTGGAACACCTGAGGTCAAGAGTTCAAAACCAACCTGGCCAACATGGTGAAACCCCGTCTCTACTAAAACTACAAAAATTAGCTGGGCATGGTGGTGGGTGCCTGTAATCCCAGCTACTCAGGAGGCTGAGGCAGGGAGAATTGCTTGAACCCGGGAGGCTGCAGTGAGCTGAGATGGCGCCACTGCACTCCAGCCTGGGCAACAGAGTAAGTCTCTCTCTCAAAAAAAAAAAAAAAAAAAAAAAAAAAAACCCAAGAGATCTAAGAATATCTGATTTTTAATTATTAATAATAGTAAATCAAATAATGTAATATAGTCTGTTTAAGAGGAAAAATGCAAATGTAGTTCATTTTTACATGAGGCCTCTGATTTGAGGGCACCAAGAGAAAATTCCAGACTTAGGATTTGAAAATAATGAGAGGGTTATAAAGTTGAAAACAAAACCTGATGGAACTGATAAATTTATTTATAATTCATTGTACCTCAACCATTGAGATAAAGACTCTATCCTCCAGTATCAAGGTGATTAAAATAGCAATACTTAAATCCAAATTAAAATAAATTAAAAAGTTGACTTTTTTTGTTCCCTTCTTTTCACAGGTGTTGAAAAAGTTGCCTTTTAAATACCCGAAGAATAAAAAAAAGAAAGAAAAACTGCCAATTCCTTTATTAGACTGAAAACAACCCAAATATTGAGCAAAATAAGATTACTTGTATACCTGACAATTTATACTATCCTGCTCTTTAAAAAATTGAGAGTAAGAGATACATATATATATTTTTTGAGACTGAGTCTTGATCTGTTGCCCAGGCTGGAGTGCAGTGGTGCGATCTCGGCTCACTGCAACCTCCGTCTCCCAGGTTCAAGTGATTCTCCTGCCTCAGCCTCCTGAATAGCTGGGACTACAGGCACATGCCACCACGTCCAGCTAATTTTTGTATTTTTAGTAGAGACGGGTTTCACCATGTTGGTCAGGCTGGTCTTGAACTCCTGACCTTGCGATCACCTGCCTCAGCCTCCCAAAGTGCTGGGATTACAGGCATGAGCCACCGTGCCTGGCCGAGAGATCTTTAGACCCTAACATAGAAAGTTGTATAGAGGTTCCAAGATGGCCGAATAGGAATAGCTCCAGTCTGCAGCTCCCAGCGTGAGTGACACAGAAGATGGGTGATATCTGCATTTCCAACTGAGGTACCAGGTTCATATCACTGGGGCTTGTCAGAGAGTGGGTGCAGCCCACGGAGCAGGGCGGGGCATTGCCTCACTGGGGAAGCTCAAGGGGTCGGGGAATTCTCTTTCCTAGCAAAGGGAAGCTGTGACATACAGTACCTTGAAAATCGGGACACTCCCACCCTAATACTGCGCTTTTCCAACGTCCTTAGCAAATGGCACACCAGATTATATCCCGCGCCTGGTGCAGAGGGTCCCACGCCCACAGGGCCTCGCTCACTGCTAGCACAGCGGTCTGAGATGGAACTGCAAGGCGGCAGCAAGGCTGGGGGCAGGGCATCCACCATTGCTGAGGGTTGAGTAGGTAAACAAAGCCACCGGGAAGCTCGAACGGGGTGGAGCCCACCGCAGCTCAAGGAGGCCTGCCTGCCTCTGTAGACTCCAGCTCTGGGGGCAGGGCATAGCTGAATAAAAGGTAGCAGAAACTTCTGCAGACTTAAACGTCCCTGTCTGACAGCTTTGAAGGGAGTAGTGGTTCTCCCAGCATGGAGTTTGAGATCTGAGAACGGACAGACTGCCTCCTCAAGTGGGTCCCTGACCCCCGAGTAGCTTAACTGGGAGACACCTCCCAGTAGGGGCCAACTGACACCTCATACAGCCGGGTGCCCCTCTGAGACGAAGCTTCCAGAGGAAGGATCAGGCAGCAACATCTGCCATTCTGCAATACTTGCTGTTCTGCAGCCTCCGCTGGTGATACCCAGGAAAACGGTCGGGAGTGGACCTCCAGCAAACTCAACGACCTGCAGCTGAGGGTCCTGACTGTTAGAAGGAAAACTAACAAACAGAAAGGACATCCGCACCAAAACCCTGTCTGTACGTTACCATCATCAAAGACCAAAGGTAGATAAAACCACAAAGATGGGGAGAAACCAGAGCAGAAAAGCTGAAAATTCTAAAAATCAGAGCGCCTCTTCTCCAAAGGAACGCAGCTCCTCGCCAGCAGCGGAACAAAGCTGGACGGAGAATGACTTTGACGAGTTGAGAGAAGAAGGCTTCAGATGATCTGTAATAACAAACTTCTCCAAGCTAAAGGAGGATGTTTGAACCCATCGCAGAGTAGCTAAAAACCTTGAAAAAAGATCAGACAAATGGCTAACTAGAATAAACAGTGTAGAGAAGTCCTTAAATGACCTGATGGAGCTGAAAACCATGGCACAAGAACTACGTGATGCATGCACAAGCTTCAGTAGCTGATTTGATCAAGTGGAAGAAAGGGTACCAGTGATTGAAGATCAAATGAATGAAATGAAGTGAGAGGAGAAGTTTAGAGAAAAAAGAGTAAAAAGAAATGAACAAAGCCTCCAAGAAATATGCGACTATGTGAAAAGACCAAATCTATGTCTGATTGGTGTACCTGAAAGTGACAGGGAGAATGGAACCAAGTTGGAAAACATTCTTTAGGATATTATCCAGGAGAACTTCCCCTACCTAGCGAGGAAGGCCAACATTCAAATTCAGGAAATACAGAGAATGCCACAAAGATACTCCTTGAAAAGAGCAACTCCAAGACACATAATTGTCAGATTCACCAAAGTTGAAATGAAGGAAAAAATGTTAAGGGCAGCCAGAGAGAAAGGTCGGGTTACCCACAAAGGGAAGCCCATCAGTCTAACAGCGGATCTCTCGGCAGAAACTCTACAAGCCAGAAGAGAGTGGGGGCCAATATTCAACATTCTTAAAGAAAAGAATTTTCAACCCAGAAATTTCATATCCAGCCAAACTAAGCTTCATAAGTGAAGGAGAAATAAAATCCTTTACAGACAAGCAAATGCTGAGAGATTTTGTCCCCACCAGGCCTGCCTTACAAAAGCTCCTGAAGGAAGCACTAAACATGGAAAGGAACAACCAGTACCAGCCACTACAAAAACATGCCAAATTGTAAAGACCATCAGTGCTAGGAAGAAACTGCATCAACTAACGAGCAAAATAGCCAGCTAACTTCATAATGACAGGATCAAATTCACACATAACAATATTAACCTTAAACATAAATGGGCTAAATGCTCCAATTAAAAGACACAGACTGGCAAATTGAATAAAGAGTCAAGACCCATCAGTGTGCTATATTCAGGAGACCCATCTCACGTGTAGAGACACACATAGGCTCAAAATGAAGGGATGGAGGAAGATCTACCAAGCAAATGGAAAACAAAAAAAAAGCAGGGGTTGCAATCCTAGTCTCTGATAAAACAGACTTTAAACCAACAAAGATCAAAAGAGACAAAGAAGGCCATTACATAATGGTAAAGGGATCAATTCAACAAGAAGAGCTAACTATCCTAAATATATTTATATATATTGCACCCAATACAGAGCACCCAGATTCATAAAGCAAGTCCTTAGAGACCTACAAAGAGACTTAGACTCCCACACAATAATAATGGGAGATTTTAACACCCCACTGTCAACATTAGACAGATCAACGAGACAGAAAGTTAACAAGGATATCAAGGAATTGAACTCAGCTCCGCACCGAGCAGACCTCTCCACCCCAAATCAACAGAATAGACATTATACATTCTTCTCAGCACCACATCACACTTATTCCAAAATTGACCACATAGTTGGAAGTAAAGCACTCCTCAGCAAATGTAAAAGAACAGAAATTATAACAAACTGTCTCTCAGACCACAGTGCAATCAAACTAGAACTCAGGATTAAGAAACTCACTCAAAACCGCTCAACTACATGGAAACTGAACAACCTGCTTCTGAATGACTACTGGGTACATAACAAAATGAAGGCAGAAATAAAGGTGTTCTTTGAAACCAACGAGAACAAAGACACAACATACCAGAATCTCTGGGACACATTCAAAGCAGTGTGCAGAGGGAAATTTGTAGCACTAAATGCCCACAAGAGAAAGCAGGAAAGATCTAAAATTGACACCCTAACATCACAATTAAAAGAACTAGAGAAGCAAGAGCAAACACATTCAAAAGCTGGCAGAAGGCAAGAAATAACTAAGATCAGAGCAGAACTGAAGGAAATAGAGACACAAAAAACCCTTCAAAAAAATCAATGAATCCAGGAGCTGGTTTTTTGAAAAGATCAACAAAATTGATAGACCGCTAGCAAGACTAATAAAGAAGAAAAGAGAGAAGAATCAAATAGACGCAATAAAAAATGATAAACGGGATATCACTACCGATCCCACAGAAATACAAACTACCATCAGAGAATATTATAAATATCTCTACACAAATAAACTAGAAAATCTAGAAGAAATGGATAAATTCCTGGACACATACACCCTCCCAAGACTAAACCAGGAAGAAATTGAATCCCTGAATAGACCAATAACAGGTTCTGAAATTGAGACAATTAATAGCCTACCAACCAAAAAACAGTCCAGGACCAGACGGATTCACAGCCAAATTCTACCAGAGGTACAAAGAAGAGTTGGTACCATTCCTTCTGAAACTATTCCAATCAATAGAAAAAGAGGGAATCCTCCCTAATTCATTTTATGAGGCCAACATCATCCTGATACCAAAGCCTGGCAGAGACACAACAAAAAAAGAGAATTTTAGACCAATATCCCTGGTGAACACCGACGCAAAAATCCTCAATAAAATACTGGCAAACCGAATCCAGCACCACATCAAAAAGCTTATCCACCACGATCAAGTTGGCTTCATCCCTGGGATGCAAGGCTGGTTCAACATATGCAAATCAATAAATGTAATCCATCATATAAACAGAACCAAATACAAAAATCACATGATTATCTCAATAGATGCAGAAAAGGCCTTCAACAAAATTCAACAGCCCTTCATGCTAAAAACTCTCAATAAACTAGGTATTGATGGGACGTATCTCAAAATAATAAGAGCTATTTATGACACATCCACAGCCAATATCATACCGAATGGGCAAAAACTGGAAGCATTCCCTTTGAAAACTGGCATAAGACAGGGATGCCCTCTCTCACCACTCCTAGTCAACATAGTGTTGGAAGTTCTGGCCAGGGCAATCAGGCAAGAGAAAGAAATAAAGGGTATTCAATTAGGAAAAGAGGAAGTCAAATTGTCCCTGTTTGCAGATGACATGATTGTATATTTAGAAAACCCCATCGTCTCAGCCCAAAATCTCCTTAAGCTGGTAAGCAACTTCAGCAAAGTCTCAGGATACAAAATCAATGTGCGAAAATCACAAGCATTCCTATACGCCAATAACAGACAAACAGAGAGCCAAATCATGAGTGAACTCCCACTCACAATTGCTTCAAAGAGAATAAAATACCTAGGAACCCAACTTACAAGGGAAGTGAAGGACCTCTTCAAGGAGAACTACAAACCACTGCTCAACAAAACAAAAGAGGACACAAACAAATGGAAGAACATTCCATGCTCTTGGATAGGAAAAATCAATATCGTGAAAATGGCCATACTGCCCAAGGTAATTTATAGATTCAATGCCATCCCCATCAAACTACCAATGACTTTCTTCACAGAATTGGAAAAAACTACTTTAAAGTTCATATGGAACCAAAAAAGAGCCCGCATTGCCAAGACAATCCTAAGCCAAAAGAACAAAGCTGGAGCATCACGCTACCTGACTTCAAACTATACTACAAGGCTACAGTAACCAAAACAGCATGGTACTGGTACCAAAACAGAGATATAGACCAATGGAACAGAACAGAGGCCTCAGAAATAATGCCACATATCTACAACCATCTGATCTTTGACAAACCTGACAAAAACAAGAAATGGGGAAAGGATTCCCTATTTAAAAATGGTGCTAGGAAAACTGGCTAGCCATATGTAGAAAGCTGAAACTGGATCCCTTCCTTACACCTTATAAAAAAAGTTAATTCAAGATGGGTTAAAGACTTAAATGTTAGACCTAAAACCATAAAAACCCTAGAAGAAAACCTAGGCAATACCATTCAGGCCATAGGCATGGGCAAGGACTTCATGACTAAAACACCAAAAGCAATGGCAACAAAAGCCAAAATTGACAAATGGGATCTAATTAAACTAAAGAGCTTCTGCACAGCAAAAGAAACTACCATCAGAGTGAACAGGCAACCTACAGAATGAGAGAAAGATTTTACAGTCTACCCATCTGACAAAGGGCTAATATCCAGAATCTACAAAGAACTTAAACAAATTTACAAGAAAAAATCAAACAACCCCATCAAAAAGTGGGTAAAGGATATGAACAGGCACTTCTCTAAAGAAGACATTTATGCAGCCAACAGACACATGAAAAAACGCTCATCATCACTGGCCATCAGAGAAATGCAAATCAAAACCACAATGAGGTACCATCTCACACCAGTTAGAATGGCGATCATTAAAAAGTCAGGAAACAACAGGCATTGGAGAGGGTGTGGAGAAATAGGAACGCTTTTACACTGTTGGTGGGACTGTAAACTAGTTCGACCATTGTGGAAGACAGTGTGGTGATTCCTCAAGGATCTAGAACTAGAAATACCATTTGACCCAGCCATCCCATTACTGGGCATATACTCAAAAGATTATTCTGCTATAAAGACTATTCACAACAGCAAAGACTTGGAACCAACCCAAATGTCCATCAATGATAGACTGGATTAAGAAAATGTGGCACATATACACCATGGAATACTATGCAGTCATAAAAAAGGATTAGTTCATGTCCTCTATAGGGACATGGATAAAGCTAGAAACCATCATTCTGAGCAAACTATCGCAAGGACAGAAAACCAAACACCATGTGTTCTCACACATAGGTGGGAATTGAACAATGAGAACACTTGGACACAGCGTGGGGAACATCACACACCAGGGCCTGTTGTGGGGTTGGGGGAGGGGGGAGGGATAGCATTGGGAGATATACTTAATGTAAATGACGAGTTAACGGGTACAGCACACCAACATGGCACATGTATACATATGTAACAAACCTGCATGTTGTGCACATGTACCCTAGAACTTAAAGTATAATAAAAAAAATTTAAAATTAAAAAAATTTAAAAAAGAAAGTTGCATATTACTAAATGAGAAAAGCAATTTGCAAAATATAATTTATATAATCTCATTTTTGTGGAAAATGTTTATATACATATTTACATATGCATATAAAACCTCTTGAAAGACCATCTAAAACTTAACTGCTGTTATCCTAGAGGGGAGAAGGCAGGTCATCAAAGGGGATTTGCACTATTTATCTCTGTCATGTTTAAGTTTTTATTATAAGAATGTATTAATTTTGTGCAAAACAATAAAAGTAGGCCAGGCGTGGTGGCTCACGCCTGTAATCCCAGCACATTGGGAGACCAAGGCTGGATGATCTCGCCAAGCCAGGAGTATGAGACCAGCCTGGACAGAATAGCGAGACCCTGTCTCTAAAAATAAATAGATAGATAGATAGATAGATAGATAGATAGATAGATAGATAGATAGATAGACAGACAGACAGACAGACAGACAGACAGACAGACAGATAGATAAACAAACAATAAAAGTCTTAACTTTCTCCTTTGTGGAAGAAATTCTAAGGGGATAGGACAGTGCCTCAATGAACTCATTTTAAATTAGCTCTCCCTTTTTACACAAAAACTGCCCAAATCTGCTCTACCTCCCAATGAATTTTTGCATCCCTTAGGAGTTCTCTAGTCAAGTAAATGGCAAAAACTGTGGTCAGGGAAGAAGTCAAGGCTGAAATCCAGGAGTCATTGCTCCTTATCTTCCTAGAACCTGACTCTTGGCCTGAAATAGACTCTACTGCTCCCTTTCTGAATGAAGAGAGAGGAGGACCTAAAGTTGTTTGTGTAGGAGCCACAACTGACCAAGCTCATCTCACAATAAGGTTTGGAGCCCCAAATAAAGACTTGGTCTAGAAGATTCCATGTGGACAACAAAATTACACAGTTAAGATACTGAGGTGAAGACCCCCTAAATCGTCTGGCCTAGGTAATGGAGAAAGTGAATTTGTGTATTAATTCTTTATTTTCTGGTTCAGTCTAGCCAGAGAGGGTTTTGGAGCAAGAGGAACAAGGTTAAAAGAAAAGAACAAAGACCATTGTCTCAGGGAGACCTTAAGAAAGGTGATGCGGATGCTAAAGTAGAAGGTGTGAAAATAGTTAGAAAGAATGAAGAAGACCTAGTATTCAACAGCACAACAGGGTGACTATCGTCAATAATAATTTCATTGTACATGGTAACTAAGAGTATAATTAGACTGTTTGTAACACAAAGGATTAATGCTTGAGGTGATGGATACTCATTTACCCTGATGTGATTATCATGCATTCATTGTATGCCTGTATCAAAATATCTCATGTACATGTACTCCATAAATATATATACCTACTATGTATCCACAAAAGTTAACTGAAATTTTTTTTAAAAGATGGGGCTATATGGCTACATAGACATCAGTCTGGAGCCCTTTGAGGATCCCCAGTGCTGTGGCTGAGGCCACCCTCCTCCCTAGGGAACAGAAGGAGCAGAGTCCCAGAGAAGTGTGAGCGAGGGCCTGGGTGCCCTCCTGGCTCCGCCACCTGAGTTTAAGAAAGTAGGGATTTTGAGATCACCTTTGTGTGCCTATTGAAATCTCTTTCCTTCTTCGAAACTCAAATTCTACCTTCTTCAGAAAACCTCCCCTAAATAAGCCTACACTATTATAGGCAGTTTGTAGCTTTCTAATACTTTATTAAACTGCGTTATTTTATTGTCACCTTACTAGGCTGTAAATGTTGTTAGGGCAGAAATCATGTTTTGGTTTTTAAAAATTTCCACAATGCCTAGGGTGGTGTTGAGAATAAAATAGGCATTTGGTAAGTAATTGTGTGATGAAAAAGTTGAAAGGAAGAAAAAACCATCGGGCTTCCTGAAGTTTCTAGCCTTTCTAACTTAGACAGAGAATACACTAGATGGTAGGACTGCATCCCCACATTCTCAAATCAGAGGGTGGAGGTTCACCTGCACCTGGTGTATTTTTTTCTGAAAAAACAAAACAAACAAAAAAATGCTATCCTGAATGCAAATTCAGTCTCAAAGTGCTACAGAGGACAACCAGGAAAGCACAGTCCTTTCTGGATCCCTTTTGGGGACCAGGCTGTGTGTGTGTGTGTGTTGTGTGTGTGTGTGTGTGTGTAAGTGTGCATAGGTGGGAAAAGGTTGTGGTGTGATGGGAGGGGATAGGCAAGAGGGAGGAAAGAGACTCCATGCAGTGATTATGTGGAGGGGATTTGCTATGTCTCTTCCCCCCGCTTCTTTCTTTGTCCTCTTTCTCCTGGTCCCCTTCTTCTGCATTTGTCTGGGAGGATCCTGGAGTGTTCTTTTGATCGACTCAATCTTTCTCTGGCACTTGAGTTCTGATTGGCTGAAGGACTTAGAGGGGAAAAAAAACTTTAATTAAGTAGATAATCTCTTCTTTGGACGTTTGGCAGCTCCATTTCACCTCCCCTTAACTCTGTTTGGGATCGCTTACACACCAAGGAAGTTGGGCTTTGAGAATTCCATCCCACTGGCACTGAGGAGAATATTTCTCCGTCTTGCTTACCCATCTCCCAGTTTTTTGGAATTTTCTCTAGCTGTTACTCCAGAGGATTATGTTTCTTTCAAAGCCTTCTGTGTACATCTGTCTTTTCACCTGTGTCCTCCAACTCAGCCACAGCTGGTAAGTAACCTGGACTCTTACCTGGAGCTGGGAATAGGTAAGTGTATGTAATGTGTTGGGTAAAGCTCATTTCATTTCCAGAAATGTAGGAAGCCTTGATAGCTCTCCTAGGAAAAACTGTTCTATGGGGTAGGGCTCTTCCTAAATTTATGGCTGATTTTAGTGAATCTTTAGGACCCCTACCAATAAAGGACTAAATGATGGGAGCGGGGGTTCCTATTTTTATAAATTGCTATTCCACAAATATTCCCCCAAAGTGATTTGGGGGTAAATGGACAGCAGCCCTTTTCACGAAATCCTGATGTCAGCATTGTAGAGAGGAGGAAGGTAGTTCAAAGCAAGTTCTACCGTGTGTTGAATCTGATCTTGAGGTAAAGTCTGGAGACAAAATTCAATGGGATCTTACTTTGTACTTTCTGACTTTATTTTTTTTTTCAGGATATTCTAAGTAATTGCTCAAATTATCATTTCCTAGACATAAAAAATTTTATTTGAACCACTAAGCAGGCATTGGGTTAACAAACATGTTTGAAACCAGATATTTTAGAAATCTAAACGTCTCGAGAAATTTATTTAATTTGTTCAATTTACAAATATTTCTAAATTGTTCAGAAAATCAGATAACGTATATGAAAGTGCTTTGTAAATTATAAACACAAATGCTAAAGAATATCATCACCATTCTCATTTAGCTCTTGGAAACCACATAAACTATCTATACATGCAACTGTTCATTAGCAAATACACCAGTACACAATAACATACAGAATGCAGGTTGCTAGGGTGTTCGGAGTTTCTCTCCAGTTCAGATATGAGCTCAGTCTCTCTCTTCATCAGCTCTCATTTTGACCATCTATTTAACAAAGATATAAATCCAATTGCTACATAAACTGTTGAGGAAGCAGGAAAAGAAATTTCTTTGCTGAGATAAGCTTCCTTTGAGAATTGAAAATACATTTTTATCATAAATGAGTGTAGCCGTCTTTATAGGAGTGTTGATAGGAAGTATGCCAACTTCATAAAACTATTTGCAAGTTAATACAATAATTTGCAACATTTCTGATTATAAGCAGAACCACCAATTAGTCCATTTTTAATTGGCATTTTAATTAAATATTTCAATGTTAAAAAAAAGGTCTCTCTTCTCTCCCCCTCATGAGAACAAAAAGACAAAAGGGAGAGGAGACTATTTCAGAGCATTTCTACTGATGTTCATGGTATTCTTCAGCTGATTCAGTATCAGCAAAAGAGAAACACGAGATTCCCTTCCCTAGTCACCAGGGCGGTGTGAAGAATTGTTCTATAAAAAATACCTTTACTGTGTGTTCCCTTCCCTGCTGGAGGGGGTCATGTTCATTTCATTCCGATACTGACACAGCCACACTGAAAGGTGGCTGGGTTGCTTGTCTGTCCAAATTCAAGTGTCTGGATTCAAAAAGAAAAAAGGAAAAAGAGATGTGAAAGAAAGTTCTAATTTAAGAAAACAGGGTTTAAGAGCCCTTCTCGCCTTGCCTGACTTTGAGGAGAAAATGTACAAATCTCCTTTATAATACAATTAGATTTTAATTGCTTTTTCCTATAAGCCCCAATTTAAATTAAACATTTGTACTTCACCAAGAATCTGTTTGTGGTGGCATTTGAAAAGTGATTTTTAAATTTAACATTAAACGTTGATTATGCTTCTAATGAAACTATCACGGTTTTGCATAAGGTCATCTTCCCCTTTATGCCATGCAGAGAAATTTGACCAACCACAGCCTTTGAAATGTTTCTCTTAATACTTCATTATCAACCTTTTATGTAAGGACCTCAAAAGCATTTAACAAATAGAGAACCACAATTTCTGCTTGGCTGTTCAATTGTAGGCCTGCCTGAAATTACTATCTAAAAGAGTCCATCAGCAGAAATTCCTGGGCTTGAAAAGGAGAGAATAATGATGACATTCACCTATAATATGCAGTTTTACTAGGTAAATCAGTACAAGATGATTTCTTTGAAAAGTATTTGCCACAGTTTTTTATAGTTGGGACACTTCCAAGGAGAACTGTCTTTTAGTAACTTGAGAAAATTATTTTCTTTGAATTTGTTTGTCTTAATCCTTATGGCTCCAAAGATAGAGAATGAGAATGCATGATAAGCCAAGCAGATGATGATGATTATAATGGTGGCCAGAGATGAACCAATTTGATTTTCCTTCCAATGCACTTACTCATCTGGAATGAGCAGGCCTAGAAAGTGTTTTACCTTAACTGGTTGGCCCCATTTTACTCCAAATGATATGTCATAATGACAGTGGGTCTTACCCAGTTCTGTTCATTTCTCACTCTCTCCCCACCTAACTCAGTCACCAAATCAGAAGGATGCCCTGGGATACAGAAGTAAACTATAGCTCTGCTCTCATTCTTCAACAGAAGTCACCGCCTCTACTTCTTTCCAAAGGTCTGCAGCAGGAATTTAAACAGGGTCCATTTCTCTTCTGCAGTAGGGCAAGAATTTACCTAAAATCATTGGATTTTATGGCAGCTTTTGAAAAACATCATCTTTTGGTCCTCTACATGCATCTCATAGAGTAACCTTTCTATGGCTCTTGAAATCTCATCTGATGATGACATGTGGGACTCCTGATTGGCAAAGGAATCAGTTATTGGAGGAAGGTCTTTGAATCCATATTCTCACCAAGCATTGCATAAAGCTGAAATTATTGATCTCCACACTATGTTCTACTACTTTTAGGTGTATTTTATGAACAATAAAATACAAACTCACTTAAAAATTACTGAATTCATACTGGGGTTCTGTCATAAGTTTTTGCCATGTTGAATTTTTCCCACTAACAGATTAAAAAAAACCATATATGATCAAGTGAAGATCCACTAAAACTGTCACGATAGGGGAGGATTCTTATCCTCAAAGACGCTGGGAATCCCTGAAGTTAAAGAAATAAAAAGTAAGGTGTGAGGAACTGCTTTGGAATCTGGAAAAAAAAATACCAGTATAAAAGAGTGACTTAATAGCATCCTTGGTTCATAAAAAAAAGTGCCTGATCCATTAAAAAAAAAGCTGGGATTTGTGGAGTAGCTCTGAGGTGGGCTAGATCAGCAGCTGCACTGTAGGAAGGCCTGAGGGCTCTGAGACATAACCAGAGAAGTTTAATTCCCAGGTTTATCAATGAAGGCCTCCACAACTTGAGCCCCATGTGTTTCTTTCCAGAATCTCTATTTCTCTTGTCATGAAAGACAATAACTATTATTATTATAATTATTAATAACAACAAAGGCTGTGAGTATCCTGGGAAAAGACACTTCATTACAGCTCTTGTTATGAAACCAGTTTGTGTGAGTGACAAGAAGGATGCTCTAAGATGCATCTTTGTTTTAGTTTTAGTTTTTGGTGGATGACAACATGACACAAAGAAGGATCTCCTTTGTGTGCTATTACATAGTGACAAATGAGGCATTAAAAAAGGACCAGAAGAAAAGGAGTTTTAATCTAAACCCTCTCCTTCCATGGAAAGATATTCCTTTTTTTTTTCTTTTTCCCAGCTGGGAAAATTGGTTTAATGCTGCTCTATATTGGGTGATACTATTATCTCTTGGGACTATTAATAAAATTCCTTTTTTTCTGGGCTCCAACGATGCTTGTCTATTTCCATCAGAAAAGTGGGGGAGAATTCATATGGCTTAGAGAATGAGGTCAATATAATTTTTCTTAGGATAAATCTTTATTTTTCAGAAAGTGGATTTTTTTTTTCTTACTCAGTAAAAGATCAGGCTAGGTTAACAGCTGAGGGAAACACTGAGCTTGGGTCACATAAATAACATTCCCCATTGCCTCCCACTTGAAATACACCTGCACTCCCAGGACCTCTCAACGGAAACTACCATCCACTTTGGACAGATGCTTCAGTCTCATTATGAGCCAAACTTTTATGGTTTGTTTTTCTCAATCTTTATTGTAAGCCCCTGTTATTGATCATTTCATTTCTCTGTATGCTTCTTAGGTTAGAGTTTTCTCCAAGCCAAGAGAAAATCAGATCATAAGGGGATCATTTAAATTCACCATCATCTGACCAGTCCAAACTCGCTTTTTAAAAATAGGTTGTTTTCGCAACTTCAGCATCCTATGGTACCAGCACATTATGGGGCTATATTCCAGTAGTCCCAATAAGACCCTATAAGAGGGCTAATAGGTCAGTCTTTCTATGCAGCTCCATAGATGAAATTCTTATACTCTCCAGGCCAAATTTACACCACCCTACATTAGGAGGAATTTCCCCTTCATTCAAAACTGCAATTACCATTTGCTGCTCTAAATCTCAGTCCTTTTTCTGTAGTCAGGTTCTTTAGGTTTATCGTATCACACTTTGAAGGTTCCATTATCCAGGACGCTAAGTAGTGAATCAATAGATTGTCCACGTTATCCTGTCTGGTATTTCCTCACCTTAATCCAAGGCATCTGGTGGAGCCCAGATTCCATAGATTATTGCTTTTCAGAATAATTGGTTTTGTTTTAAAATTTTCATACTATGGGAAAAACATGTTTTTACAAATGTTGAGAACAGCATATATAACAAACCCCAATAACTCAGCTTCAACCGTTATCAATCTCTGACCAATCATGTTTCACCTATACTTTCTGTAGCATTTTTAACTGCATATTCTCTTAGTCTGAATCTTCCAAGTACTACCATGGTTCAAAACAGGAAGAAGAGGGATAGCAAAAGGATTATCTGTCCTGTGTCTGAGAGATTCAGGCCAGTAATTAGAATGAAGTTTGGGGAACATTGTACATTTCTCCCATTGCCCTTAGGAGAAGATCAAGAATACAGATTAGCAAAAGGGAATAAGTCATTCAAATACATGTTTGTGTTTATTTCTATTGGAGCTGTGGTTAATTAGCAAAGGCAGTAGAAATTGATGGTTGGATCAGATTGAGGAGAGAACATTTTACCATCTATTTGGATTAATTCCATTAAGCAGTAAAAATGGCACTAAAGTGCCAAAGCCTGTCAATTTTCCAACCTTAAGCTGTTCACCTAGTTATTTTACAGGATAATTCTTGGAGTTACCATGTACACCCACCTTCTTGATACTGATATAAACTGGTATTGTTTCCATCGATGCAACTGAGAACATAAATGTTTTCTAAAGTCTATACTGCAGGGACCAAGGCAACAAGATCAGAAAACAAAATGGAATTATCTGCCTCCATAACGACTGTGGAAAAAGTTCCCGTGATCCCAGGCTTTCTGGGAATGGTGGCTTGAGCTGTTCCTTAGCAGCTCTCACTTAGAGACCAAGGAAAGGAGCATGAGTATAGCTTATCCCTGCCACAGTCCTCATTTAGATGCTAAGTGCTGAAGTGCTTTTCTGTAGCTTAGCGTTTCTCAGCAGCACTTGCTACAATACATAAAGAAGGAAAGAAATGAGGACAGGGAAGATAGCCTATCACTCTATAAAATATCCTGGAATACAAATGACGTATCAGTTGCAGGGAAAAAGATGATCCCCCGAACATTTGTGCTTTGCTTGTGAAGGAATCTGCCTGAGCTTCTTTAGCAAAGATCCATGGTACAGAGTTGTCCTGTGGGCTATTACATGGCCTTTGCTAACAATTGTTTGGCAAGGGCCGGATTTGCGATAATGTGGGATTTTAATATACATTTTAATATAAGGACTACTGCTAAGATTGTCACATCTGTTTAACTTTAAAAAATTTTTTTTGTCAATTGGCTTACAAGACTTGTTTTCTCTTTTCATATTTTAGGGCACTGCATCATTATATAAAAAATTCACATTTATAAAAAACATTTTTAGAATGATTTACAGGGCTGAACTCCCTTTGAAGAAAGAAATGGACTTTAATTTGGTGAAATAGTTATGGGAATATGACCAAAAGCTACACATTCCTGAATTTTTCTTTCTATACTCATCTTGAAAAATACCTTCCTCTGGCCCCAATCTCTACTGCAATCATTTCTCCTTTCTCTTTTTTCTTTCAATGCCATCCTCCCCCAACCAGTTAGCACTAGCTACTTTCATGTCATAACTCCTCACTCTCTGCAATCTGGCTTGTGTTCTATTGCCATACTTAAATAGATCCCTCCACTGATACCAGCTTTGTTCCCTCTTGACATATTTTTAAGTAGGAGGAAATCTGATTTTGAAAGTCTGAATACTTCTCTTCCCTTTAAGACTTCAGATACCTTGTAACTTCTACCTCCTAATCCCTTCCCCTAGTTAAATAGGAAAGCCTGATTTCAATACTTTGGAATAGGTAAGAATTAGTCATGCTTTTCACCCTTGAAAAATATTTGCATTTTAAACTTAACTCTCTCAAATTGTACAGTGAATAGTTCCAAGTTCAATCCCCTCAGGTATTATCAGATAAGGTAGTGAAGAAAATTTGGGGACCAACGGGATATTATTTCACAGTTATTAGTAAGACCTACTTTCTGTGTAACTGTGTGTGTGGGCACACGTGTGAACATACCTTTGTGTCTGCTCGTGCACATGTGTTCTACAGGTCAGATGTGTGGATGCTGTGGAACAGAGACAGTCACAAGGAAACTCACTCAGAAGAGCTATCTTTGGGCTCTCCCCAGCCCAAGGCATCTTGGGAGTTCTATGGACTGAAAAGCTGCTGTCAGAACTCATTCTATGAGAAAGCTGCATCACTGGAGAACCTTCCAGCTATAGCCCCTGGCAGTTTCCCTACTCCATACCCTCCCCTTAGCCTTTAGCCCTTTGTCCTATATGCCTTCTGTGCTAAATCTTCAGATGGAGATCTATAGTTCACATTCATTCACTACCACTTCTCCTTTCCCCTGGGCCAGCACTCCAATTTCGGTAATCAGATGTCTCTCTCCTAAAGTAGACCAAACTGAGCCTCATGACTCAGAGACAATTTTTTTAAGGCAGGATCTCACTCTGTCAGCCAGGCTGGAGTGTACAATCTTGGCTCACTGCAGCCTCGACCTCCCTAGCTCAAATGATCTTCCCACTTCAGCCTCCTGAGTAGCTGGGACTATAGTGTATGCCACCATACCTGGCTAAGTTTTGTATTTTTTGTAGAGACAGGGTCTCATTGCCTTTTTAAAATATCATCATTATATCCTCTTTTCTGAGCTCCATCCCATTTATCCATCTTTATTATGATTTTTATTTTTATTTTTCGTAGAGACAGAGTCTCACTCTGTTGCCCAGGCTGGTTTCAAACTCCTGGGCTCAAGCAATCGGCCCACTTTGGCCTCCTAAAATGCTGAGATAACAGGCATGAGCCACCATGCCCAGCTGATGACTCAGAGACATTTTATGGACATTAAGAGATGGGATTAAAGGTTGGGGAGAAGCCAGAAATACTACGTAAAGATTTGTGGGGAAAGTGATGAGAGGCAGAACAAAACAAAATCACAGGGCACTAAGATGAAAGTCCTGGGTGGTAAGAGGAAAATATCAAATTCTGCAGATTCATATTCAGAATGTTTCTTATTTTCTATTTTATTTTGTTTTATTTTATTTTTTGAGACAGAGTCTCACTCTGTCGCCTAGGCTGGAGCGCAGTGGCGCAATCTCGGCTGACTGCAACCTCCGCCTCCCAGGTTCAAGCGGATTCTCCTGCCTCAGCCTCCCAAGTAGCTGGGACTACAAGTCCACACCACCACGCCCAGCTAATTTTTGTATTTTTAGTAGAGATGGGGTTTCACCGTGTTAGCCAGGATGGTCTCAAACTCCCAACCTCAGGTGATCTGCCTGCCTCAGCCTCCCAAAGTGCTGGGATTACAGGCGTGAGCCACCATGCCAGGCCTATGTTTTGTTTAGATACACAAATGCTTACCATCATGTTATAATTGCCCACAGTAGTCAGTACAATAACATGCTGTATAGGCTGGTAGCCTAGGAGCAATAGGCTCTACCATATAGCATGGGTGTATAGGAGGCTATCCATCTAGGTTTGTATAAGTACATTCTATGATGTTTGCACAGTGACAAAATCACCTAACGACACATTTCTCAAAACATATCCCTGTCATGAAGCCACACACTGTATCCCCTCCCCACCTCTGCCTACAGTGTCCTTTAGCATTTGTTTCTCCCTACTCTTTTATACATAGAACCCAGTGTGAGCAGCAACAGTGCCTAGAAAATGTGCCCAGGGGATGTCGTGCTACCCAGATAAAGCAGGGCCTGTGCCCTGGCAGATGTGGTTGTTTTGTGGACATAGAAGCAGTAGGCTGGTGTAATGAAAGGATAAAAAAGTAGCAGAGACAATGTGATAATTAACTGAGTGTATTCATGAGTGTGTGCAAAACATGGCTTAGGCCGCTCAGAAATATTTACCAAGAATTTTTCAGGAATTAGGAGTCCTGGATTAGCCAGTGGGAATAAGAGCAAGGGAAAAACGGGCTGCAGAAAAGCACAGCAGGTAGAGTGCATGCTCTAGAGTAGGACTGCCTAGGCTCCAGCCCTGGCTTCACCACTTACCTAGCTGTGTGAGGCTGGGTGGCCACTCTATGTTTCAGTCTCTGTTTCTGTAAAATGAAAGATATAATAGTTTCTACCTCATATAATTGTGATCATTATATGAACTTAAAATATGTAAAACACTTCAAAGTACATGGTCAGTCCTGGCAACACAACGAGACCCTGTCTCTACAAAAAATACAAAATAAAAATATGCCGGGCGCGGTGGCTCATCCCTGTCGTCCCAGCACTTTGGGAGGCTGACATGGGCAGATCACTTGAGGTCAGGAGTTCAAGACCAGCCTGGCCAACATTATGAAACCCCATCTCTACTAAAAATACAAAAATTAGCCAGCATGGTGGCATGTGCCTGTAGTCCCAGCTACTCGGGAGGCTGAGGTGGGAAGATTTCTTTTTCTTTTTTTTTTTTGAGATGGAGTCTTGCTCTGTCGCCCAGGCTGGAGGGCAGTGGCGCGATCTTGGCTCACTGCAAGCTCCGCCTCCTGGGTTCACGCCATTCTCCTGCCTCAGCCTCCCAAGTAGCTGGGACTACAGGCACCCGCCACCACACCCAGCTAATTTTTTGTATTTTTAGTAGCGACGGGGTTTCACCGTGGTCTCGATCTCCTGACCTCATGATCCGCCCGCCTCAGCCTCCCAAAGTGCTGGGATTACAGGCATGAGCCACCACACCTGGCCGGAAGATTTCTTGAGTCTGGACAACAGAGCAAGTCCCTCTCTCTAAATAAATAAATAAAAGTACTTCGTGTGCACAGAATAAACACTCAGTGAAAAGTATAGTACCCACCCCATGGAGTTGCTACGGAAATTTAAAAAGATGATACAGGTAAAGCACTTAGAAGAGTTCCTCACATACTTGAATAAATGCTAGTTATTATTACATGATATGATTAAACTTTATATCAGTGTATACACACACACACGTATACTGGACAGCTAACACAAGAAGAAGAAACAATTGTAAAATTTTGACTTGGCAGTGTAAAAGCACAACTAACCACAGTTATTTATGTAAATCGCTTACCACTTATGCCTAATTACTATGAAGCACAATAACAATTATGCACAGCACTAAGTGTGTCAGATTAACTTTGCTAAAGGTTTGATTATAGCACTAACCTCTGTGTACATATGCTCAGTGTTCACTCTGTTACTCTTGTAGTTGATCATCTCCTAATGTGGCACAGTCATCTGCTCACTACACTAAAAAATTAGTGGGAGCACTGGCTTGCCACAGGCTTCCTATATTTCTCAAAATCTTTTTGCAGTTCTTTTTCTCCTTACATTTTCTGCTGCATCTGATGGTCTATCTTTTTTATTTCAAAATCCTTGTATTCAATTCACTTTTATAGGCACTTACTATGTTCAAAGTACTAGATTAGGAACTGGAGGGTATACAGAGATAATTAAGGCAGCCCATACTTAAGTATAAAAGAGGAAAGGGAAACCTTCATATGAAACAGAGAAAAGTTGCTGTGAGGCTTCAAGGTGTGCTGGTTGTGGCTTCTGCACTGGTACTTATTCAAGAATAAGTGAGATTTTTAAATAATAGCTTTATTGAAATATAATCTACATACTATAAAAGGCACCCTTTAACAAATCAATGATTTTTTTTAGCCAATTCATGGATTTGTGCAACCTTCACCACAATCCATTTTAGAACATTTTAATCACTTCAAAAAGAAACCCTTTATTTATTAGCATTCACTCCCCGTTCCTCCTCCCCTCAGTCCCTGGAAACTGTGAATCTAGTCAGTTTCCATGAGATTGCCTATGCTGGACATTTGATATAGATAGAATCATATCATTTATGGCCTTTTGTGTCTGGCTTCTTTCACTCAGGATGATATTTTCAAGGGTCATCCATGTTGTAGCTTGTATCCAGTACTTCATTCCTTTATATGGTCAAAAAATATTCTATTATGGGTTGGACATGGTGGCTCATGCCTGTAATCTTGCACTTTGGGAGGCTGAGGCAGGCGGATTGCTTGAGGTCAGGAGTTTGAGACCAGCCTGGCCAACGTGGCCAAACCCCATCTCTACTAAAAATACAAACATTAGCTGGACATGGTAGTGCATGCCTGTAATCGCAGCTTCTTGGGAGGCTGAGGCACAAGAATTGCTTGAACCCAGGAGGTGGAGGTTGTAATGAGCCAAGATGGCGCCACTGCACTCTAGCCTGTGCAACAGAGCAAGATTCTGTCTTAAAAAACAAAAAAAAAGGTGACTCTTCATGATTTTTGTCTGAGCAACTAGGAGGAACAGTCCTTTACTTAGATGGAGAAGACTACAGAAGGGGTAGGCTTGGGTGATGGCAGCGAGGATCAGGAGTTCAGTTTTGGACACGTTAAGTTTGAGATGCGTATTAAACACTGAAGGAGAGATGCCAAGAATACAGTTGGATATGCAAGTCTAGAGTTCAAGCAAATGTCTGAGAAGAGCTGGGAGGGTTCAGGAAGTCATGAACCCTTTGAATGGTCCTGAATCTGGGTAATATTGTCAGCAACTGTACAACCTCATGGGAAATGGGAAGCTTGTACCTCCATCTGGGAGTATACTGTTTTACCATGTTCTGTCTATATAG
This sequence comes from Homo sapiens, assembly GCF_000001405.40. NCBI lineage: Eukaryota > Metazoa > Chordata > Mammalia > Primates > Hominidae > Homo > Homo sapiens. Next base: position 100,474,304 of record NC_000010.11, read on the forward strand.
CAGCCTCCATTTGTTAAACAAAATTTATATCTTAAATTTACATCTTCAGTGTTTGTTAGCATCTTTCCTTCAATCACATAACTGCCACATAGAGGTGGCACCCATACAAACACTTAAATTCCTTCCTTTTTGGTTCTCTTTGCATCTTCTCACAATACTCACTATGTTTTCTGCAATCTATATTTTACCCCCAAAAGGAAATCATGTCATTGTTTCATTGACCAAGAACAAGATCCTCCTCCTTTGGTACTCACTACAGGACAGTCTTCTTTTTTTTTTGAGACAGAGTCTCGCTCTGTCGCCCAGGCTGGAGTGCAGTGGCACGATCTTGGCTCACTGTAAACTCCACCTCCAGGGTTCAAGTGATTCTCCTGCCTCAGCCTCCTGAGTAGCTGGGATTACAGGGGTGCATCACCACGCCCAGCTAATTTTTGTATTTTTAGTAGAGACGGGGTTTCACCATTTTGGTCAGGCTGGTCTCAAACTCCTGACCTCAAGATCTGCCTGCCTTGGCCTCCCAAAGTGCTGGGATTACAGGCGTGAGCCACTGCACCCAGCTGAGTCTTTTCTTAATATAGGATATTTTGGATATGAACAAGCTAGCCATAAGGTTCAAATATGTCTGCAAATAACTCGGAGGTTAACAACACAAGTTGGCTGGGCGTGGTGGCTCACGCCTGTAATCCCAGCACTTTGGGATGTCAAGGTGGGCGGATCACCTGAGATTGGGAGTTCGAGACCAGCCTGGCCAACATGGTGAAACCCCATCTCTACAAAAATTACAAAATTAGCTGGGTGTGGTGGCACACGCCTGTAATCCCAGCTACTCAGGAGGCTGAGACAGGAGAATTGCTTGAACTCGGGAGGCGGAGGCTGCAGTGAGCCGAGATCATGCCACTGCACTCCAATCTGGGCAAGACAGAGCAAGACTCCGTCTCAAAAAACAAACAAACAGAAAAACACAAGTCCCGGGAGGTGGAGTCTGCAGTGAGCCGACATCACACCACTGTACTCAAGCCTGAGCAAGATACAGTGAGACTCTGTCTCCAAAAACAAAACAAAACAAACAACAAAAAAAACAAAAACACAAGTCACTTTATAGGAATGTTGTCCAAATAAGGCCTATAGTGTTGTTCCATGACAGGTGCTCAATTAAGTCTCATTCATTGATCAGTTGGGCTTGACCTGGATATCATACAAATCTTTGCATATTGTAGGATCTTCCAGGAAAGAATTCTCTAGAATCTCTGTCTATTACTCCCTGTAGTTCCGGCTTAGACTCCTTTCACAGGAAGACTCTTCACCCCAGCTATGGCAAAGCATTTTCTTTGTCACTCAATTTGCTTTGTTGTTTTGTTTTCTTTCCTGATAATTTCTGTCTTATGGAAAATGGGAACTAGCTCTGTCAGGCTTGGTAATGTCCAAAATCTTTGAATGTTATTCCTAACATAAAAAGTGCCTTTCTGAGTGGGAACAAGCTCAGGCCCCTTTCCCCAAAGCAAAGGGGCCTGGCTGACTCCTCTGACATGTCTTTAAGGATCAGAAATTCATGTCCAAACCTATAATGGCTTTGGAAATTGTGAATTCATTTAAGTCATTCTGAATTGTATTTTTGTGTTTTGCTGGTGCTACTACACCTGATCAAGCAGTGCTTCTTTTCAGTTGAATTAAGGTTGCCTACCAAGCTTTAAAAAGTAGGCCTTGGTGGCTGGGCGCGGTGGCTCACGCCTGTAATCCCAGCACTTTGGGAGGCCGAGGAGGGCAGATCACGAGGTCAGGAGATCGAGACCATCCTGGCAAACACAGTGAAACCCCATCTCTACTAAAAATACAAAAAAAAAAAAATCAAAAAAAAATTAGCTGGGCATGGTGGCAGGTGCCTGTAGTCCCAGCTACTCGGGAGGCTGAGGCAGGAGAATGGTGTGAACCTGGGAGGCAGAGGTTGCAGTAAGCCGAGATGGCACCACTCTAGCTTGGGTGACAGAGTGAGACTCCGTCTAAAAAAAAAAATAGGCCTTAGTTTTGATAGACTTCATAGTATTTTTGATTTTCTAAAATTCTATTACAACTCGTTTAGAATCTTTTTCATCTCATATGGCAGCCTCTTAGTTTGTTAATACTGGTTTTCAAAAACTACTCACATTTTTGGTGTTGTATGTGTTTTTTATGAAGAAAGTCAGCCAAGCTCTTTTGGCCTGACAAGAAACTTTCTTGGTCTATTTCATTTCCAATCCCCTTTCTGGTGATGTTCAGCATCTTATTGGCCTTCAGAATTGCAGGGGTACACCAGCATGGAACAATACATAATGATTCCCGTATTACTTTCTCACATTATAATGGAAAAACAAAGATAATAGATAATAGATTCTGATTTTCAAATGCCTATACTGAAGTCATTCTCCAAGTCTTTAGCCCTGCAGATCATGTGTATATGTACATATATATTTAACTTTTTATTTTTAGATAATTATGGAGTTGCAAGACATGTACAGGGAAGAAACGTACAGGGAAGTCCCATGTACACTTGCCCCAACCTCCCCCAGTGTGAACATCTTACAACGTTAGTACGATATCCATGAAGCTTATTCAGACTTCACCATTTTTACATGCACTTGTGTGTACATGTACTCATGTATGTGGCTTTATGCAATTTTGTCATGTGTAGCCTTGTATAACCACAGTAAAGACATTTGGCCATTCCCCCAAGACTTTCTCATGTTACTCTTTACAGCCACATCCATCCCCCATCCCAAATCCTTGGCAACCACTGATCTGTCCTCCAGCTCTATAATTATATAATTTTTATTATTTCACTATTGTTATGTAAATAGAATCATGCAGTATGTATCCTTCTGAGACTGACTTTAATCACTCCGTAACTTCCTTGAGGTTCATCCAAGTTGTTGCATGTATCAACGTATCATTCCTTTTTATTGCTGAGTAATATTCCATGGTATGAATGTACCACAGTTTTTTATTTTTTATTCATTTATTTATTTATTTTATTTTATTTTTGAGTTGGAGTCTCGGTCTGTTACCCAGGCTGGAGTGCAGTGGCGCGATCTTGGCTCACTGCAAGCTCCATTCCCAGGTTCACGCCATTCTCCTGCCTTAGCCTCCTGAGTAGCTGGAACTACAAGTGCCCACCACCACGCCTGGCTAATTTTTTGTATTTTTAGTAGAGACAGGGTTTCACCATGTTAGCCAGGATGGTCTCGATCTCCTGACCTCATGATCTGCCTGCCTTGGCCTCCCAAAGTGCTAGGATTACAGGCGTGAGCCACCGCACCCGGCCACAGTTTTTTAAACTACCCTTTGAAGGACATTGGGTAGTTTCCAATTTTTGACTATTATTAATAAAGTGGCTATGAGCATCCAGGTACAAATTTCTGAGTGAAAGTAAGTCTTTATTTCTCTGGGATAAATGCCCAAGAGTGCAATTGCTAAGTCATATGACAAGTTCATTTTTAGTTTTTTTTTGTTTTTTTTTTGGGACAGAATATCACTCTGTTGCTCAGGCTGGAGTGCAGTGGTGCAATCTCAGCTCATTGCAGCCTCTGCCTCCCAGGTTCAAGCGATTCTTGTGCCTCAGCCACCTGAGTAGCTGGCATTACAGGCGCATACCACCATGCCTAGCTATTTTTTTTTTTTTTTTTTAGTAGAGACGGGGTTTTGCCATGATGATGCCTAGGCTGGTCTTGAACTCCTGGATTCAGGTGATCCACCTGCCTCAGCCTCCCAAAGTGCTGGGATTATGGGCGTGAGCCACTGTGCCCAGCCCATTTTTAGTTTTAAAAGGGGCAGCCAAACCATTTTTCCAAATCGCATTACTTATTTTTAGAGTTTTATTATGACTCAATCCCTAGAGAGATATTCCACTGTTTGTTTACCTCTTCCTAATTAGAGAAGTATCCTTCTAACGTCCCACGGAGTCAGATGAATGTGGATTCAAATCCTGCTTCACTCACTTATTAGCTGGGTGAGCCTGAACACACGTTTAACTTTTCTGGAGTCTCAGATTTCCTGTCTGCAAAATAGAGATAATAATGCCTGAGACAGTAAGGATTTAACAAGATCAACATGTAAAATACCGAGAGTAGAGCATAAGGAACATAGTCAGGAGTTAATGCTAGTTCTCTCCCCCACTTCATGGCAGAATAATCAGCAACCATCACTATCAGGTATATGGTACTGGAAATTTTACCTGGCTTTAACAATGCAAGGAAATGATACTACTTTTATTCATGTTTTTTCTACTAAGTTTTATGTGTGTGTGTGTTTTTTTTTTTTTGTTTTGAAACAGAATTTTGCTCTGCCGCCCAGGCTGGAGTGCAGTGGCGCAATCTCGGCTCACTGCAACCTCCACCTCCCAGGTTCAAGTGATTCTCATGCCTCAGCCTCCTGAGTAGCTGGGACTACAGGCGCCTGCCACCATGCCCCGCTAATTTTTGTATTTTTAGCAGAGACGGGGTTTCACTATGTTTGGCCATGCTGGTCTCAAACTCCCGACCTCAAGTGATCCACCTGCTTCAGCCTCCCAAAGTGCTGGGAATACAGGCATGAGCCACCCCACCTGGCTGTAAATCATCTTTAGTAGGTTTGTTATGCACAGTGTTTCCTGGGTAAAACTAGTTTCCCTTTCTTCCTATTAATGACATGTGCTGAAGTAATTCTTACCACTCTTGGAAGCAGAAACAAGTTGGTGTCTCTGCATTATATTCTGTTTTTGTTTTTTTTTTCCCTTATAGGTCGGTGAACAATTTCCTGATGACTGGTCCAAAGGTAAGAACAAATTCCATTAATTGATATGGATTTCACTAATCTTAGCCTGTTGACTAAAGATGATAAATGCAGATTTTTCATTATATCCACATATTTTATTATGCTGTATACATTACAGATAGAAAGATTGAGACCCAGAGGGTGTTAGGGACACATCTAAAACCACATAGCAAACCACTGTCAGCGCCAAGATAAGAACGCAGGAGCACTGAATTTATGGCTAGAATTTCCAGAGCCATAAAAGTCAACAGCCTTTTATAGGTGTCAGGCTGCAAAGTCACACATCCTTCTCAGTGCCCCGTGGTGGGATGCAGTTTCCCATGTTTAAAATGCTGGAATTGTACTACATGATCTTTACATTCATGGGCATTTTCAGTTCCAAAATGTTGTTTTCTAAGATGGTCATGTGATGAGAACTCCTTAAATTTCATGAATTAGGTGATTTGGGCTCATTTTGGAGAGACAGGATAGTATAGTGAAGAAAGGTGAATAAAGGATAATAGGGACTAGAGTCTGATAAAACTGAGTTTCATTTCTAGTTCTGCCATTTGCTAGCTCTGGGACTTTGGGGAAATTACTTTAGCTCACTCCCTGGGCCTCAGTTTCCTAATCTATAATATAGTGCCTATTTCACAAGTTATTTGTGATGTCAAATGAGACAGCATATTTAAAGGCTTACTCCATTATTTTGGAGGGATGGGAGAGTGAGCAGGAAGAGGGCTGTTTGGTCAGTTTAGGGTAAATGCCTCCTAAGTTCAGTCTGAATTTTTACCCCTATGTCCCTACAGGCTTACCTGATTTACTCCAGCAGTGTGGCAGCTGGTGCCCAGAGTGGTATTGAAGAATGCAAGTATCAGTTTGCCTGGGACCGCTGGAACTGCCCTGAGAGAGCCCTGCAGCTGTCCAGCCATGGTGGGCTTCGCAGTGGTAAGAAAAACCTCAGCCACAGCTCCCTGGACCCTCTGGTCACAGGTTAGAGCCCCAGGGATAGCCCCTTGCCTCCTCGACACCCTTATTCCTCACCTGCTCTCTTCTCTTAGGTCATCTCCCTCTCCAGGATCTTCTCTTTTCCTTTTCTACTTCCTTTTTCCCACCTGTAGAGTTTTTTCTTTCTTTCTCAACACTCTCATTGCTCAACAAATGGATCTTGCCTTACTCCCAATCCCATACCATCCTTGGCCTCCCAGCTGGCTAAAGGTCTCCTCACAATGTAAGTAATATCAGGAGGTAGGCAGGGGTCATAATTCCTCAGACCTCTTAGCCCCTTCCTCAGCAGAGAGATACTGGGCAAGTGGAGAGTGACTTGGAGACCAGATTCCCATGGAGAAGATAAAGAGTGGCCATGCCAGTAAATGAAAGAGCTACCAATCAGAGGTTCTTTTCAAGACTAACTGCACATGACTCTTAGACCCTAAGTGTTCCAGGAGGAAGTGGGGATGGGTTCTTTACAACCTAGCCTTCAGATTCATCTCCCTCCCCATTTCTTCCTCAGGCTCTTTCCAGTCATGTGTGTCAACAGTACCCTAGCCACTTGGTCATAAAATGTGTGACCTGAAAAGACAGGAGGTGAGAAGAGCAGGGCTAAGGCCAGGGATGGGGCAGACCATGCAAGAGGGTAAGATACACTATAAAGATGGGAAGGCCAGGCACAGTGGCTCAAGCCTGTAATCCCAAGCTCTTTGGGAGGACGAGGTAGGAAGACTGAGCCCAGAGTTTGAGACAAGCCTAGGCAACATAGTGAGACCGACTCTCTGCAAAAAAATAAAAGTTAAAAAATAATAATAAAGATGGGGAAATAGGATGGAGCTAGGGAAAGAGGATATAATGATGGTTATTAAAGAAAGGTAGCATGTCTGGTATTTCTTTAAGCTGAAACCCCTCCCTCTAACTCTGGATTTTTGGTTCCTGCTAGCCAATCGGGAGACAGCATTTGTGCATGCCATCAGTTCTGCTGGAGTCATGTACACCCTGACTAGAAACTGCAGCCTTGGAGATTTTGATAACTGTGGCTGTGATGACTCCCGCAACGGGCAACTGGGTGAGTAGTAATGTAGGGATGGGTACCATAGGCCAGCCAACGCACATAAAGAATGAAAAGCCTGGTGGGGGTGAAGAAGAGCTGTATTCTTCTAAATATGAAGAAAATCATGCGGAAGATGGGTGAACGAGTTTGATCCCAAGCCCTACAATGACAAGCCAGGCTAAATGTAGCTTAGAACCTTCTTTTCCCATTGAGTAGTTTCCTTAATTTAAATATAAAAATAAAGAAACAACACTCTGGGGATTCCTCTGTTGCTTCTCTCAAACACAAGGGGAACTTCCTTCCGTGTTGCCTATCCCCGTCTACTTTCCACTCTTTACCTCCAGTGCTGTCTCCAATCTCCTGAGCCCTCCTGACCAATTTCCAACATCGTTGTTCCATATTTCAATTGTACCCCTCTTTCCCCCTCAATGCTCGAGCTTTCCTCATCTTTTTGGCACCATTTTGTCCCTTCTGGACCTCAATCACCAGCAGGGCACGTGCACCCTCTGCCCATGCGAAGAGGCACTGTTGGCAGAGGAGTGTACTGGCACCTTGCAAAGAATCCACTCGGCAACTACTTACGTCGTTGAGCCCTGAGCAGGGGATTGGCTGAACCTGGAAGTGGGCGTGTAAAAGTGGCAAAAACAAATCTAGACGGCAACTGATCTGGATACAGGGCACTCGCCCAACCTTAATCCTCTCCTATCCTGGACCCCCCCACCCCCAACCCAATTAGAAACAGCAGCCCAGGAGGCTCTGCGCCCGCTTGCTCAATGACCTGTCCTCCCTCTGCACTTTTCCAGGGGGACAAGGCTGGCTGTGGGGAGGCTGCAGTGACAATGTGGGCTTCGGAGAGGCGATTTCCAAGCAGTTTGTCGATGCCCTGGAAACAGGACAGGATGCACGGGCAGCCATGAACCTGCACAACAACGAGGCTGGCCGCAAGGTGAGTCCCGCAGCCCTTGGAAATAGGCAGCTGCTGGCTATATCCACTACCAGCTCCAGGTGCGGACAACTCTTCAGTTCATTTAAAAGATTGGCAAAATGAGGTACCAAGTGGGCTGGCCCAGTAGACTAACTAGACTTCTCGCAACTCCCACAGGGGCAGTTAAACTCGCCACGCGCTTAATCCGGGGCCTCTCACTCCTAGCTCTCTCCCCAGGCGGTGAAGGGCACCATGAAACGCACGTGCAAGTGCCACGGCGTGTCTGGCAGCTGCACCACGCAGACCTGTTGGCTGCAGCTGCCCGAGTTCCGCGAGGTGGGCGCGCACCTGAAGGAGAAGTACCACGCAGCACTCAAGGTGGACCTGCTGCAGGGTGCTGGCAACAGCGCGGCCGGCCGCGGCGCCATCGCCGACACCTTTCGCTCCATCTCTACCCGGGAGCTGGTGCACCTGGAGGACTCCCCGGACTACTGCCTGGAGAACAAAACGCTAGGGCTGCTGGGCACCGAAGGCCGAGAGTGCCTAAGGCGCGGGCGGGCCCTGGGTCGCTGGGAACGCCGCAGCTGCCGCCGGCTCTGCGGGGACTGCGGGCTGGCGGTGGAGGAGCGCCGGGCCGAGACCGTGTCCAGCTGCAACTGCAAGTTCCACTGGTGCTGCGCAGTCCGCTGCGAGCAGTGCCGCCGGAGGGTCACCAAGTACTTCTGTAGCCGCGCAGAGCGGCCGCGGGGGGGCGCTGCGCACAAACCCGGGAGAAAACCCTAAGGGTTTCCTCTGCCCCCTCCTTTTCCCACTGGTTCTTGGCTTCCTTTAGAGACCCCGGTAATTGTGGAACCTAGGGAATGGGGAACCCGCTCTCCCAGACCTAGGGATCCTGAGAGGGAGAGACTGCAATTTCTCCAAAGCTTGCCACTTTCCAGCCTGTTTCCCCAATTCCTCTGTGCTCTCCTAGAGCTCTGTCTGAATCCTCGCAGCCACACCTAGGTCTGAGAACTCAGGCTTTGAGTTACTGATCTTCCTTGGATTAGGAGAACAGGTGTTCCTCCTCCCCTCTCCTAGCAGCCCTAATGTCTGACCTAGCCTATCAAGCCTTAGGCGCTGGAAGAACCCTTCTCAGACACGCAGGACCCAGGTAAAGTCAAAGCTTTGCCCTTTTGCCCACTGTCTGCTACCAGGGCTCACCCACTGCTGCACCTCTCTTCTGCACAGCTCCTCCCCTGCTACCTGCTGAGCCAGATTCCCCAGGAATCTTGAATGCTTTCTCTCCTCTTCTCCCTTTCCTTTCCCAGAAAAACTGAGGAAACTGGCCCCGGAAAAGCATGTCTTTGGGGTTGGTTCCTAGAGGCAGAGGTTGAAGATGGAAGAGGGAGCTCTGGAGTGCTAACTTGAACACCAAGGGTGCTACTCATCCCTATGGTATCATATCATGAATGGACTTTACTAGTGGGGCAATGACTTTCCTAGACAATAACCCGAGGGACTCCAGATACATACCCCGAAGGTCTAGGAAATACGTTAAGGGCAGATTACAGTCATTTCCTACCCTTTAAAGGTAACTTCTCCCTTCTCCTGACCTACTTCCTCCTAGCAACCAACTTTACCTCTTCTTCTCCAAAGGATCTTTGTTCCTCTGAGCCAAGACTGAGGTAAATAAAGCCACTTTCCTCTTCAGATCCTGGTCTGCACCTCTAGAGGCAGGTCCTAAGAAGGAGAAACTGAGACCCTTCCTTCTCACTAACCTGGTTCTCAAACAGGCAGGATTCAGAGCACTGGATATCTTCCTTCAATGAGTAAACTTCCTGCAATGAAACTGTTGCTTAGTAGGAAGTTCAGCACCTTGAACCTTAATTTATTGCAGTCATTGTGATATGTGCTCTTTTTCTAGGTACTGCACTTATTCTTGAGGATATTCGGGTGGGCTGTGGTAACAGATACAACCTGTAGGCTCTCTCCTCCCTCCCATCTTGGCAGGATACCATCCTCCCTAAAGCCTCACTTCCCTGGTGGCCCAAGCAGTTATCTGGATTGAGGCTAAGCTGCCAAGGATTAGTAAATCATCTATTTAAATCTTCTAATACATTCACTCAAGAGCCATGAGCTTGCTGCTTGTGGTACTTGAGTCTTCTGGTTTTATTCTCAGAGAGTACAGCAGGGACTTGTTTATGAAACAGAGCAAGACCTTGGGGAGGGAAGAACCAATCCCTGACAGACCCTCTGTAGCCCAAGGGGCTTCCCAGCCAGCTTCCTTGCCCTAGGACAGTCCCAGGTCTGGGGCTGGGCAGCTCTTCTAGAGCAGAACTGGTCAGATGCTAGACGACCTCAACCTTCCTCTCCCAGAGTAGGAAAAGCAGTGTGGCTGGCTCCAGGCAACAAAAGCCAAGACTCTAGGGGTTCACCTGTAAGAGTCAAGGGTTCCCGTATTCCAAACTAAGGCAATGGCCAGGTCAGATCCCAAACCCTTGGCCTCACCCACACACCTTCTGGTCTTACCAACACTTACTGAGGAGAGAGTTTCCCCTTCCTGACCGGGGATACACTTCCTTTCAGGTGTTCTTAGTGCTTCATTTCCAGCTTTCTCAGCAAAAGGCCCTTCACGCCTTCCCTCTGCTTTTATCTGAACCTCCTGAATCTCCCAACTCACCTTTTCTCCTTAATCAAGAAGCAGCATATACTAACCTACCTGTCCCACTTTGCAGAATTACTTTATAATGTACACGAAGAAAGTTTGGCAAGGCAGCTAGAAAATTTAAAAGCACAATGTTGTAAAGTAAAGCTACATTCTCCAGGTCTCTTAGCATAAAAGCAGAACTATTGTGCTTCATATTTGGTAACTCCAGGTCAGCACTCTAAATACGTCATGCCGCCAGAACATTATTTCATAGGTTATTGTTTTATACCCCCAAATGGATACCAGATTCATTCCAGTTCTACCAAGAAAACATGACTGAGATGCCTTGGATCTGTATTGCTTTTCCCTTCCTTTTGCAATATCCACTTGTTCATTTGTTCATTCAACAAACACCAGAGTAGAGATAGTGGTGAACAACCACCATTGCTGCATCACGGAGTTTAAGTTCTCATCTTACACTCAATTGCCAGGGCCGTGGTCCCTTTACAAAGTAGACAACTCCAGAACTGGTGCTTGGGAAGACATCTTTGAGGTCAGCCAGTCAAACCTTTTGTGTTACAGATTTAAACTGATGCTGAGAAAGATGACTGGCTTCTTCCCCCAACTAGTAAGTTACTGTGGGGAGAGTGCAGAGCACAGGCCCCTTCCACCTCTTGTGTGCTCTTCAGGAGCCCATCTGTCTCAGCCAGAAGACAGAAACAGAGGGAGGCCCTGAGAAGTGACAAGGACATTGGTTGGGGTGGGCAAAACACTGTCTCCTTCCTGTCCCTGGCCTGTGAGCCTAAACACAGGCAGAGCTTTTTCTTTTTGAAAAGAATCGCAGCCTCAACTGGCCTTAGCAGCAGGTTAGGGCAAAGACAGAGACGGGGTCGTCTTCGGCGCTGGTGGTGCTGGCGGTGGTGGGAGGGGAGGGCAGGCCAGGGCACTCGCCTATTGTAGGTCTGGATTGGATGCTTCCACTCATTCATTTCCTTTTAATTAACCCGCATTCCTGGAGGAGAAATATTTATGTTGGCTCCCATAGAGGCAATCCTCAGACTGGAAAGAAGGGGGAAGAAAGCCTGTCTTAGCAAAACAATATCTCTAAAGAGCTCAAGAAGAGAAAATAGGAGAACAAAATGCCATTAAAATAGCCTTCTACCCCCACTGGAGTCAATGAAAACTTCATTTCACATGCTAATCCGCCACTCCGCCCCCTTGTCTTCTCACAACACCTTTTCCGAAAGTGTTTGGGAAAAGTCTTCGCAGTCAGTACACAGCTCCCTGCAGCTCAGACTTCTCCTTGTGTTAGTTCAGGGCCCCAAGTGGGGCTCTCGCTCCAGCAGCGGCTTTTTTCTCCCCCACTTTAATTTAAACAAAGACTTCGGAGTTCATCAACCTCCCACTGAAATTCACAGCTGCTGAACAAACTAATCCCCTCTCCCGGCCTTTCTTCCCTTCAATGGGCTCTTGGCTTCAAAGACACTTTGGGAAAGGACTTTGCTAGGGCTCACACTGCTTCATCAATAGAAGTTAGTGCAAGTATTATCTGAAGAGCAAGTGGCTTTACAAACAAATACTGCCTAACAATCCCTCCCTCCCAAACACACACACATCTAGCCCGCAGACATGATGGGATCTACAACAGGATTAGGGCTAGCATCCCCTGGCTTCACACCCAGTCCCTTTGTATAGCTGAGCTCAGCCCTGAAGTGGGGTAGGGAAAACCCTGGAACTGAACACCAGGCACGGATGAAGGGAGACAATCCCCCCACCCTCAACACACCCAGCAGAGTGACCACAAATGCTGCAAGGAGAGAACCTAATTCAGTGGGAATGGACACCTTCCTTTAACTTTCTTGATTTATCTCTCCCTAAGCCTCTCCCCTGCCTTACTAGGGTGCAGGAAGCAAGAATAAAGAGGACTAGAAAGGTAATGGCAAAATAGAACCCAGAGGAGGCAATGACTGGGAGATGACAGAGGAAACCAAATCGAAGCAGCTTTATTGCACCATTAAGTACATCACTGCATCAAAGACAGTGCCACAAATGCAAATCCAATCGGAGAAGGTAGCCCTGAGACATGTGGTGGCTGCGAGGGAGAAGGACCCCCAACCCTTGAGGAGCAGCGCTGGAAGAGAATCATTCCTTAATATGGCTCCAATTCCAGAACTGGGCTTTATCATCACAGAAGGAATGGCCTTGGGCTAAGGCTCCAACATAGGTGGAGTCAAGGGCAGTTCCCCATAGGCTGTGGTTCCCCTGCTCCTGTCTCACAGCCTAAGACAGCTTCCAGCAAAAGGCAGTTCATCCCTTTCACCTTCCATCCAACCTAGCCCACCCTTAATAATGCCGGCAGATGAGAAATTCCATTTTAACAGCGCCAAAGTTTCCTCTCTTGGTTCTGCTCAGCACCCATCCCTCACGTCCATGAGTTGTTCAAAGGGTGAACAGCAGTCAGCTCTACCCCAGACCCTGGGCTACAGAGAAATACGGACCTGGAAATACCAAGTCAGAGGCAGGGAAAAGGTAAGGGCAGGCTCATAAACCACAGAAGGGAGAAACAAAAGACCCACATGATGGGTCACAGCAGAGGTAGGCTTAAAAGTAACAATCCTGTTCACCCTCTCAGAAGCCACTTAAATAGAAGATCCCTGGGGGAGAAGATATCCTGCCCCAGGTCCTTACAGAGTGTAGTATTAGGGAGAGTGAAGAACTGATTCTATGCCCTGCCTCCAGGCCTGAGAGTGTCTTGGACAGATCCTAGAAGGCCAGACATAAAGGAGTAAAAAGCAGGCACTCAGCTGGTTTGGAGCCAAGCCTACAGCATCACATACCTGGCAGCAAGGAAAAGAGTCGGGAAAAAGAAACAGAATCTGTTGCAGAAGTCCCCTCTTCTGCAGGGAGGAGTTATGTAACAGCAGAAGTGGCCTCCTAGCAAGAGAGGCTGCCTGGTTTAGACCAGCAGCTTATGAGCGATGATGAGGACAGCCTTCAGGATAGGCATGAAGCTGGACACCTCGCTGAAGCTGCTACAGCCCGCCACCTGGGCATGCACTGCAAGGCCCTGCTCAAAGCTTCCTGCATCCACACATCGGGCAACCTCATGGAGCCCAGCCACGACATGAGGTGAGAGCTGTGGAGGGAATGACCCTTAGGTTAGTGAGCCCAACCCAGCTCCTACCCTGGCAGCATGGAAGGGATAAGGGAAGACTTAAGTTCTGGGGCCCAGTCCAGGCAAGATGCACGTATTTTGTGGGGAACCCAGGTCAGTGACACCTATGGGAAGAAAAGACACTGGGCTTCCTTTGGCCATGGTGATGGTGGAAGTGTAGGAGGCAGTGGGAGCACAGCTAGCTGTACTTACTGTCCCCTCACAGAGCTTCTCATATAGATACTCCAGACGCTGGGCTGCCTCTTCCAGCTTCCTTTTTGTCTTCTGCAGGGAAAGAAATGGATTCCAACCCCAGCCCCTAAGTCTAACACCACACAGGGCCATAAAGAATCACAGCATATTAGGCCGGGCATGGTGGCTCACGCCTGTAATCCCAGCACCTTGGGAGGCCAAGGCGGGTGGATCATGAGGTCAGGAGATGGAGACCATCCTGGCTGACACGGTGAAACCCCGTCTCCATTAAAAATACAAAAAATTAGCCGGGTATGGAGGTGGGCACCTGTAGTCCCAGCTACTCGGGAGGCTGAGGCGGGAGAATGGCTTGAACCCGGGAGGCAGAGCTTGCAGTGAGCCGAGATCGCGCCACTGCACTCCAGCCTGGGCGACAAAGCGAGACTCCATCTCAAAAAAAAAAAAAAAAAAAAATCACAGCATATTAGAGCTAGAATGGCTTCATTTCACAGAGGAGGGAATGAAGGCCCAAGAAGGGTAAGTGACTTGCTCAAGCCGACACAGCCAGCAGGGGAATGGCAGACTTCCTCACTCCTGGCTCCACCCTCCTTCCAGTACCCCTGCTGCCTTTAGGTCTCAATGCTGCTGGGTCCTACCACCAAGGAGCTGGACTTCAGACCAGACTCAAAAGTCTCTCCCCAGCTCCACATGGACGTCAATTAAGTACAAGATAGAGACAGCATGTCCAGGGGCAGTGAGAAGAGAGTCACACAAGGAACTGGTCCACAGCTGAGGGGTCCTGGAGCCAGCGAGGGGTGCGAGGAGGGCACTGTGAAGAAGGTTCAGACTTACTAAGTCAGTTGCAGACAGGGAGCAGCGTTGGAGAAGCGCCTCAAAGCTGCTCTTCAAGGACTGATGCTCTGGGGGCAGCTCCTTCCTTTCCATCTTCTCAGGTGGCAGGTGCTGAAGCTGCTGATAAAGAAGCAGGGAGAAAGGCCAGAGGGGCAAGCTGTCCTTCTCATGGCTTCCCTAAGGACTAGTCCCCAGTGACTCACAGTCACACTGTTCCCATTACAGCAGAGTTGGGGAGATGAGCAGCCTCCCTTTCTCTGCAGTAAGGACACCTGGTACCTGCCCCCAGTCTCCCTCAGCACATGCCTTGAGGAATGAGGCCCATCTACCATGACCTGCACCCAAGGAGGGCTGGAAGGTTTCCCAAGGGAGGGGAATACATTGTCCTTGTCACCTGCAGGCTGAGTTCTCCTGGAACTCCTGGGGGAGCATGACTCACACTGGAGACAGGGGGCTGTGAGGGAAGAATCCCTTGTAGCTCAGGGGTGAGGCTCATAACTGGAGCAGTAATTGGTGCTGGGGGCATAAATGTCTCTGGCAGCTAAAGAGACAGAAGGAAAGACATGAGTCTAACCTGAGAGACTCCATGGCTCTGGTTTTGGGGAGTGGCAGGAATGACAGTGAACAAGGAGACAGAAGAGTGAGTGTGGGAAACTGGGAAGTGAGGAGACTGGTGTATGTGTGTAAGAGGGAAAGAGAAAGAAGAGGGTTCTGAGGAAAGAAGAGTAAGTGGGAGGAGGGCGGGGACAGTCTGAGAAGGGGAAGGACTGACTGAATCCTCCAAGGAATTAGAACGTGGTCATTGGTGAATGTGCGAGGGAGTGGGTAGGGAAAGATGCATTGACCTTGTTCCTCTGGAGGTTTCCCCTGGGGGCTGGGGCTTCTTTCCAGGAATCTTGAGGTCCTATAGAATAAAAAGATAGAGGTTTTTCGGCGCATAGTGAAAAACACTGGAAGTTTTTTATCTGAAGGCTGGAAGCATTCTTTGAGTTGGAGTTCACCATACCTCCCTCTGCAGACCATCTACACTCCCAGCCACCCTCCACCCAACAGGGCCCTAGCCCTCTGACTTGAGGAAAGACTCCCAAAGTAGTGAGAGGAGCAGGGGAGGCAATAACCCAGAAGAGGGATCCATGGAAGGAAGACTGACCTGGGTGAGGAGTCAAGATGCCAGTGGTTGGGAGGACACTAGAGCATGGGGCACCTGGGTCCCCTGGAAGGTATGGCACAGGGAAGCTTGCAGGAGGGGCTGGGGTGTGGGAGACCATGCGGCCGGGACCTAGTGGTCTCAGAGGAAGCAGAGGGAACAGTCTAGGAGTCTCAGGCAGGGAGGTAGAGCCAGGTCGCATGATGCCTGGGCATGCCATGGGTAGAGGGGAACCAGGAAGAGGCCATGTCCCAGGGAATCCCACCGGGTTAGGAACTTGCACCCTTTGCCCTCCTAATAGCTGTGGCTGAGATGAAGCTGAAGCAGAACAGAAATAGGTCATTTGTCACTAAACTTCATTTCAGGAGCAACTCAGAGCATATCAGGGAGAAACAGGATTGCAATAAAAAAATAATAAATGATTAATACATGTATATGGAAATCTATAATTTACAAAATACTTTTAACTATATTCCTTATTTGACCTTCAAAACAATCCCATAGCATTGAAATAAGCAACACAACACTTTGGTATATTGCCAAAGGTACGAAGCCAGTGATAGCATTAGGAATTCAGACTTCAACTTCCAAGCTCCTCTCACTAGACAGACATACAGCTTCCCAAATCCATGCTGGCCATGCCAATTGCTTTCCTGAGACCTCTGTGCTCTGCCCAGATAGATCTTCAGTGACTCACTCACCAGGCCTTACCCCAGGGCTCAAAGGCAAAGGCTGGATGGCCTGGGGCCCAGGTGCCCTGTAGTCACTTATATTCTGTGTCCTGGGACCCTGATAAGGGCTAGGATGGGAAGGTGCCAAGGGCATCGCTGGTGATGACTGAGGGGTGAAAACCCTTGGCCTTGGAGATGGAGTTGGGACCTATGAAGAGAAAAAAACATCAGCTCTTGGAAAGGAAAGAGAAAGGTAAATAATAGAAAACAGAAAAATAATAGGGAAAATTAATGAAACAAAAACTAGTTCTTTGAGGAAAAAAATCAATAAAATTGATAAACATCTAAAAACTGATAAAGATAAAAAGCAAGAAGATATAAATCATCATCAGAGATGAAACAGGGACTATTACAACAGACCCTGAAGCCATTAAAAATATAAACGAATACTACAGAAAACTTTACATTCATAAATCTGACAACTTATCAGAAATGGACCCATTCCTCAAGAACCATAAACTACCAAAACTCAGTCACAATGAAAGAAGATCTGGATAGTCCTATAACCATTAAAGAAATTGAGTTTGTAATTTAAAAGCTCCCAAAAAAGAAATCTCCAGGCCTAGATGGTTTCACTGGAGAATTTCACCAGTCAAAGAATTAATGCAAAGTTTATGTAATCTCTTCCAGAAAATAGAAGGAACACTTCCTAACTAATTTCATGAGGCCAGTATTACCCTGATGCCAGCAACAGAAAAAGATAGCAGAAAATAAAACTACACATCAATATTTCTCATGAACTTAGACACAAAAATCCTCAACAAAATTTTAGCAAATCAAATAATGTATATAAAAAATAATATTCCACAAGAAAGTGGGATTGATTCCAGGTCATACAAAGCTGATCCAAGATATTTAAAAACCAATCAATTTAATCCCCTATACCAACAAACTAAAGAATGAAAATAACATGATGACAGAAATGATGCAGAAAAAACATTTGACAAAATTCAACACCGATTCATGATCTAGTACACAAGGTGTTATGGTCTGAATATGCTCCCCAAAGTCATGTGTTGAAAACTGAATCCTCAATGCAACAGTGTTGGGAAAGTGGGACTTTTTGTAAGTGTTTAGGTCATGAGGGCTCTGCCCTCATTAATGGATTAATGCCACTACAAAAATGACTTGCAGGAGTGGGTTTGCTTTCTCTTGCACATCTGCTATCTGCCATGTGAGAACACAGCAGCAAGGCACCATCTTGCAACTAGAGGGTGGAACCGTACCTGCTGGAACCATACCTGCTGGTGCCTTGATCTTGGACTCCAGAACCATAAGAAATAAATTTCTGTTCTTTATAAATTTCCCAGTCTGTGGTATTCTGTTATAGTGGCACAAAATGGATTAAGACACAAGGAATAGAGGGAAATGTCCTTGGTCTCATAAAGAGCATCTGTGAAAAACCTAAAGCTAACATCATGCTTAATGCTGAAATATTGAATGTTTTTCCTCTAAGACTGGAAACAAGGCAAGAACATTCATGTTCACTATTTATTTATTTTTTTTGAGACAGAGTTTCGCTCTTGGTGCCCAGGCTGGAGTGCAATGGCACAATCTCAGCTCACTGCAACCTCCACCTCCCGGGTTCAAGCGACTCTCCAGCCTTGCCTCCTGAGTAGCTGGGATTACAGGCATGCGCCACCATGCCCGGTTAATTTTATATTTTTAGTAGAGATGGGGTCTCACCATGTTGGCCAGGCTGGTCTCAACTCCTGACCTTAGGTGATCCACCCACCTCAGTTTCCCAAAGTGCTGGGATTACAGGTATGAGCCACAGCGCCTGGCTTATGTTCACTATTCTTATTTAACAGAGACTGGAAGTCCTAGTCACTACAATAAGGCATAAGAAAGAAATTAAATGCATATAGATTGAAAAGAAAGAAAACTATCTATTTGCAGATTTGTAGACAGCATGACTGTCTATTAGAAAACCCCATGGAATCCACAAAAAACTTCTATAACTATTCAGGAAAGTCACAGGATATAACCAGATCAACACATAAAAATCAACTGCATTTCTATATACTCACAATGAACAAGTGGAAACCAAGAAATTTGATTTTAAACTGCTGAAGAAAAAAATTAAATACTTAGTAGGCATGAGCTGACAGGTGATATAAAAAATTAAATACTTAAGTATGAATTGGACAAAATATGTACAGGATTGGTGTGACAAAAATTATAAAACGCTGATGGAGAAACATGCCACATTCATGGACTGAAAGACTGAACCTAGTAAAGATGTCAGTTAGGAACTTGTATTTGAATACTCATAGCAGCTTTACTCATAATACCCCAAATTGGAAACTATCCGAATGTCCTTCAAAGTTTGAATGGCTAAAAAAATTAAAACTGGGGCCGGGCGCGGTGGCTCATGCCTATAATCCCAGCGCTTTGGGAGGCCGAGGCGGGCGGATCACGAGGTCGGGAGATCAAGACCATCCTGGCTAACATGGTGAAACCCCATCTCCACTAAAAATACAAAAAATTATCCGGGCGTGGTGGCGGGCGCCTGTAGTACAAGCTACTCGGGAGGCTGAGGCAGGAGAATGGCGTGAACCTGGGAGGCAGAGCTTGCAGTGAGCCAAGATCGCGCCACTGCACTCCAGCCTGGGCAACAAAGCAAGACTCCATCTCAAAAAAAAAAAAAATTAAAACCATGGTACATTCACACCATGGAATACTACTCTGCAATAAGAATGAGTGAACTACTGGTACACAGAACAACTTGAATGAACCTCAAAGAAGTTATGCTAAGGGAGAAAAGCCAATCTCAAAAGGATACATATTGCCATGATTCTATTTAAGTAACAATCGTTAAATAACAATGATAGAGCTGGAGAACATATTGGTGAAGCCAAGGATGAGGGAGGCAGAATAAGTGCAGCTATAAAAGAGGTAACACAAGAGAGTCTTGTGGTGATGGTAAAATTGAGTATCTTGATTTTGGTGGTGGTTACACACCACAATGTGACAAAACTGCATAAACACACATAAACACACACCTAACAATATGTAAAACTGGTGGAGACTGAATCTGAAATCTGAATCCATGGATTGTACTAATGGCAATTTCTTGGTTTTGATAGCGTACTGTGGTTGTGTGAGATGCCGACACGGGGCGGGGTGTTGTTGGGATGCAGGAGACATCCCAGTACATTTCTTTGCCACCTCCTGTGAATCTATGGTTATTTTTAAATGAAAAGAGACGGGGAGAGGGAGAGAGAGAGGAGAGGAGGGGAAGGGGAAAAGGGGAGACAAGGGAGGGAAGAAAGGGAGGGAGGAAAGGGAGGGAAAAAAAGAAAAGGAATTAGGGTGGGGATTGAAGGTGGGACAAGATGAGCCATCAGAGCTTCTGCCTGGTAACTGTATCCAAATCTCCCTGGATTCTGTTCTCCGGCAGCTCTAGCAAGCTTCTGGCCTCACATCTTAACAGTATCCAATCCCCCCGGGCACTTTGGCCAGAACCTCTTTCCTCTCCCTCAGTACCCCCAACCACACACACACCTCTCCAAACTATCAGCAATTCTGTCAGTTCTATCTACTAAGTACTAAGTATTTCAAATCCAACCTCACTGGCTAGCTTTAGTTATTTCATGTCTTCATCATCCCTTACTATAGCCTAACTCCCTCCAGCCTGGCCCTTCCTAACATACAGCTAATTATGTCACTCTTCCTAAAACTGTTCAATAGCTCCTCCCTGTCAAGTTTAAGTTCTTTAGCACAGAATGCTAGGTCCTTAGTGATCTAACTCCTACCTGTTGTTCCAGCTTCATCTAACTTCACAGCCACAAACACCTGTGTTGCAGCCCCAATTAAATAATAGTAATTCTCAAAAGGCTTCGGCTTACTCTTGCTTCAGTGCCTTTGTACATGCTATTCTCTGTGCCTGAAACAGTCTTCACTTGCTCATCCCTTTGCCTAAAACCTTTTAATCTTTGAAACTCTGATCAAACATCCGACTTGTTCTGAAACACTCCCTGGACTGCCCCCACAACCTCACCATACAGAGTAAACTACTTTCATCTGTGTGATCTTATAGCCCCTTGCCATACCCCAATCATGGTATTTATGAATTTTACTGTAGCTATTTTTTTTTTTTTTTTTTTGAGACGGAGTCTCGCTCCGTTGCCAGGCTGGAGTGCAGTGGTATGATCTGGGCTCACTTCAACCTCCACCTCCCAGGTTCAAGTGATACTCCTGCCTCAGCCTCCCGAGTAGCTGGGACTACAGGCACGTGCCACCATGCCCAGATCATTATTTTGTATTTTCAGTAGAGATGGGGTTTCACCATGTTGGCTAGGATGGTCTCGAACTCCAAACCTCATGATCTGCCCGCTTTGGCCTCCCAAAGTGCTGGGATTACAGGCGTGAGCCACCACGCCAGGCCTACTGTAGCTATTTTTTACATATCTATCTTTCGACTACACTATGAGCTACTTGAGGGCAAGTATCACAATTTTTGCACCTTTATGTCCTAAGAGCCTAGTAGTTCAATAAACAGTTATTTATTATAAAAAGAACTGAATCTATGTTCTATGGAAGTTGGGAATTTTCATCAGTTTTGTTCACAATATATTCCAAGTGCCCAGAACCATGCTTGGCACGTATTATTGAATGAACAAATGAATGAACAAACGAGGTCTTACCTGGTGAGAAGGCTGGGATCCCAATCTGTAAGATGATGTCTCTTTAGAGTGGAGGGTAGCTCCCACAACAATCCGGGGGAAGGGGAAAGGGGGAGACTGTTGGCCCAAGACAGCAGAACCTTGAGCATGAAAAAGCCGATCTCTTAGCTGCTGAACTGGTGGCTATAAGTTTTAATGAGGAAGAGCTGTGTCAAGAAATTAAAACAATCAAGGCCCCAGGTAGCAGTCAAATTTCAGCTGACCCTCTACACCAAGCTTGTCCAACCTGTGTTATTTTGTTGTTGTTGTTGTTCTGTTCTGTTTTGTTTTGTTTTAGGTTTTTAGCAGCCTGAAGCCATGGTTTTTGGTTTGTCTCTAGTGATAAGTGGAAAACCGGGATGAGGAAGGGGCTTTACTGGCCCAACCAGAAACAGAAACTAAGCACCCACGACTGTATTCTGACCCTTGGACACCCCCGCTCTATACTCTAGCCCCCTTAGAGATGACTCAAGGTTCCTGAATCCCTGCCAAACACTTGCATGCCTCCCTCCTTGCTATTCTTTCTGCTTAGAATGCTCTATATCTGCTGGTAAGCTACTTCTCTTTGAAGGTCCAGCTCAGCTGTTTTAACCATTGAGAAGCCTTCCTTGACTTCTCCAGGCAAAAATCAGTCCCTTCCCTGGACTCCCACAGTGCTCAGTATAAGCTTCTGTTATGGCACTATAAGTCATCAACATCTGATCTTCCCCCAGTAGATTGTGAGGTGCTTAAGGGATTCCATCTTATCTATCCTAGGAGCTTCAGCATTAGCATAGTGCCTGGAATATGGAAGTGCTCAATCAATGTTAGATGACTGAATGAAATGGTTTGCTCTCTCCACATGGCCCCACTTACCTGAGCACAGTCCCTGGGTAGAAAGCTCATGGCAGTGGCCAGGCTGCCCTGGGCTGCCAGGAGGTTGGCATACTGAGTGACCCTGTAGGTTGTGGCAGGGCCTGGGCTCACCCCATGAGGACCCCGCAGTTGCTCCAAGCTCCTGTTAAGAACCATCACCTTCTCCATCAGGTCCTGTAAGGGCAAGGATGAGGGTGGTAAGCCTTCAATGAGGCATATCCTGCTCTCTAAGTCCACGCAGCTCATTCAGGGATCTCCCACTATGGGTACAGATGAGGGCACCTGACCATACCTAGGTGAAGGCAGCAGATGATGACACGTAAGAACTGTGACAGAGAAGGGCCACCTGGCCTCACCTCCCAAGCTGTTAGGATTGGATTTAACTGGACCCATCTGGGTCTTAGATTTTTGTACATCTCTACCTCTTCCTTTTGCTTTTTTACCCTTTCTGCTTATACATCACCAACCACAGACTCTGTCAGACTAATTGTTTCATGTGCGACTTTTGTCTCTCCATGAGTCTGTGACCCCCACTTTCTGTGGTCACCCACAGAACACCTGGAAGTTTAGATCCACAGAACTTTCCACAGTAGCTAATAGAAGGGCCAAGCCACAATTACTCAAGTACTGAATACATCTGTAAAACCAAACCTGAAATAGGAAAAAAATTATGAAGACTAACACTGAAGCAGCTGCTGCTTAGTCTTCTCTGAGGGAAGAGGAGAAGATCCCAGACATTCAGGACCTTTCGCTCCTCCCTAACACCGTGGTTCCAGCCTGTCCCAGAAGATTCGCCTCTGCTAGCTCTGCACATCTCCACCACTAGCCTCCTAAGGGCCTGGTGTGGAGTGGCCAGTACCCTGCAGAGAAGGGGTACCTGCAGAGCCATGGGGGACAAAGCCTGGTGGCATTTTGCCCAGCACTCCACCAGCCGCTCCACACTCCCTGAGCACACATAACAGAGTCTGGCTTCGGAGGTTAGTGCCCTGCTGCCCTCCTGTTCCATGCGAGTTCCCAGCATGTCTGCAGAGAGAGGGTAATTTCATTAATGGCACAGCTGCCCTGTGTGCCTCTCCTTCTCCTGTTTGGAAACAGGGAGAGGACCATGAGCCTGGGACAAGTAGCTGCAGTTTAAGACAACACTGAGACTCACCTTGCTGTACAGAGAAGGGGAAAGTTCTCACATCATGGTGTGACAAGACAAGGTAAAACAGGACAACAAAGGATCCCCTCTGAAAATAGGGGCATGCACTGTGGTCCCTGCCTCCTGGCTGAGCCAGATTCTAGCCCTGACAACATTGCCTCGCCTCCCACAGCTCAGTCTGCTCCTCCACCTCCCTCCTGCATGCATCCTTTGACTCCATGCTGGAGTCACACCATTTCATCCTGAAGCCTGGGACCACACTTACCACAGAGCTCGGGAAATTTCTCTGTGCCTGAGTATGTCAGTAGCAAAGCCAGTGCCTCTCTCCAGTTCTTCAGGCTACAGGTACACACCACATCCTTCCAATTCTTTTGCACAACACAGGCTAGAAGCTGTAATGGGCAGAGAGGGAAAGAGACCATCAGCCATCCATCCAGCATAGGCAGCAGGATTCCTGCACAGGCCTCCTGTTAGAGCACTGAGTAGGGGCAAGGGATGAGGTGGGGGTGGTTAGAGTAGAAAGAGAGAGGCAGGCAGATACTCAAACATGGGTCCCAAGGTGTGGGTATCCACCTCACAAGGTCCAAGTAATCCCCTCCCTTCTTCTCCTGCATGATGGGCAGTTACCGAGGAGATTTTGGTTTTCTTCTTGGCCAAGTAGCGCTCCTGTGTTTGCTTCAGCAGATCTGTACCCCCAGCCTGGGCCAGGATAATGGCATCAGCAAAGCGCTCCTCCTTCAGACACAGCTCCACGGCCGGACCCAGTTCCCCAAGCAGGAGAGCCTGGCTTAGGAGTCCATCAATATCTGCAGGCAGAAGCATCCCCTGTGCATTAGTTGCTCTCAAACCCCAACTTCCTGCCCCCTGCAGGGCCCACAGCACACCCTCTATATCTCTATATCACTCAGTGTGCTTGGCTCCAAACTAAATCCTCAAGTTTCACTCCTTGGCAATAAAATGTATTTTGGTGCCCAGGTCTAAAGACAGGGCCCAAGACAAGGGAGGGAACTGATGTGGCAGTAGCACAGTGTGAGGTGTGCTTGATCACAGTGGGCAGGGCCACAGTCCTTTCAGCAAGAAGGATAGAAGAAAATCTGTTGGTAGAAGGCCTTCCATAGGAAGGACGTATCCATGAAAATCTACAACCAGAGAGAGCTCTAACTGGTAAGCGACTCACTCAGCATTTGAGACGGTGGGAGGAAGGCACGAGGCAGGGGACAAGAAGGGAATGTCTCAAGTCCAAAACCTCCGTGCCCACCTAGTCCTAAGCAGAGACTCTCCCTCTCCCTCAGGGTCAGGGTACCTTTTGTGATGGGGATCTCCCAAGGAGTCATGTTCTGAGGGACCAGCTCATCAAAGAAGGCTGAGGAAGCAGAGGCTTCCTTTGTGGTGTGTTTGGAGGCCTGTATGAGGAAGGACAGAGGTGACTACTTAGGGATGAACCCAAGACAGACAGAGAGCTGGCTTAGTAGCCCTGAGAGCTCTACTATTTGGCCGTTAATGGGTAAAACTAAAAAAATAGCCAGGTAAGGTTTGGGGAGGGCCATAGTTCATGGTTAAGACACAGCTCTCCACTCCCAGCCCAAAAGCTTAGGGACTCTGTGTCTCACTCTGGTTCTAAGAGAGTGAGGAGTCTGAAGACTTCTACAGACGCTAAACACTTACAGACAGCAAAGAAAAGGGCCAGGAAGGGAAAGATGCCCAAAAGGCAGGTTTCCTGTGTTACCATAGGTCAGGCTGACTGGACTCCTACCACACCTGGCTGCAGAAGGCCTGTTGTCTGTCACTGTTGAGGTCATTTCCCTTGGGCTGAGGACTCTCACCTAGCCCCACGTCACTCTTCAACCATGTGGCCACCTGCAGGGAGAGACCTCTGAAAACCGCTCTTTCAAGCGTAAGATCAAATAAGCATTATCCTCTTTTCCTATCTCCATACCCCACCAACTGTACTCTCTAAGATCCCTGATCTATTTTTTTCTGAGAAAAAAACAAACTCCAGGATGTAAAATGCTCACATATGCAATAATAAGGCCAGGAAGAGGTATTCTGAGGTGGTTTACTCTGGCAACATTCTCTTCTTCTCTTCAACAAGTACATGTTTCTGATGTGAAAAGCAGCTTACCTTCTTCTGAAGCTCATCTTTACTGTATCCTAAAAGCTTTAGGAATTTCATTCTGGAGTCTTGCTCTAAGGTCACCTAAGAAACCACAGAACACAGAAAAGATTCCATTAAATGAACATAAATGACGCTCTTCCTACAACAAGCTGGGTATCTGTGCCAGTATACCCAATATAGTTCTTTGTACTACTAGAAGTGCCCTCAGCAGTCCAATGCCATCTCTTTTTCCTCCCTGGATCTGACTTACTGATGGGCTATCAGCAGTGTTAACATAGCCCCCTGCCCTTTGCACATGAGAATTTGACCTTTCATTGACTTCCTAGCTCTGTTACCCTGGTAGTCTGGTGAGAGTAAAATGTCAGCTGTTCCTAGGCAATATGCTTGTGATTGGTAACTTGCATCTGGACTGGAACTATGTAACCTAGAAATAATTAATGTGAACAACATGCTATGCATTTCCCTGTTTGCAGTGGCTCTTGTAACTGGACAGATTCCTTGCAGGGACTCCGGAAGCTATGCTTTTAGAATTGGTACAAGAGATATTGGCTCTTGTGGGCAAGAAGCTTCTAAGTCAGGGCAACTTACATACCTGCCTGATGTATAGTCTCATCTCCTTGCACCTGAGCTGTCTCTGGCGGGCTGAAGAAGAGAACTCTGAATTACTGCATGACTGCTGAAAGGGCTCCCACAGAAGACACCTGCCTGATGCTACCCTGCTGTGGTCCCTATCCCATATCCTTCCGAGGAGACTGCTGCCAAGTGTAGCCTACAGTAGTCTTGTGAGTCTAAATGTTTCTTTTCTTTTTTTTTTTTAGACAGACTCTTGCTGTCTCAACCAGGCTGGAGTACAGTGGCGCCATGTCGGCTCACTGCAACCTCCACCCTCAGGGTTCAAGTGATTCTCCTGTCTCAGCCTCCTAAGTAGCTGGAATTACAGGCGCCCTCAACCACGCCCGGCTAATTTTTTGTATTTTTAGTAGAGACAGGGTTTCACCATGTTGGCCAGGCTGGTCTCGAACTCCTGACCCCAGGTGATCCACCCACCTCAGCCTCCCAAATTGCTGGGATTACAGGCGTGAGCCACCGCACCCAGCCTTGTGAGTCTAAATGTTTCTTTGAGAAGACCTCTGGTAGAAGTTGCACAGGTACAGTAAACAAAGTCAGCTTCCCACTCAATGTCCCAAATACCAAGGAGCAAACCTTTCTGAAGCCCCCGTAATCTTGGTTAGCTGTCCCAGGCCCTTAATTTATTCCACACTGAAACATGATTTCTAACCATACCTTTCTCATAGTCTCTCTGGGCACCCTTCTCCTTCCATGCCCTTCCCTTGGAAATGTTCACCACACCCAACCAGGAACCATCATGATGGACAGCTCTTGGGTAGCTTTTAAACCAGAATGCCTGGCCAGGCGCGGTGGCTCACGCCTATAATGCCAGCACTTTGGGAGGCTGAGGTGGGTGGATCACCTGAGTTCAGGAGTTCGAGACTAGCCTGGCCAACATGGTGAAACCCTGTCTCTACTACAAAAAAAATACAAAAAATACAAAAAAAAAAAAACCCTGTCTCTAAAAAAAAATACAGGCGTGGTGGCAGGTGCCTGTAATCCCAGCTATTTAGGAGGCTGAGGCAGGAGAATTGCTTGAACCCGGGAGGCAGAAGTTGCAGTAAGCCAAGATCATGCCATTGTACTCCAGCCTGAGCGACAAGAGTGAAACTCTGTCTCAAAAAAACAAAAACAAAAAAACCCAGAATGCCCTGTCCTATAGGTCCCTCTGTCCTATAGGTACCACTGTCTCCTTTGTTTAGCGGAGTAAAGGCTGAACTCCTGACCACTCCCTCTCTTTACCATCTCACCATTCCTGGAACTTGTATCCTGCTTATGACAAAAGCATCATTTCTTATTCTTTTCTTCCCACATCATTCTCTGGCTTCACTGTATAGTCAAGATCTTTCTCAAATCCTCTTTCTCTAACTTCCTGATGTCCACCTTCATAAAGCTCTACTATGCCTAAAGCTCAAATTTCAAGTCCCTCTCAGATGCCCTGGTACAGGCCCAATCCTTTTTGCTTTCTTCTAAACAATTCCAAAAACTTGCACAATCATCCCACTGACTGACCAGTCAGCTACTTGCCTTTCTTCCTTCAGATCTCTCACTTGCTCATTTCCTTTGATAGGTATAGTACTCCTCCTGGTGTCACAGGAAACTTGAAATTAAATGAGAACTGGAACTGAACCCATGCCTCCAGTGTACAGTGGCACCTGAACCCTAGGACCCACTCCAAGGACTTGCCTTGGGTTACTTGAAACCAACTCAAAGCCTTCTTATGACAATATGTCCTTCTAACTAATGTTTTTCCTTTCTCCTCTTTTTCTCTTTCCTCCCTTTTTTCTTCCTTCCCATTACCTTATCTGCCCTTTGGCATGATACCGTGAAGGTCTTTGCCTTGGCCCTGGTAAAATACCTAGGACATCAACCATAGTAGCAACAAAAGAAAACATCTCGTGTATTCCCCATCTTTCCTAGCCTCTTCCCAAATGGCCTTTGAGCCTCTGGTAAAGGGTGAACGTTTTGTGTCTAGATGGTGGGTATAGTGTGGGGGAAAAACTAATGGGAGTTAAGGCCTCTGTGATCTGGGTCCCAGTGTGCTTGTGCTTCTCCTGCAGTTGACAGAGGTTGGAGTTCCAGGCTTTGGGGAGACACTTCTGAGCAGCTAGCCTTCAGGCTTCCCACCTTCAGGAACTGCCACAGCATCTTTTCACTTTGCAGTAAAGCTTGCTGGCTCTTGTTCTGACAGTAATTCAGTAGATTTCCTGATCCCAAGGCCTCCTGCAGCTCAGCTGATCGCATCAGGAATTCAGATTCTGTGGTGACTTGACTGATGAAGACTAGGCGGGGGCAAGGCTGTGGCACCAGATGGGCAGGGGTGCTGGGGAGGCCAAAAGTAACCAGCTTCCCTCCAAACTGGTGAGGAAAAGCAAGAAGGGTAAAGGTTATACCTTCAAGTCAAAAAGTAACACTAAGTCAGATTCACAGAGAAGGCTATCTAATGGCTGACCCTAGGCTAGGAAATAAATAAAATAAGAGAGTTCCTGGGGGGTGGAATAGGATCAGGAATTTAGTATTGAATTCGTCTCCCTACCAAAACCACTTCTGCACTCTTAGGACCACCCACTTCAAACTTCACCACACAAGACTCACCTTCTGCTAACCTGTCCTGGTACCACCATTCTCCCAGTCACCTGGGCTAAATACCTCAGCATTAGCAAAGTCTTCATACCCCCTATAGCCAAGCAACGACAAAGTCCTACCTATTCTTGTTCACTGTCTTTCATGCAGGTCCCCTCCATCCCATTCCCAGTGCCAGTACCCCCAGATTACTAAAATAGTTTGCTAGCCTTCTGTTCTTTTCCCTCCTCTAATTAAGCCTTAGACTATCCCTCTATTGCTTGTACCAACCTGCTGCTATTCAGGAGCCTGTGTGGTTTCACAAGGCCACAGGAAAGAGCTTAAGCTCCCCTTCCTGCAGTGCACAAACCTCTGCAAAATCAGGGCCAAACCTATCTTTCCCAGCATCTCTCTCCCTGCTTGTTTATTATAATTGCTCCACATCCCTAAAATGCCTGGTGTGTTCCTGCTTCTGTGCCTTTACCCACAACACCCCCACCTGGAGTATCCGTCTCACCAAATTAGATGCCTTATATAAAGCATCTGGCACAAAACAGGACCTTAGAAAAACCCTTTTTACTCCAGCAGTTCTCAACATTGGCTGCATATTAAAACCACATGGAGAACAATCCAGACTTGCCAGGCCACACCCCAGACAATACAATCAGAAACTCTGGGGATGGGACTAGGCATCAGTATTTTTTGAATTATTCAGGTTATTCCAATGTGTATCCAAGGCTGACAACTTTTTTTTTTTTTTTTGAGATGGAGTTTTGTTCTTGTTGCCCAGGCTGGAGTATAATGGCGCAATCTCGGCTCACCGTAACCTCCGCCTCCCAGGTTCACTCGATTCTCCTGCCTCAGCCTCCCAAGTAGCTGGGATTACAGGTATGCACCACCACGCCCGGCTAATTTTGTATTTTTAGTAGAGACAGGGGTTTCTCCATGTTGGTCAGGCTGGTCTCGAACTCCCCGACCTCAGGTGATCCACCTGCCTCGGCCTCCCAAAGTGCTGGGATTACAGGAGTAAGCCACCAGCGCCTGGCCGACAACTTTTTTTTTTTTTTAATTTTTACTTTAGGTTAAAAAAATTCAATCCAATGCAGTAAATGTCCATGTTTGTTATATGGTAAACTTGTGTCATGGGGGTTTGTTGTACAGATTATTTGGCGTTGATAACTATTGCTTTACTCCCTAACTATTCACCATTTCTTTTCCCAATATCCACCTCCTAATGAACTCTCCCAGTCAGAATTCTTATTTACCGTGACTTCTGCAGCACAAAATCTACACCACAGATTAGTGCTAAACAAAACCATTTTAACTTTTGATTTATATAGTACTTGATAGTTTTACAAAGTGTGTACATATATTCTTATTTGTGGTTCATGTTAATTTTCTGGGCAGGCATCACTATCCCTGTTTTACCGATAAGAACGGTTAAGTCCTGAGAGGTTAAATGAATTGTTCAAGGTTACCCAGCTAATAAATGACAGAGCTATGATAAGAATTCAGGCCTCTTGACCTCAGAATTCTTTACCTCCCTACTTCTTTTTCTTTTTAAGCTCACAGCCTATTGAATGTGTTAGTCTTGCCTCCCCAGTAAAACCGTTGGCTTTGAAAACAAGAACTTCCGCTTTTATACATCTGTTTTCAATTCAAACCTAATATTTAAAGCATTGTACCAAGTGCTTCAGGGCCTTGTCATTCAAAGTGCTAGTCCTCCGACCAGCTGCAAGGACATCAACTGGGAGCCTGCTGAAAAATCAGAATCTTGGGCCTTACTTCCAACTCAATGAACCAGTTTCTGAATTTTAATAAGATCCCCAAGTGATGTGGATGCACATTAATAGTTTGTGAAGCACCGCTTTGGGGATATAAAAATCAGCAAGACATAGTCCCTATCCTTAAGGAGTCTATTACTTAGTAGGGTAATATGCATATATGTATATAAATAACTTTAGTATAGTTAGAATGTATCGTTACCAAAGTATAAGTCTGTGGGATTATAGAGAGAGGTTAATTTTGACTTGGGTTAAAGACAGGCATCAAGGAGGAGATAGTATTTAAGAGAGGGGCCTTGAAAGGCTGTGGTAGCATTCAATGGGCCCAGGAGAGAAGCTGAAGGTTAGGGTACAAGCAGAGACAGGAAGAGTTGAGGAGTTATTTACAAAACAGAAAGAAGTCATATGTAACTGGAACATAGAGAACATATGAGAATGAGACAGAAATGGAAAGGTAAGTGGAGCCCTGTGCAAATTTAGCCTTGTCTATAAAGCAATGGGAGGCTCAAACGTTTTGAACAGAGAAATGACAGAATAAAATGGTTTTTTTTTTGCCTTCTTTGTAGTTCCTTACTACCAGTCCAGACACGTAAGGGTTAGAGAAAAGATGGAATCTCAGGCTATTTCTCCACAACCAAGAGTTCTAAGGCAGTCAGCTCCTTTTAGACAGGACTGGCAGAAGATATAGAATGGGTGAAGTGAAGAGAAGGAAGCTATAGTAACTCTCTCCTTGAGAGGTAAAGTGGGATCCATTCTGAGACAGAGGCAGTGGGAATACGTCTGCTACAAAACTTAGCTCCATGCTGGGCACATGGTAGGCTTCACAAACACACACACACACACACACACACACAAACACACACACACCTATACATCCACTACACTTACAGCAAATGAAACACCTGTTGGTCTTCTAATCCATTTGGGGGGTTTTTTCAGGGGAGGTATCAGTGGTGCTTGTGCCACTTGCTCTGGCACCTGCAGTGGTGGGAGAGGCTGGCCTTTGCTGAAGGAAGAGGAGATCTGGGGGGAAAAGACACCTGCATCGCCATCCTAAAGTGGCAGTTTAGTCAGGAACTCCACCTACAAACTCCATTTTGGGAGGAATCCTTGAGACACCCAATTTGACCTAGAAAGGTCAGACTCCCATATTCCAGGGGATGGGGAAGTGAGTGGTAGCGAGGGTGGGACTCCCATGCAAGTAGGCTCTTGGAAAGACTACTACATTCAAAGTCTACAATGGAGTGTGGCACAAAATGGATCTATAGAAGAGAGAAAGATAAGAGTCATACTCTTGAAATAACTGTCCCAGCAAAGGGGTCCCACGGTCCCTGAAATACTACAGGGCCCATCCAATAACAAGAGTCAAGGTGAAGGCCTTCTTCACATTGTGGCAGAAACTAACATCCTTTCAGGAAGATGGGCACTAGGGCAAAGGTGCAGCCCTCCCAAACCCCGGGCCCTGGTCTCCCAATCTCCAATATCTCCGCTTCTCAAGCCATATGTCTCTCTCCCACAAACAGAGACAGCCCCTTCCCTCCAGCATTCTCTACCAAGCCCTTCAAACCTTGTCAGCCTGTCTCATATGCTGGACTTCCCAGCTCCTACCCATCACAGAGTACAAACTGATCCAGCCGTTGAAGGAGGCAGCAGAGAACACTGAAGGGTCCCGAGGGCACCACTGCACATCAAAGCACCAGCTGCTCTGTGTTGGTAGCTTATATACCACCTAATATGAGGGAACACACCATTAGGGACAGTCCATGAAACCCAAAACACATGGCTGCAGCTGAGATTCTTCTACCCTCTCTCTCCCATCCCAGCATGCCCACAGAAGGGCCAGCCTACCTCACTGCTCCCCAGGTTCCGGCACAAGATCTGGCTGTCCTTAGCACTAGTGAGCAGCAGCTCAGCATCAGCCTGGCTCCATGACACTGACAAGATCCCCCTAAAAAGAGAAGGGAAGAGGAACTAGCATTTGTTGAATGCCTACTATGAGTAGGGTGCCTTATATGTCTTTTATACATTTTATAGGGCATATCAGACCATCCATGCCCTATAAAATGCATGGTCTGATATTATCTTACAAATGAATAAAATGAGGTTTTGAAAAATTAAGTAACTTTCCAACAGTTGCAGAGTCAGAACCCAAACCAAACCTCAGAGCCTGTGCACTATGCAATGTACCACTCTGCCTCTCTTAGATCACTGCAGGATGACCTGCTTCTTTTCACTGATTAGACAGTAGAGATTATGAATCAGTATGAATCACACAAACACTCATCACTATGGGTGCTTTTAGCCCAGGAGGTAGTAAAGACCTAACCATCTAAAGTCCCCAAGGAGGCCAGGCACAGTGGCTCATGCTTGTAATCCCAACACTGTGCAAGGCCGAGCGGGGAGGATCACTTGAGCCCAGGAGATCGAGGTCACAGTGAGCCTTGATCACGCTACTGCACTCCAGCCTGGGTGACAGAGCAAGAACTGGTCTAAAAAAATAAAGGTACCCAAGGAGATACAAAGGCACCATGGCCCTTTGGTTAGAAAGAAGAGATTGTGGAGGCTGGATAGAGGCCTCCACAGGATAGACAGGAGTCAAGTTGTTTTTATGAAGAAATCCTGGAGGAGGCAAGCTCATCACCTAAAGAAATGAACATTATCCTCATATCAGAGCCTGGAGGCTAAACACTGGTTCCAGTATTTCTCATTACCCCATTCCATTCCCATCTCTGGAATTTAGATGGAATCTCAGCCTCCTCTCCATAACCTCAGGGTCTAAGGGCCTCCTCTTGGTTAAGGCTGGAGTAGGTATTGGGTGACTATATGTTGACCGGAATGGCTTTAAAGCCAGGGAGGATGTTTAGTAGCTAAAGTGAGGGATACATTGCCTCCTACCCAGCCCAGTTATATCCACCATCCCCCCAAGGATATGGATGACGTCTGAGATGCTACCTGCTGTGGCTCTCCAGCACCTTCAAGGGCGAGGAGGCAAAGCGCAAGTCCCACAGCTGAATCACGGGAAGTCGATCATCCTCTGAGCACAGCACTAACTGGGTGGCTATGTCAGGATGCCAGGCCAGGCCTGAGCAGTGCATCTGTGAACAAAGCAGATCCCAATGGGTGCTGTAACCTGACTCTTTTGCCCAGTTGAAATGGGACCACTCTGAGAGCAAGTTTTCTGTCTCTTTTGTGACTGGGAACACCACAGGCATCAGAGAGTGATGGCCAGGAATAAGTAAGGAATGGCAGAAGCTTCCAGATCAGCTCTGTTTAGCTTCCCTAAGTTTTCACTCTCAATAGGAAATGTGCTAAGCGGCTGACTCCACATGTCCGACAGCTGAAAGCAGGACTCTGGCCTGGGGCAGAGCAGCTCTAACTGCTAGGCAGGAGAGAGAAGCCAGAGCCCAAGCCTGTGTTCTGGCCTCCAATACTCACCCTGTTGCTGTGATCACTGACTTTGATGATAGGTTCATTCTTCCTGAGATCCCACACAACTGCCTTGCCACTGGGGTGAGCAGAAGACAGAATGTGTTGGGCTTGCCGGTTCCAAGACAGTGCCTTGATGTCCTCTGGAGGCTGCTAAGGCAGGATGGGGACAGAAAGATGACAACTTGTCACCCCCTGGACAAAGTGACATCTGCTGTTCCACTGCTCCCAGCCACCCACAGCAAGTCCAAGAATAGACATGGGGCTACCCAAACTAAGACAGTGTTGCGAAGCTGGGAGTTGAATTTTCCAGGGAGGATCCTTTAGGGTATCAGTGTAGAAGCAGAGGGGATGGCAGGCACATCTAAGTTTTACTCCTACCCAAGGTTTTACTAAGAGGATAGAGTCAAGATTTTAAAAAACAGCCCTCTTGTCTAGGACAAAAAAAGAGGGAGAGAAGGAGGAAGATGAGGGAGGGAGGAAAACAGATACCCAAGACCCCAAGAGAGAGTGAGGCCGAGAGAAAAACCACAAGATGCTATCAAATTGAAACTTAACTTACCTCATGATACTGTAAGCACAGAAGAAAGAGAAAAGGCCAGGAAGCAAAAAGATGGGCCCAGTTACAGATTGACAGACAGCCTCTCCAAGACAGAAGACCAGACCCCCAACTGCATGGCAGAGCCACAT
The DNA here is from genome assembly GCF_000001405.40 of Homo sapiens. Taxonomy (NCBI): domain Eukaryota; kingdom Metazoa; phylum Chordata; class Mammalia; order Primates; family Hominidae; genus Homo; species Homo sapiens. The sequence goes on from NC_000010.11 coordinate 100,508,589, forward strand.
ACAGGGAGAACAAAGCTGACCCCCCCCTCCATAAAAAGGACAATGGTATGTCTGGGGTCCTACTCTTCCTCCCTCTTTGCTGGGCCCAATGCCCTACCCAACCCTGCGAAAGCTCTACTGTGATAAACAGCACTCCCATCCCTTCTTGTGGTGTCTTTTGCTCTCCCCAACTTTCATCTGCCTCCCAGAAACTCTTAGAACGAGTAATGAGCACAAACCAACTACCCCATATACACCCTCCACCCACCAGCCATCCTAACTCTTATCTGGCTGGTAGCATGTTAGTCTGTGGAGCTTTATTGCCCTCCAGTGGTAAAGTTTGATATCTCTTGAGCTCTGATTGGCTCCAGAACTCAAGACTTTTACTTAGGAGAATCAGCTGCACACTCCAGGGTTGGGTAGTGGGGGTGCTGCTCACCTGTGACTTGGATCCCAGGGTCATTGGCACATTCAAGTTATTCAGATCCCAAATGAAGATTTCAGAATCGCTGGCCCCTGAAGCCAGGAGGTTGCCCTGTATGAATAAAAAGTGTTTGGAGACATACCACCCTAGGAAGAAACAGAGCAAGAAAGGAGGAAAGAAGCCCAAATTTGGGGCTATCAAAAGCCTCCCCTGAAACAGCCTGGAAAGGGGTCAGAGTTACAGACTGGAGGCCACAAATGAATGCTTCCACTCAGATCTGTTGCTCCCTGGCTTGGCCATGTTTGACTAACTGAAATGTAGTACCTGGAAAGGATTCAAGTCGAGGGCTCTGACAGCCCCCGTGTGCTTCTGTTTCTGAGCAATCACAGGCTCCTTCCCCGAAGACAGGATGTGGGTCACATTGTATAGAATAAGCATGCCATTGTCCCCGCCGCCAACAATAACCCCGGAGCTTTCCAGAAGCCCACTGCCAAAGCTCCCCCAGACCAGCTTGTGAAACCTATAAAGAGGAGGAACTGGCATCAGTACAAACTTAGGTTCATGTCAGTAAGCACAGGATGGGCATCTCTGTCAGCTTCTGCCATTATGCAGGCAGCCCCACCCCTAGCTGGAACTTGCCTGTCTCCTTCATTTCCCAGACAGAAGGGATGTATCCTCCGCCCAGTCCTGCCCTTTCTCTGAAAAAATGTTTCATCTACGTTACACCAGAAGCCAGGAAGCCACTGCCTCTGAGTTGTGTGGAGGTGTATATATATACATATATATGTACATTTTTAAGTTAACATTGGGGTTATATAGGCTGGTGATATATACTTCAAATAGATTACTTCACATAATCCTCACAACTCAAATAGTCAGGTAATAATAGCAACCACTTACACTGACTGAATACTTGCTATGTATCAGACACTGTTTTAAGTGCTCTAGGTGTATTAGCTGTCTGAACATTTAACAACCTCATGAAGTATTACTATTATTTCCATTTTCAATTGAGAAAACTGAGGCACAAAGAAGTTATAAAATTTCTATACACAGAGGTAGTAATTTTATCCCCATTTTAGGATAAATGCTAGGAAGTAGCAGGGTCAAGGTTCAAAGTCAGGCCCATCTTATTCCAGAGCCTGAGCTCTTAACATCATAAAATACTGTCTCCTATTGAGAGAAAGATTCAAACTCTTCTGTAACTATTAGAAGCAGGCTCCCTAGACCAACAATTCACTCTCAAACTGGAAATGAGAAAAGACCCAATGGCCTCCCCACCCCATGCCTCTCCCATGTGGCTGGCCCACTGGAGTGGCCATGTGGCTGCAAAGGGCCAGACCTGGAGACAGAGGCATGAAAGGATACACTCCCACTCAGGAAATACTTTTCTGGATTTCTGAGGATGCTTCTAACAAGATAATGCCAATGTCTTGCCCCAGAGAAAAAGATCCCTTTGGATCCCTGGATCCCTTCTAGACAAGTTTGGGTCCTCTGCAAAGCCCCTACGGAAGACATGTGAAATCCCTGAAGCCTCATAGGTGGTCTGTCTCTCACTTCATAGCTGCTAGCCAAGGACATTTCCACAGCCCTTTGGAGAAGCCAGATATCACGCCAAATGAGGTTACAAGATCTCCAACTGCAAAGAAATATTCCCTGCGAACAGTCAGCAAAGCAACTGAGTAGGTGATAGGCAGGAACTTGTTAGGCCAGTCACTGGAGCAGAGCCAACTGGTCAGAAGCAAAGTATGGAGAACCAGCTCAGACCAGGTCAGCATCTGAAGCAAAACAGCAGAGCCAACACAATGCTAGCTAAGAGGCTACTGCCAGAAAGGCTGTTTTCTAAGGTTGCAATGATCTTAATACAGCAGAAGGATGTTTTTCCATACAGGCTGAAGAGGCTGCCATGTCATCCAGGGACTGGAGCTCAGCAGGGGTAGAGGGCATGTCAACTGAGTAGCTAGAGAAGCCCACAGTAGGTCACACAGGAACCAGCGGAGGGTATGTGCAGTGAAAAACCCACATGAAGATGCAGAGGGTGCAGCGACCTCAGCATGGTCGGAACACATGACATACAGAGCACAGTAAAAGGTACCTGAGACCTCAAGGGGGAGTCACCAAAGGGCTGGAAAAGAGGGCAGTTACTTCAGAGTGGCAGTTACTTCAGTTTGCCACATACAGGGTGTGACAAAATGATTTTCTTTCTGTATGCATATAGAAAGCACATTTCTGTGGTTAACCACATCACTAGCAAGGGTAAAGCTGGCGCCTGAATAGGTTGTGATAGAGAGCAAACCTGGGCGAATGGGCTTAACACCTAGGTGGAGTTAAGTGAGGAAGGAGACTTGATGGTTCAGGGTGCTCAGGGAGTGTTCCCATCTCTACTCTGCAAATGAAAACGGGAACAAGAGATGGGTGGGTGCGTACTATTCTGCAACTTTCCTGTAAGTTTGGATTTTTAAAAAATAAGAAGTTGAAAAACAAAAAGGGTGGTCTAGCTGGGCACAGTGGCTCACACCTATAATCCCAGCTACTCAGGAGGCTGGGGCAGGAGGATCACTTGTGCCCAGGAGATGGAAGCCAGCCTGGTCAATAAAGTGAGACCCTATGTCTATTTTTTTAAAAAAGAAAGAAATATCTGCTGTATAAATTGTTTCCATGATTTATTCATTCCTTTGGTTTGGATTATTTCATTTTCTTAGTAAGATTCTTTTCAAAAAAAATCCTAGCTTCATGTTAGTGAACTAAAGTGAAAAGAGTTTGTCCACATTCAAGCCAAAATAACTTGGGAAACTCAAGCCTCCCTAGAAGTCAAACAGAGTGATTAAGGCAGTACTCCAAGCTGGAGAATGAATGGAGCATTGGTTGTTTGAGAGGAAAGCTACTTTTCTGAATGCCTACGCATCTACTATGAATCCTCAATTTACAGTGGGAAAAAAAGGTTCAGAGAAGTTAAAGTGTCCAAGAGGACAGCAAGTAGCAGAGCTGGGATATAAACTCAGGTCTATCCAACAACTAACCCATGCTCTATTATCTTAATGCCTCTAGAAAGAAGGCAAGTCTTGAGAACAGGAAAACTGAGAGAAGTACACAAATGATTTTTTTCTGCTTGATGTTGTCCCTTACAGAAGGCCCCCAAAGAGAGGACACAGTGCTCCCCAAGTAACTAGAATTGAGATAAAGGTAGAATGACAGAAGACAGATCCTCTACTTTCTCCATGTTACTTGAGGATGGTTCTTCCAGAGGTTATGGGGGCCACTCCAGAGAGCTAGAAACTCAGTGTATAGAGAGGGTAAGGTACAGCAGACCACACATTGATCTCTCACCTCATTTACCCACAGCAGCTATGTCCTCAGTCGATGATATAAACAGTGTGATATTCTCCCAGAAACCTTTCTTTTTGAGTGAAATTCATCTAACAAACCCAACACTGTTTGCTTCACTGCACATGTTAATCCATATTGATTCTGACTGCATCCAGAGGCATTTATCCATGCACTCTCTTCAGTCTATTTATAGCTTGAGGCTGTCCCTTATCTATACCCATACTGGTGTTTCAGAACATTTTTCTTTCAGTCAAATATTTCTAGGTAGATAATATTTCTCTGATGCATCAAAGATTGAGGATAAGGGGATCTTCAGGATCCAAATTTGGTTGAGGCATGGGTTTGGAGAAAAGAGCAGGCAGAGAATGGGGAAGATTTTGAAAGGTGCATGTTTAGTTGATAAAAAAGAGATATAGGAAGAGGTTTAAAAATGGAAAAATGAGGAAGACTACTAGAAAATAAAAGGGAATAAGAGACTGAACATGAAACCTGAATTCAGATCTCAGCTAGTTTCTTAGAAGTTATCTGGTACAATCTCTTCTTTATACATAAGTGAGGGAACCTAAGATAACTGACTTGATTTGCCCAAGTCACACAGCTCTATTAGTATTATGGCCAATGCTACTGCCCCACACAACTGTGCCTTATGCCACAGCATGCAGAAGACACAGAAAAAAAGAGAGAGGAAGACAGAAAGCAAAGGACGAGTGTCCCTCTATCTTCCCTAATCATCTAGGTCAATAGTTTATGATACTGACTGTTGAGCATGTGACCTAACCTAGACTGGAACAGAATGAAGTGGGTGTCTTAGACCCTGGGTGTCTAAGATGATTTCTTCAGAAAGGCCCCAACAGGGCTGTGTCAAAGGTAATCCCTTTGGGATTGAGGTCTTTGGGAATGTGATTTAATCTTCCAACACAGTTACAGAGGTGGGAAAAGAAAGCAGAGATAAAATACTTATCAGTAGGGTTAACTGTGCTATTTATTCTGATTACTGGCCCCAAATCCCTACAGAGTGGAGCAGGAGTATGAGGTAAAGTTCATGACTCCCAAATTCAAACTAACAGCTTGAAAAACCCTTAAGACACTAAGACTAACTGTAACTGAAGTGCTGGATTTGAATGCTGTTTGGTAACCCAGAAGTTTCTTCTTCTTTTTCTTTTTTTTAGGCAGGGTCTTGCTCTGTCACCCAGGCTGGAGTGCAGTGGTACCATCTTGTTGGCTCACTGCAACCTCCGCCTCCCACGTGCAAGCGATTCTGGTGCCTCAGCCTCCCGAGTAGCTGGGATTACAGGTGTGTGCCACCACGCCCAGCTAATTTTTGCATTTTTAGTAGAGACGGGGTTTCACTATGTTGGCCAGGCTGGTCTTGAACTCCTGGCCTCAAGCGATCCACCCGTCTCAGCCTCCCAAAGTGCTGGGATTACAAGCATGAGCCACCGCACCTGGCTGGTAACCTAAAAGTTTCTAATATCACTCATTCATATAACAAATATTTATTAAATACAAATATTTATTAAATATAATGCCAGGCACTGCTCTAAGTGCCTGGAGATACAGCAATGAGTAAAACATTAAAATCTCGGCCGGGTACAGTAGCTCACGCCTATAATCCCAGCACTTTGGGAGGCCGAGGTGGTTGGATCACCTGAGGTCAGGAGTTCGAGACCAGCCTGGCCAACATGGTGAAACCCCATCTTGACTAATAATACAAAAATTAGCTGGGCATGGTGGCGCACCCCTGTAATCCCAGCTACTCGGGAGGCTGAGGCAGGAGAACTGCTTGAATGCAGGAGGTGGAGGTTGCAGTGAGCCAAGATCGAGCCACCACACTCCAGCCTGGGTGACAGAGTGAGATTCTGTCTCCAGAAAACAAAACAAAACAAAAAGCCATTAAAATCTCTGCCCACATGGATCTCAAAATTCAGTTTATAAGATTATACTGCCTCTTTCTTAAGAACCCTTAGCCCTAAGGAGCCACTACTACGCTGAAGCTGTTGCTTTGCTTGCTGAGGATTAGAACTAGTGCCCCCTCACCCTTTTTTCTTTTCCTATTAGCTTTCTCAGGTTGAACCCCTTTTTTAAGCTCTAGCATATAAACATCTTGAATTAGCTCACCCCTTTGAGGGGACCCTTCTGAAATGTTTGGTTAGGGGCTAAGAGTATCTAATCATCATCAGTAAATCCTCAAGTGCCTGCTCTTCAAAGGATACAGGTACTGGAAATACAAAGAGATGTAAAAAAAAAAAAACCTGCAAAATAAGAGATGCTCTCATAAAGTGATGCAGGAGCTCAAGAAAGGGAAAACGACAACTAACTTTTCATTATGAAGTTAAACTATGAAAAGAAAGAGGGTACTTCCACCTCAATATTTTAACTAATCTCTTAGAGGGACCAAGAAATGCACAAGGAGTTCATCAATCATCAGAAGGAATGTTGCCTTCTAGACCAGTAACCTCTAATATAAAAAAAATTAACAGAAATTACACTTTATTAGTAGTATAACAAAAAAATTAGCCAGGTGTGGTGGCGCGCACCTGTAGTCCCAGCTACTCGGGCGGCTGAGGCAGGAGAATCCCTTGAACCTGGGAAACAGAGGTTGCAGTGATCTGAGATCACCCCACTGCACTCCAGACTGGGCGAGAGAGTGAGACTCCATCTCAAAAAAAAAAAAAAAAAAAATAGTAGAGCCAGCTGGCTCAGTGGCTCACACCTATAGTCCCAGCACTTTGGGAGGCCAAGGGGGCTGATCGCTTGAGCTCAGGAGTTCAAGACCAGCCTGGGCAACATGGCAAAACCCCATCTCTTCTAAAAATATAAAAAATTAGCTCGGTGTGGTGGCATATGCCTGCAGTCCCAGCTACTCAGGGGGCTGAGGCGGGAGGATTGCTTGAGCCCAGGAGGTGGAGGTTGCAGTGAGCCGTGATCGTGCCACTGCAATCCAGCCTGGGCGACAGAGTAAGACCCTGTTCCAAACAAAAACAAAAACGGTATAGTAGTACATGTATACATTTATATTGAATATATAACTTGAGTATAATGAATATTCACATTTTTTCTGATGATATAAACATTTGGAGACCATTGCTTCAGATTGTAAGCCTCAACTTTACAAGACCTTTAGAAGAAGGGCAGAATGATGGAAAGAAGGTAGGCTTTGGACACAGATAGGCCTTGACTTAAATCCTAGCTTCTCAGAGTTTCAGTTCCCTCCTATGTAAAATGGAAATATGGTACTTATCACTTAGGTTTATTATGAGGAATAAATAAAATGTACAGAGCCCCTAGCACAGTGTCTGGCATGTATACATGTGCTCAATGAATGATAGTATCTAGCGCTGGAAGCCTGCAAGAGCCATGAAATCCATGAGAACCAATCAGTGTCTAAAAGCAATAAGGAGAGGATCATTCGTTCTCTTCCTTGTTGGCAGAGAGGGTGATATTGTGTAAGGTGTTTATCTTCACAAGAGCCAAGGGAGGAAGGAGCCAATATCTCTGGGTTCAAAGACAGACCAGGTACACGTGGGTCCAGGCTTGTCTGAGGCATCTCTATCACATGCATTCAGCCTGACACTGCTATTGCTGCTGACTGGAAAGGGGGGGGGTGGTTGTTTTTTAAATCCTTTTGCAAAATAAGCCCAGAATTAACTTTTCTCCAACTTGGCAAAGCTCCTTCTTCCCTCACTTGGCTCCTCATGAGCCCTAAGAAACACACACTGCTCCCAGGATTCCACGTCAGTATCTACCCTGTATACCCATCAATAGATCAGACAATACCTGCTCAAGGCAGAAAGGACTCCTCTGTGTTTCAAGTCCAGAGAAGGGTCCCTGAAATCAACCTCAAATATTTCCAATGTGCCATTTGTGCTGAAGGAGGAATCTAGCTGTTGGGCAGATGTTCCTAGGCACAAGAAAAGGCAGCATATGAGCAACAATATATGCATGGATTTCAGGTATAAGAAGGTTAAGGAGTGAAGAAGAGAAGGAACAGAAGAGGGCTGGGTATACCCTTTCTCAAAGGTAACTCCACAAAAGCAAGAAAACGTTGGCTGGGCGCGGTGGCTCACGCCTGTAATCCCAACATTTTGGGACGCCGAGGTGGGCAGATCACAAGGTCAGGAGATCGAGACCATCCTGGCTAACATGGTGAAACCCTGTCTCTACTAAAACTACAAAAAAAATTAGCCAGATGTGGTGGTGGGTACCTGTAGTCCCAGCTACTCAGGAGGCTGAGGCAGGAGAATGGCATGAACCCAGGAGGCGGAGCTTGCAGTGAGCCAAGATCGCGCCACTGCACTCCAGCCTGAGCGACAGAGTGAGACTCTGTCTCAAAAAAAAAAAAAAAAAAAAAAAAAGACGTACCTAACCTTGAGCCATAGTCCTAGGCAGCCCTCAGGTACCCAAAACACCTAATATCTCCTTGCTTATGCTGTGAGCCACCCTATCTTTCTATGATCTGAGAGCTTTCTCTGATGTTCAATAAATAATTCTAGATACTAAGTTTCCCCTCAACTTATGTACTCCCAGTGGATCCTAATTCACAGTGTCACCATACCTGTGGCCAGATACAAAGGGTATTGGCTGGCTGGGCTCCATGCCTGGACAGCTGGCCGCTCAAGTTCCTTCAGCTTCATGGTCTATCCTGTAGGTGGCAGAAAACTGACATGGCCCTCAGCCCACTGAAAATAGAAACCAGCAAACTTAACAGCCAGATCCAGGGAGCATCTGCGGACAAGAGTTCTTGTTTGTCTTTCTCCATCACAAGATAGGGCATTTCAGGGCAACACAGAGTGACAAATACATGACCATCTGCAGATCTAAAGATAGTTCATTCACCCAATTACTGAAATGTAATGCTTTAAACCTCAAATGATACTCAACCACAATGGCTACCACAGGTCCAGTGGTGATAACCATCAAACCAGACAATCTCTCAGTGATGTTTGTCCATTTCCTTGGCTTTAAATAGCACCCATATGCTGATGATCCCCAAATTTATATCACCATCACAAATCTCTCCTCTAAGCTCCAAGTTCTTATATGCAATTTCTTTTCGTTTTTTAGACCAAGTCTTGCTCTGTCACCCAGGCTGGAGTGCAGTGACACGATCTCAGCTCACTGCAACCCCTGCCTCCTGGGTTCAAGTGATTCTCCTGCCTCAGCCTCCCGAGTGGCTGGGATAACAGGCATGTGCCACCATGCCTGGCTAATTTTTGTATTTTTAGTAGAGACGTAGTTTTACCGTGTTGGCCAGGCTGGTCTCGAACTCCTGACCTCAAGTGATCAGCTGCTTATACGCAATTTCCAATCAAATATTTCACTTGGATATAGTAGATACTTAATGGGGGAGGGAACTCCCATTTTAGTCTGTCTAAAATGGAGTTCTCTATTCTACCATCTTTTATGGTCTTTTTTTATTTGTTTTTTTCAGAAAGGAGCAAAGTCACAATCTCTTCTGTTCTTCCTCCAGTTTTTTTCATCTTGGTAAATGGTTCCACTATCCACCCAATTGCTCAACCCAGAAGCCTGAAAATCCCTCTTGATCCCTCCTTCTCCCTCATTCTCTTCTAATCCATCATTTAGTCTCCTTGATTTAACCTCCAAAATATATCTCAATCTGTCTACTTTTCTCTATTTTCGCTGCCAACAGCCTTTTTGATTGTATCATCTCTCACCTGGAGTACTCCAACAACCTCCCAACTAGCTATCCCCTTTCTACTCAAGCCATTACCCAATTCGTTCTTTACACAGCAGCAGGAGTGAACTTCTAAAATAAAAAATGATTTTGGCATTCCATGCTTAAAATCTTTCAATGATTTCTATCACACACAGAATAAAATTCAAACTTCTTTGAGCCCTGCCCAAAGGCTCCAGCCTACCACTTCAACTTCATCTTTTAATACTTTTCTCATTCATTGTGCTTCAGCCACACTAGCCTTTAATTTCCTGACATTTTCCTTCCTTAGAGCCTTTACAAATGCTGTTCCCTATACTTTGAATGCTCTTCCCTTCACTTTCGACATGACTGGCTCCTTATATCTTTCTGGGCTCAGCTTACTTCCCCAAATAAGTGAACTACCCAATCACAAAAAGCCTCAGTTTTTTTCTTCCTAGTAATTTATAATTACATATTTATTTATATTGACATTGTCAGTCTCTTCCACTAATATGCAAGCTCCATGAGAGCTGACACTGTGTCGGCTTTTGTTCACCATGTTGTAACTAGTTTCCAAACGAATGTCTGGCATATGGTAAAAGCTCGAATGTGGACATCCATTTTAACTCTGTGGTTTCTGATCTAATTCCAATGTATATTCAAGGTCCCATCCCAACAGGCTAGCAAACAGGTAGAAATGATTTTTAAAAATTACACTGAACTTGAGGAGAAAGCTTGGGACCTACTGTGACCTGCTTGAGTAAGCTATAGTCAGATCAGTCTCACCTACAAAAACAGGAGATAGTATTACTTAATCTCTAAGGTACTTTCTAGCGTGAAGAAAGTTTAAGCCTGCCCATTAAGCCAAGATTTCCAAAGCACCTTTAAACACTTGTGGCTACTATCACGTATTCTGTGACCAGCTCAACACTCTACTATACAGTCACCAGTGCCACCTGCTGGTCACAGCCATTTTAATGTTTCTGGGAAAAGATTCCCTAACAACAAAAATAGGAGCTGCGATAAGCAGCTGTGCATTTGATGTGCATATCTCAGTTAATTCTCTCAGTGGTCTTATCAGGTAAGTACTATGATTATCCCCATTTTCTAGAGATGACAACTGGCTAGGCCGGGATGTGAACCCCCATCAGCATCAAGAGCCCGTATTTCTAACCACTGTACTAGTCGCAAGTAAACCCTAGAAAGTGTTTTAATCGCTGACAGTCTAGGAACTGGGAAAATGGGCTCTTAATTCACATTGTTAAGAGGCATCTATTCACAAAAAAAGGGCCCCCGCTGGGGTCAGATTGGCCATGGGGGCGTGAGGGGGAGATGACCAATGAAATGCTCGACAGACCTGCCGTGCAGGAGGGCACCAGCTACCCTTGGCAGTCCAGTCCCTAGGGAGGACGGTCAGCACAGCCTCTTTCCCGCTGTCGCCGAAGCGCGGCGCGCCAGGGTCAGCAATGACAGACCTTCCCGCCCAGCCCAAACGCAGCGACACCGGACGGCCTCGGCTGGGCCAGGTCAGGACCAAGGCGGATGGGAAGGCGCAAGGCAGCAGTGAACAGGGAGACCCTCATCCGGCTGGGGGTTCCCGTGCGGCAGGGACAGTAGAGCCGGATCCAATTCAAGGGTAGACGTAGTGGAGGCCCCCGAGGCCCGGACCCGCGGGCAGGGCAGGCGCGGGCCGGGGGCTCCGCAGCAAGCGGGCTCCCCTCCGCGCTCTGCCGAGAAAGGAGCAGTGCTCCGGGTCCCCAGCGCAATCTCTGCTACCAGGGACCCCAGACCGGCGGGGCGAACCAACCTGTGCGGAAGACCCCGGACAAGGGTCAGGCGCGGCGGCCGGAGCCGCTCCTCTGGCAGGGCTCTCGCGCGGAGCCGGGCGCTGTGGACGGCGGCTGCGGAGGACCAAAGCGGCGCGGACCCCGGCAGGGCACCGTCGGAAACACGCTCCGCGGGCGCCGAGCCCGAGACACTGACAGACCCACGGAGAACGTTTCCAAACAGGATTATAGCTTTTAACCGGGCCTCCCTCACCTACCCTGTGATTGCGCAGCGGGTCAGATCTGGACCAGTAAGTTCTGGTCTATTCAGTTTGAGCCAGGCTCTAGGGCCAGTCTCTGAAAAGGGAAAATACTAACTCATTATCTATGTATTGAAGCGGGAGAAGACCCGGCCCTGGCCCCAGGAGCCCTCAGTGGAATCCATTTAGTTGAAAACGTAAAAAGCAATCGAGGCTGTAAATGGCAGTGAGTGTTGCACTGCAGCCCAGCAGAAACTGGTGCCCAAAACTTGGTTGAATTAAGGGCTATAAGTGTATGGAGGGTGAGACTACAGGGCCAGGGGCTTCCTGAAATATTTGAGGAACATAGGAGGGGTGTTATCCTCTGGAGCTGCAAGAACACAGGTGATATTCCAGCCGATAATGTATTTTTTATGTTGAAGAAATTGTGCCACTTCCAAATAAAAATGTTCTGTAGACAGGTCGGGTGCAGTGGCTCACACCTGTAATCCCAGCACTTTGGGAGGCCAAGGTGGGCATATCACCAAAGGTCAGGAGTTCGAGACCAGCCTGGCCAACATGGTGAAACTCCGTCGCTACCAAAAATATAAAAATTAGCCGGGCATGGTGGTGCAGGCCTGTAGTCCCAGCTACTCACGAGGCTGAGGCATGAGAATAGCTTGAACCCGGGAGGTGGAGGTTGCAGTGAGCTGAGATCACGCCACTGCACTCCAGCCTGGGTGACAGAGACTCCATCTCAAAAAAAAAAAAAAAATTCTGTAGGCAGCTTTAAATCTTAGAAACTTATGCTTAACGCATGAATTCTCTGTATTCCTGCCTGATACACCTCCAAAGATGGGGGGCCAGTTATCATGATGGAGCCCAACTCATTGTGACACGACTCCAGTTCCCTTCCATGTGGATCTGGCAATTTTGAAGTTAGACAGAAGGTAATTCAGTGCATTATCTGTGCCTAGCCCACGCTTCCTACCTACTAAGTACTCAAGTATTTCCTGAACTTCTTAGCTGGCACAACAGGGAATGAAGCCTGAGGAAAAGTAAACAGGGTTAAAAACTAAACCTGAGAGAAGGAGGCAGAAGAGTTACTGATGGAATACTCCTAAAGAAATTTGAACCAGAAGCTTAAGTCACAGTTTCGGGTAGGACATGATTAAGCCAAATTAAAAGTGCACTTTCTCAACTCACACCTCTTAAGAATTCTTGCTGGGAGCAGTGGCTCATGCCTGTAATCCTAGCACTTTGGGAGGCTGAGGCGGGCAGATCACTCGAGGTCAGGAGTTCAAGACCAGCCTGACCAATATGGTGAAACTACATCTCTACCAAAAAATACCGAAAAAATTGGCTGGGCGTGGTGGCATGTGCCTGTAATCCCAGCTACTCGGGAGGCTGAGGCATGAGAATCACTTGAACCTGGGAGGCAGAGGTTGCAGTGAGCTGAGATCATGCCACTGCACTCCAGCCTGGGTGACAGAGTGAGACCATGTCTCAAAAAAAAAAAAAAAAAATTCTTTTTGGCCTGGCATAGTGGCCCACACCCATAATCCCAACACTTTGGGAGACCAAGGCAGGTGGATTGCTTGAGCCCACAAGTTTAAGACCAGCCTGGGCAACATGGTGAAACCCTGTCTCTACAAAAAATACAAAAATTAGCCAGGTGTGTTGGTGCATCCCTGTGGTCCCAGCTGCTTGGGAGGCTACAGTGAGAGGACCGCTTGGGCCTGGGAGGTAGAGGCTGCAGTGAGCTGTGATCACACCACTACACTGCAGCCTGGGCAACAGCGTGAGACCCTGTCTCAATAGTAATAATGATAAAGAATTATTTTCACTTTGTATTATAACTGCTGGTCTCCTATGTAATATTTGAAGGTGATTACTTTGTCTTGCTCAGTTTTATATCTCCAGGGCTTATCAGTGTTTGATACATATTAGACACACAGGTGTTTGTTAAGGAAATGATTATCAAATGCTATAGAGAATGAAGACAGATAAAAAGCCAGTGGGGACCTTCAAAGAATAGCATTCCACAAGTATCCACTCCCTGACCTCACAAAAGGTCTCTCACTGCCTGCACAACTAAGACTCCACATCTAATTTGAATGAACTTGCTTCTTTTGGTCACATAAAATGTATGCTTTTCTATGGGACAGGTTTTCCGGCAATATACTGTAACTTAAGAATATGTCCCCAAAGGAATATGGGTTGGTTCACTTAAAAATAGACATGAGGGCTGGGTACAGTGGCTCCTGCCTGTATTCCCAGTGCTTTAGGAAGCTGAGGCAGGATTGCTTGAGGCCAGGAGTTTGAGCCAGCCTGGGCAACATAGCAAGATCCCACCTCAACAAAAAATAAGAAACTTAGGTTCGTACATCCCAGTAATCCTAGCTACTAGGGAGGTTGAGTAAGGAGGATCCCTTGAGCCCAGGGGTTTGAGGCTACAGAGAGCTATGATTGTGCTACTGCACTTCCACCTGGGGAACAGAGGAAGATCCTATCTCTAAATAAAACAAAAAACAGATGAATGATAGACTCTCAAAAACATAGTTTTTCTCTAAGACTGTTATAGGAGTGTGGATGAGTCATCAAAAGTAATCAAAGCTATGAACATGTTCAGTAGTAACTCACTGACTGTCCTCCAATTCATAAATACAGGTAATGTCAACTTATTAAGAAGCTATGATTCAGAAGCTGCTTTGGAATAAGGAATATTCTTATAACGGAAATAAGATCAGAGGCAGTCGCAGCCTTAGGCAGACAGGACAAAAACACTTATCAGTCCTGTAATATACTTGAAACACGTTAGAGCACATTTTTTTCCAAGTAACCACTATTATTAAGGAGTTTTTTTTGTTTTTTTTTGTTTTGAGACGGTCTGGCTCTGTCGCCCAGGCTGGAGTGCAGTGCCACCATCTCACCGCAACCTTGACCTCCTGGGTTCAAGGGAGTCTCCTGCCTCAGCCTCTGGAGTAGCTGGGATTACAAGCATACACCACCAAGCTTGGCTAATATTTTGTATTCTTAATAGAGACGGGGTTTTGCTGTGTTAGTCAGGCTAGTCTTCAACTCCTGGCCTCAAGTGATTCACCCGCCTCGGCCTCCCAAAGTGCTGGGTTACAGGCTGAGCCACCACGCCATGCCAAGGTTTTTTTCGAGACAGGGTCTTGCTGTGTTGCCCAGGCTGGAGCAGTGTTGCAAACATGGCTCACTGCACGCTCCTGGGCTCAAATGATCCTCCCAGCTCAGCCTGCTGCACAGCTGGGACCACAGGCGCGCACTGCTGTGCCCAGTGAATTTTCTGAAATTTTTTTTTGCAGAGATGGGGTCTCGTCATGTTGCCCAGGCTAGTCTCAAAGTCCTGAGCTTCAAGCAATCCTTCCACCTCAGCCTCCCAAAGTGTTGGGATAATAGGCGTGAGCTACCAGACCCAGACTAGAAAGGTTTTTTATGTGAAATAAATCTTGTTCCAACTTGGAAAGTTAGGAACATTTCTTCCTTGACCCTGTAAATGGGAAAAGGAGGGACCCTTAACACCTCCACACAGCTAAAACCCTTAAGTACCTTTACAACCCAAGTGAAATTAACAAATTAACATTTTGTGCCTAAGTCCCCATCCACCCCACCCTCTTATCCTTTAAATTTCAGAAAAAGAAAACAGGGAAGACAGCAGACATCAAGCAGAAAAAAAGGGAAAAGGATGAGGTTCCTCAAGGCAGTGACTATTCCTGGGGAAATGAGGCACAAATAACACAGCACTGAGTTTTATTAGGGATTTCATTAAGGTTAAATTTCTAGGAATGAGGGAGTCCTAGTTAGAGGACCCAAAAGCCCACGAAGCCTCCTCAGATCTCATAGTGAACCACCCGCTCTGGTTCTTTGGAGGGATCACCGCCTCGTTCCAGGTACAGATTATTGTAAGGATACTGCTTTGGTCCCTACAGAAAAAAACACAGGTCAGCAAGAACATACATTCAGTCAATACCTGGCTACACCCCACTCTGAGTTAACAATCACGCATGGTAAATGGGTACACAGTAGCCTCTGGTCAGACCCAGCTGGGCTAGGAAGGCAGGAACAGCACTCCTCTTCCTCACTCAGCCCAAGGCAGAGAGAAAGCCTAAATTGTAAGAGAAGTGGTGCCTACACTGTGAGAGAGAAGGAGAAAGGGGGAGGGAAGGGGGTTAGGGAAAGGAGGGGAAGGGAGGAAGACAGGGAGGGAGGTAAAGAAAGAGAGAAGAGTGTGTTAGAGTCAGAGGCAACACTTTCTAAATGAGACGATGCATCCATCCATCCCACTCTCTCTCGGGGTCGAGACAGACTCAATCTCCTTTAAGTCACTCAGCCTCTAATGGTTCCACCACTAAAGTGGCCCAGCAAATGAGGCGTGCAGCAGCAGTGGTGGGGGAAAGCACAGAGGAGACAAGGCTGGGACGTGCTTTAGGGGCTGCTGGCTTTACCAACAAACAGCTGTCAGAGAACACAGCTCAAGGGGAGGAGAAAAGGGTGATGTGCTTACAGAACTGAAAAATGGAAGAGCCACACTGTTCCTTGCTCTCCTGAAGTGAAGTTAGTGCTCACCCTAGCCCTACGTGCATTCTCCAGCATGGAGCCCCTGGGGCTTGGTAGGAAGGCTCGTGTCAGTGCACACAGACATACCAGCTACCTTCAGGACATTGATTGTCTCTGCAGAGGTAGCACTGGGCAGCCAACTGCAAACACAGCAGCCTCCCTGCTTTCAGCTTCTCTCCTTCCAGTACATCCTGGAGACTACTCCTGGATTAATCTTCCTAAGAACTCAGCATTCATTATGTCACTTTTCTGTTCGAAAACCCAAAATGGCTCCCTGCCACCTAGAGGCAGACCAAGTCATCACTGTATCCCCAACCGCTAGCACAGTCTGCATCTGGTACATAGTACAGGCTCCATAAATATTTGTTCAATTAATGCTTTATTACACCATCAAGTCCAAATCCCTTAGCAATGAAATAAAAGCTGCCCAACCTAACTGACCAACTTACCTCACAATATTTTTTAACACAGTGATTTCCAAATCTAGGTGCACATCAGAATTACCTGGGAGCTTGTTAAAAATACCGCTTCTGGAACCCTACTGTGATGCTACTGAATTAGGAGCACCAAGAAGTGGGGCCTGGGAATCTGGGTTTTTAGCAAGTCTCCAGGAAACCAATGCAGCCGGTTATTTAGGAACGATTCTATACCTCTATTCTACTCCAGCTAACTCACCCTCCTTTTCCTTCATTGTTTTCTTTTTTTTTTTTCGAGACAGAGTCTTGCTCTGTTGCCCAGGCTGGGGGGCAGTAGTGTGATTTCAGCTCACTGCAACCTCTGCCTCCCAAGTTCAAAGGATTCCTGTGCCCCAGCCTCCCAAGTAGCTGGGATTACAGGCACGCACCACCATGCCTGGCTAATTTTTTTGTATACTTTGTAGAGACGGGGTTTCACTATGTTGCCCAGGCTGGTCTTGAACTCCTGAGCTCAAGCAATCTGCCCACCTCAGCCTCCCAATGTGCCGGGATTACAGGCGCAAACCACCATACCTGGCCGCCTTCATTGTTTTCTCTTGCCCCAAATGTTTTCTCCAACTTCCCACCACCCAAAGCGTGTGTGTGTGTGTGTGTGTGTGTGTGTGTGTGTGTGTGTGTGTGTGTTAGCATCTAGGTAGCCCTTCTCCTTGACAGTAACTCATACCACTAAGCACATACGTGTGTGTGTGTGTGTGTGTGTGTGTGTGTGTGTGTGTGTGTGTGTGTTAGCATCTAGGTAGCCCTTCTCCTTGACAGTAACTCATACCACTAAGCACATACATTCACTATACACATATATACACATAGATTGTACAGAATTCCCATATATCTGTTCAAATGTTGCTCATGTAACTTATCTAAATTTTCTTAACTAAACTTCCTTAAAGCTAGAGAATTCATTTTCTATGTCCTTTACATTCTCCAAAATGTAAGTCTATGCCTGTAGTAGACTCTTAATTGCTTCCAATATACTACAGGACGTGCCCTTCACAAGTCCAACAAAGGATAAGATTTTCACTCAAGATTCCTTAACTCTACTGTGAAAGATCACTTAATGAAATATTGTTAATAAATATAATCCCCAAATGGCAACTCTGGTGACTAGCTGGTTTCCACACACTCATTGCTCATCTAGTCTTCAAGTGTATCTACTCACCCAGACTGGTCCAAGAAGTAGGGGTGGAGAAGTGCTGTGGTACTTGTGGCAGGCCAATGGGTCAAGGCCCTCCTATCTTCCTATCTCCTAAGACTCCAGGAAGCCAAGCTTGGTATTGACTGGATTCCTACCCCAGAGACTTCACTCCCTCAGGAAATGGGGCTAAGCAAGCGTGCCTAAGGGAGCACTTCTCGGATACTCACCACAGGCTGGTAGACAGGGTACACGTCCCCCACCCAGCACATGAATATCATGAAAGCCAGGAAACCGAAGAGCTGCATACACATGACATGCCAAGAAACAGGTGTGGGGGATGTATCCACACGGTTCCTGTTGTACATGTCTAGGTGCCAGTGCATCTGAGGCAGAAAGACAAATAGCTGTCACATACTACTCTTCCTGCAAAATGCAGGCAAGTCCCCAGTGATTAGAGCCTGATACAAGGCTAGACAGAAGCATTCTACTGCCCTGGGACAATATGCTGAGAACCAGGTCTGAGGCACACTGCCCTACAGGATTAGATGCTGGCCTCTGTCTAGGTTCTGCTGAATAGGGACAGCTCCATCATGGAAGTGCACAACTTTCACAGTACAGAGTTTCATGATTCCCAGACGTCCCATTCAGTGTGCCACATGCAATCTCAGATCTCACATCACTGGACCTTGCTTCCTTGAGCAGGAAAGCTTAGTGTTACTTGGTCAAAGAAGTGCCATCTGAGCTAAAGAATCGCCAAGAAGACAAAGAGAGAAGGAAGGTCAAATGAGATATGGTTCTCTTACCGGTTCACCCCAGTTCAACCTCAGGCCCGGCTGGTCCCAGCTATACCATGGATCTCTCTCATGCTGTGAGCGGTCAGGGAGCTTCGGGTAGTCGCCATACCTGAAAGACAGCAAGAACTTCTGGAAAGGGCTGTGAGCAGCCTCAGACAATTCAGAGTCTCCTCATCTTATAGATGAGAAACAAAGTGACAGAGATAACTGCCTCACCTAAGGACAAAGGAACTAAACCTCAAGGCAAGAGCTCAAGTTCTAGTCACTAAGCACAGAATTAACCATAGAAGTCCACACTGTATTTAAAAGTTCATGGCAAACTCTGAAATATTTTAATGTACATAAGCCTTCCCTGGGCCAGGTGTGGTGGCTCATGCCTATAATCCCAGCACTTTGAGAGGCTGAGGTGGGCAGATCACCTAAGGTCAGGAATTCAAGACCAGACTGGTCAACATGGTGAAACCCCACCTTTACTAAAAATACAAAAATTAGCTGGGTGTGGTGGCAGGTGCCTGTAATATCAGCTACTCAGGAGGCTGAGGCAGGAGAATCACTTGAACCCAAGAAGTGGAGGTTGCAGTGTGCCCAGATCGCACCATTGCACTCCAGCCTAGGCAACAAGAGTGAAACTGTCTGAAAAAAACAAAACAAAACAAAAAAACCCAGCTTCCCCAAACTTCTTTCAATAAAAAGAAAAAAAGTCACACAATCGTGTGATATTAGAGATGAAAGGGAATTTAGCAATCAATTACAGTCATGTGCCACATACCATTTCAGTCAATGACGGACAACATACACGAAGGGGGTCCCATAAGTTTATAATAAAGCTGCCCTATACATATGTACCATTTTTTATCTTTTTCTCTTTTTTGAGACGGAATCTTGCTCTTGTTGCCCAGACTGGAGGGCAATGGCACAATCTCAGCTTACTGCAACCTCCACCTCCCGGGTTCAAGCAATTCTCCCGCCTCAGCCTCCCAAGTAGCTGGGATTACAGGCACCTGCCATCACGCCCAGCTAATTTTTGTATTTTTAGCAGAGACAGGGTTTCGCCACGTTAGCCAGGCTGGTCTTGATCTCCTGACCTCGTGATCTGCCTGCCTTGGCCTCCCAAAGTGCTGGGATTACAGGCGTGAGCCACTGTGCCTGGCCCATTTTTTATCTTTTATAGCATACTTTTATGTACCTTTTCTATGTTTAGATACACAAATACCATTGTGTTACAATTTCCCACAGTATTAAGTATAGCAATATGCTGTACAGGTTTGTGGCCTCAGAGCAACAGGCCATACCATAAAGCCGAGGTGTGTAGCAGGCCATACCATCTAGGTTTCTGTAAGTACACTCCTAATGTTCATACAATGAGGAGATAACCTAACAACCCATTTCTCAGAATGTATCCCTGTTGTTAAGTGACATATGACTGTACTCTGATTCCCTCATTAGATAGAAAATGAAAAATTAAAGTTTAGAGTCTGAATCCAAAGTCACCCAGCTAATTGGAATAAAAACAAAAAGGGTACAGATTAGAAAAGCACTCTTCTCGTAATAACTGTGTTCTTGACCACCCAGTTGGCATTCATCTCTGCGTCTCAAACACCTCATGGGACCTCTTGCTAAGCTGGGTTTTCCCCAACAAATCCAGGTTCATCTGACACTGGCTTCGAACAAGGCTGCTCTTGTCCACAACATAAGAAAAAACAGGAAATGATGACAACTAGACATATGCTACAGAAAATGAGTGTATAACAAGAAGAATAGAAGTTGCTGAAACCAAGATTGAAAGAGTGACATTAGGACAGGAAATAAAGGCGATGATAATCACTTCAGATAATTAACCATTGGGATGTTATGTGGGTATGGATACGGAAGAGTGTGGAAGGGATAGGATAACATCAACTGGAGTACGTAAGGGGGCTGGCTGTTTAATCTGCTTAATAGTTGCTACGATTTCCACAGCACTAACAGAAAAACATTTTTTTTAAAGAGACATACACACAAATATAGAGTACTCCGTTTACAAATAAGATTCTCATGACAGGAGTCCAGCTCCAGCCTGGTCACATGCCTGGATGACAGCACCTGAGCGCAGCAGATGCTCAATCTAAATGAAACTCGACGCTCTGGATAGAGCCAAGGAAGGCTCCTGCTATTCGGGGGTCCTCGAGGGAGCCATTAAAACCTCGGCTTCCTCATTTGAGGAAACAGCCTGAGCCAAGGAGAAAATTGAAGTCCTCTCAGCTGCAGCTGCTCACCCACCCCCCTCCCACCTCCCTCCACAGAGAAAAGCACCCACTCCATTGACTCTGAGGGGTCACGAGAAGGTTCGGGAAAAAGGGTCACAGTCAAGCCACCCAACCCAGCCGGCCTTCTCCCATCACTACTTGGGTGCGAGCATACCCTCTCTGTCTCACCCCATGCCATCATCCGGGTAAGGTTCGTAGTCTTCCACACGCATATTATACTTCTTGGCGGCGGCGGCCCGTTCTTCTGGGGTCCTAGGATAGGGCCCCGGGAACATGTCCTTGGTCATGTGGGAGGCTAGAACGCAGAAGAGAACAGGTCAGAAGCGAGCCCGCTCTCCAGCCGCTCCGAAGGCTTCAAGTCGCAGGGGCTGCAGAGGTCCGAGCCCGGGACTTCGCAGGATCAGTGCGATCCTCCACCCCATTTTCTGGATATATCAACGCCACCTCCACTCCCTACCCGGAGGCTGCCGCCGCGGCATCTACGATCCCCCCTCCCGATACACCAAATTTCAGGTACCCCCTTCCCACACTGAGGTCTCGCCCGTTCTCGCGGACCTGTCCGTGCGCCCAGCGGCATCACGTTCCGGGATGCCCTTTGCAGCCACTGGACTCCCAAGACCCCGGCCCTGGCCACCGCCATCTTCACCTTCTTCACGTTTCCCTTCTGCACATGCGCAAAGGCCTGTCACGGCGGCTGAGCCGGGCCAAACGTGACGGAGGAAGCCGGGAGTGAAGAAAAGCCGAAGGGTTCAACAGGGGCGGGGTTTAAATACGCAGTTGGGAAGCCAAGGGTTGGATAGAGGCTGGGAAGGATAAGCGGGAAGAAGGGAAAACCAGGCAGGTCTCTGACATTTCAGAATGTTGTGTCCTTTTTCTCCCTGAGCTGACTTAGACCCATCCAGGGATGATGGGAACTCGGAACCTGAGCAACTCAGGTAGACAGCTTAACCACCTCCCCCAGGAGCTGTACTAGTGAAATGAGCCTGTCTTACTCTCTTCTCTGGCTGCTTGCTTTCCTCTCCTTCACGGGCACTTCCTTCCATCCCCAAACATGATCATTCTTCAAATTCACCTGTTGGTCTTGCTTGTTGTTCTGTTCTCCAAATGGGTTGATCTTCACTTAGACGCCAGTGCAACACACAATTCGGCCCTGAATTGGCTCCTTAGTTTCAGTCCGTGTTTCCATCTGCATGTCTCAGTCACCTCAACCCAACAAATGTAAAATTAAACTTATCACCAGAGGCAGCTCTCCAGAGACAGCTTAAAGCCTCAGAGTTGGTAGGACTTGGATAAAACAAATTACAAACCGGCCCATAATGAACAAACTAACTCAACAGAAGAATTGGAGACATTATTATGTTTGCATATGAATGTTTTCACTTGGGATTTGAATAACTTACACATTATAAATATGCACGTATTTCCAGTGACTTTTCAGGTGACCACTGTTTTGGAGCAGAACCTATTATTATAAACATTCTCAAGTATATATCAGAGCAATAAAAATGCATATAAGCTGGGAGCTGTGGCTCACACCTGTAATCCCAACACTTTGGGAGGCCTAGGTTGGAGAATGGCTGGAGACCAGGAGTTTGAGACCAGCCTGGGTGACATAGTGAGACTTCGTCTCTTTTTTTTTAAGTTATAAAAAGTAAACAAATATGGATATATACTATTTAATATATAAATTTTGGGAAGGACTACACAGCAACTTGCTGTCTTGTAAATGACATCACTAGTTGATGTTCAGAATAATTGCACAACATCTGCATTCAACCAATAGCAAACCCTGATCCAATTTAGGTCAAGAAACAGAGTTGATCTAATTTATTTATTTTTATTAAGATATTATTCACATACCATAAATTCACCCTTTTAGGCCGGGTGCGGTGGCTCACGCCTGTAATCCCAGCACTTTGGGAGGCTGAGGTGGGAAGATTACTTGAGGTTAGGAGTTCAAGACCAGCCTGGCCAACACAGCAAAAACCCATCTCTACTAAAAATACAAAAATAGCTGGGCATGGTGGTGTACACTTGTAATCCCAGCTACTCAGGAGGCTGAGGCAAGAGAATCACTTGAACACAGGAGATGGAGGTTGCAATGAGCCGAGATCACGCCACTGCACTCCAGCCTGGGTGACAGGGTGAGACTGTCTCAAAAACAAAAAACAAACAAACAAAAACAAAAACAAAAAAACCTTTTAAAGTGTACAGTAGTTATTTTTAGTACATTTACAAAGTTGTGCAATCATCATCACTATCTAAAACATTTTTATTGCTTCCGAAAAAACCCATACACATTAGCACGTTGCCCCTACCTCTACCCACTGGCAACCACTAATTTACTTTCTGTTTCTATGGATTTGCCTATTCAGACAGTTTATATAAATGGATCATGCAATATGTGGCCTTTTGTGTCCATTTTCTTTCACTTAGAATAATGTTTTCAAAGTTTGTCTGTGTTGTAGCACATATCAGTACTTCATTCCTTTTTGGGCTGTATAATATTCCATTATATGAATGTACAGTACAATATTTTATTTATACATTTATCAGTTAATGGACATTTGAGTTGTTTCTGCTTGTTTGGCTATTGTGAATAATGCTGCTGTGAACATTCTTGTATAAGTTTTTGTCTGGATGTATGCTTTCTATTCTTTTGGTTATATGCCTAGGAGTAGAATTGCTGGGTCATAGGGTAACTCTGTGGTTTAACTTTTGAAGAACTGCCAAATTGTTTTTCAAAGCAGCTGTGACATGTTACATCCCCATTAGCAGTGTGTGAGAGGGTTTCAGTTTCTCCACATCTTTATCAACACTTGTTATTGTCTCTTTTTAGTATCACCATGCAAGTGCCTGTGAATGGTACTTCATTGCAGTTTTCATTTGCAGTACCCTGATGACTAATAATGCTGAGCATCTTTCCATGTGCTTATTGGCCATGGTATACCTTCTTTGGAGGAATATCTGTTCAAACCCTTTGTTCATTTTTAAATTGGTTTGTCTTTTTATTGTTGAGTTGTAAGGATTCTTTATGTATTCTAGATACAATTCCCTGATCAGATACACAATTCATAAATATTTTCTCTGACTCTGTAGGTTTTTTTGCTTTTTTACAGTATCATTTGGAACCCTGTGTTTATCAGGAAGGGGTGTTGGGGTTTGTCAAAAGCTTTTTCTGTGTCTATTGAGATGATCATGTAGGGTTTTTTCTTTTACTAATATAGTGTATTATGTTGATTATAAATATTAATCAATAAAATATTGATTACTACATGGTGTGTTATATTGATCATTCTGAGATGTTGAACTGACCTTGCATTCCTGGAATAAATCCCACTTGGTCATAGTATATAATTCTTTTATATGGTGTTACACTGAGTTTGCTAGTATTCTGTTAGGATTTTTGCATCTATATTCATAAGAAATATTGGTCTATAGTTTTCTTTCTTTCTTTTTTTTTTTTTTTGAGACGGAGTATCGCTCTGTTGCCCAGGTTGGAGTGCAGTGGTGCAATCTCGGCTCACTGCAAGCTCCGCCTCCCAGGTTCACGCCATTCTCCTGCCTCAGCCTCCTGAGTAGCTGGGACTACAGGTACCCGCCACCATGCCCGGCTAATTTTTTTGTATTTTTAGTAGCGACAGGGTTTTACCGTTTTAGCCAGGATGGTCTCGGTCTCCTGACCTCGTGATTCACCCGCCGTGGCCTCCCAAAGTGCTGGGATTCCAGACATGAGCCACTGCACCCAGACCAGTGTTAATTTTTTAAAAAATGTTTGGTAGGATTCATCAGTAAATCTATCTGGTCTTGAGCTTTTCTTTTTCTTTTTCTTTTTTTTTTTTCCTGAGATGGAATCTTGCTCTGTTGCCCAGGCTGGAGTCAGTGGCACGATCTCAGCTCACTGCAACCTCCGCCTCCGGGATTCAAGCGATTCTCCTGCCTCAGCCTCCCAAGTAGCTGGGACTACAGGCGTGCACCACCATGCCTGGCTAATTTTTGTATTTTTGATAGCGATGGGGGTTTTACCATGTTGGCCAGGCTAGTCTCGAACTCCTGACCTCAGGTGGTCCCCCCGACCTCGGCCTCCCAAAGTTCTGAGATTACAGGCATGAGCCACTGTGCCCAGCCTTTTCTTTTCTTTTGAGACAAGGCCTAGCTCTGTCTCAAAAGGCTGGAGTGCAGTGGTGCAATCTCAGTTGACTGCAACCTCCACATTCCGGGCTCAAGTGATCCTCCCACTTCAGCTTCCCGAATAGCTGGAACTACAGGCGTGCCACCATGCCTGCTAATTTTTTTTTTTTTTTTTTTTTGGCTGGGGGGATTTGGTAGAGATGGGGTTTCTCCATGTTGCCCAGTCTGGTCGCGACCTTCTGGGCTCAAGTGATTCGCTTGCCTCTGCCTCCCAAAGTGTAGGGATTACAGATGTAAGCCACCATGCCCAGTTTCTGGGCTTTTCTTTATGGGATGTTTTTGATTCCTAATTCAATCTCTTGTTACAGGTCTATTCAGATTTTCCATTTCTTCTTGAATCAGCTATTATAGCTTGTGCCTTTCTAGGAATCTGTCCATTTCATCTAGGTTCTGTAATTTTTTGACATACAATTGTTTACAGTATGTCCTTATATGCTTTTTTTGGGGGGTAAAGTCAGCAGTAATATCCCTGTTTCATTACTGATTTTAGTTCTTTTAATCTTCTTGATCTTAATTAATTTATTTATTTTTAGTAAGACAGGATCTTGCTCTGTCATCCAGGCTGGAGTGCAGTGGCATGATCATGGCTCATTGCAGCCTGCACCTCCCAGGCTCAAACAATCCTCCTACCTCAGCCTCCCTAGTAGCTGGGACTACAGGCATGCATCAACGCACCGAGCTAATTTTTAAAATTTTTTGTAGAGATGAGGTCTTGCTATGTTGCCCAGGCTGATCTGGAACACCCAGGCTCAAGTAATCCTCCTGCCTCAGCCTTGAAAAGTCCTGGGATTACAGGCATGTGCCACCATGCCTGGCCTAATTTATTTTTAATTCCCAAGGTTATGAATTAATACATTCTTGTAAAAATTCAAACATTCAGCCTGAGCAACATGGCAAAACCCTTTCTCTACAGAAGGAAAAAAAATTAGTCCGGCATGGTGGTGTGTGCCTTTAGTCCCAGCTACTTGGGAGGCTATGGTAGGAGGATTGCTTGAGCTGGGGAGGTGGAGGTTGCAGTGAACCAAGATTGCATCACTGCACTCCAGCCTGGGTGACAGAGTGAGACCCTAGCTCAAAAAAAAAAAAAAAATTCAAACACTGCAGATAAAATGAAAGCCTTGATTGCCCCCTGCAGCCTCAAACACTTCCACAGAGGTAGCCCTATTATCGGTTTGGTGTAGCATGGTTACTATGTAGCATAATTACATAGTTAAGCCAGTGCATTCATTTCTATTACTGCATAACAAATTACTGTAAATTTAGCAGCCCAAAACACCAATTTATTTTCTCACATATTCCATGAGTCCAGGTACTGGTTGGCTGAGTCCTCAGCTCAGGGTCTTATCAGGCTGAAATCAAGGTGTTGGCTGGGTTAGCGATCTCATCTGAGGCTCCGTGTGTGTCCTTTCCCAAGTTCAGTGGTTGTTGCCAGAATTCAGTTACTTGCATTTGTAGGATTAAGGTGCCCACTTTCTTGTTGGCTGTCACCCAGGAGCCTTTCTCAGCTCCTAGAGTCCACCTGCCATTTCCTGCCATATGGCAGTTTGCTCCTTCAAGGTGAACAGGACAGCTGTGCTGTGGCTTCAAATCTCTTAGATTCTGTCTCTGACCTCTAGCCCTGATTTAAAGGGCTAGAGTGATAAGATGAAGCCCACCAGGATAAATCACCTCTTTTTGACTGCCTTAAAGTTAATTGATTAGGGACTTTAATTACATCCTTGTCATATAAGCTAACCTAATTACAGGAGTGATGCTCTATCATATTCACAGTCGTGTTTTCTTTTAAGGGGAGAAATGTATACAGGATGTGTACACCGTAGGGTACAAATCTTGGGATACATCTTAGAATTGGGCCTCTCACAGCCAGCCATAAGAACTGTCCAAGTAAGCAATAGAGGTATTAATATGGCCTTTTATAATCAGTATAGATTGTTTGAAAATGTGAGATGTCCATGGTTGGCCTCTAATAACATTCGATTCACGGCAAACATATATTCAAGTAGGAGACATGGTGATATAGGCAGAAAAATCAAATGATGCTAAACAAAAGAAAACTGTCTTTGATTTTGAAAGAATTCAACTTGCTGTATATCTTTTGCCTAAGCCTTCAGTCAGCCTTTGCTCTACATCTACCAATGTGATCACTGCTTTTCCTTCTGACTTCTTTAGGTGGGTCAAGAGTTTGCTTTTCTCCCCATTCATGAGTGTAAAGTTTAATGCCTAACTGAACTTGCTTCCTTCTTTGACTCTTGTGTAGACTCGGGCACATGGGGCAACTTTTTTTGTGTTTTGCTCTACCAGGTCGTCCCTATTCCGTGGGACTAGTGTCTAGCCCCATTTCTTCAGCAGTGGAGCCTAGGATGTAGAGCTGCATACTACCATTAGGAGGCGCACCCTCAGGCCTCGGCTCCGCGTTCTTTATGTCTCTGGACCGCTCTCTCTCGCAGCTCATCTCTATGGTTTCCGTTGGGTGTGTGGTTTTTTTGTTTTTTTTTTTTTGGGGTCCGGAATAGGCGGAGCTTCCGGTTCCGGTGGGGGCCGTCCCTGGCGGCGGAGATGGCGGCGACAGCGGCGGAGGCTGTGGCCTCTGGCTCTGGAGAGCCCCGGGAGGAGGCTGGAGCCCTCGGCCCCGCCTGGGATGAATCCCAGTTGCGCAGTTATAGCTTCCCGACTAGGCCCATTCCGCGTCTGAGTCAGAGCGACCCCCGGGCAGAGGAGCTTATTGAGAATGAGGTGGGGGGCGGGGCCGCGTCTAAAGGGAGAGGAGGAAGGTACCCGGTTGAGAGGTCAGAGGTGAATGGTGAAAGAGATGGGAGACTGGCAGGGCTCTAGACTAGGGCCTATGGGAAGATGGAGAGAAAGGCGAGGAGATACGGAACTTAGGGGTTCGTGCTGATTAACAGGAGAAATTATTCTGAAGTTGAGAAGTAGTTGGGATCATGGAGGCCAACCCACCGGCTCCTTGGCATTACTTCATTTGGTGTTTTTCACCTGTTGTTTTCATTTAGGAGCCTGTGGTGCTGACCGACACAAATCTTGTGTATCCTGCCCTGAAATGGGACCTTGAATACCTGCAAGAGAATATTGGCAATGGAGACTTCTCTGTGTACAGTGCCAGCACCCACAAGTTCTTGTACTATGATGAGAAGAAGATGGCCAATTTCCAGAACTTTAAGCCGAGGTCCAACAGGGAAGAAATGAAATTTCATGAGTTCGTTGAGAAACTGCAGGATATACAGCAGCGAGGAGGGGAAGAGAGGTAAATTCCGAAAGCTTAATTTTCTGTTGGATTTAGGACACTCATTTTTCTTTCCTATACTTGTTTGAAGGTGTGGCAGAATTGGGTCAATTAGAGATTGGCCTCTCCCATCTCTGGATTCCAGTTGAAGGAGTAGTCTGGTCTTCCAGCCTTTAAGGGGTTTGAGTTCTTAGTGGTTCTTGGTGCTACAGCCAGCTAGTTCTGTAGCTTGAGGGATGAGGGAATGATTAAACTTGAGCTATGAATCTCTGGGTTCCCATCTTCTTCCTCATAAAGAGTTAGTTGCCTAGAAGGGTCAGGCAGGTGAATGGAAGGAGTAATATCGTCTGTGTGAAATCAGTGATGAGGCTGAAGGCATAAGCCTTGTTCAAAGTGAGAAGCCAAGGCCGGCGGGGGTGGCTCATGCCTGTAATCCCAGCACTTTGGGAGGCCGAGGTGGGAGGATTGCTTGAGTCCAGGAGTTCAAGACCAGCCTGGGAAACGTGGTGAGAGCTAGTCTCTGCAAAATTAAAAACTAAAACAAAAAACCATGGTGAGAGGTCATTACTTGACTCTGCTTGCTTCAGTTTTGGAGTGCAGTTCTAGGGTTGGGAGATATTCCGATTTTCAAGAGAAGTTCAAAATCAGGATTTTTATTTAAAATCTTTTGACTTTAAATGGAGCAACTAAATCAGATTTAAAGAAAAAAAGTTGCAGGGGGCCAAACAAAAATGTTTGTCACTGGATTTAGCTCTGAAAATGCCTGTTTGTAGCCATTGTCCTTAAGTATTGTGATGACTGAGGATAGTTCAACCTGAAAAGTTGTATAGTTTGTTGTGATTCTGCAGTAAAGAAGGTTAGGATTCTCTAGCTTAGGGAAGATCAGATTAAATTTGTTTTTCCTATCACAACAGCAACACAAGACACACAAGACAGTGATTCTTCCTCTCTGCTTTTATTCCTGCTTATGAGGACAGCCTCTTATGTAGGTCCGAGACAGTATTCAGTCCCACACTATAACACTGCCTCTGGGGAATTGCTTTCGCTCAGTACTTCACGGTGAATTACCCTCTCGCATTTGGTGTCCAACCCTGGGTTTCTCTCTAGTCTCTTGCTTCACTCACTCCTGTTCCTGACTCCTTATCAGCAGTCTGTGGCTAAGTGAATGGATTTGAAATATCTTTTTTTCTTCTTCTTAACACTTAGCAGTTGTCATAATGATGGGATTTTTGACCAGAAGAGTTTCCAAGATATGAACTGTGGTCGATCTGTCCATGATGTCTTAATATATTGGTTCAGTTATCTCATGCATTAATTTTCTAAAATTTAACACAGTGTGTGTGTGCACACTTCCATATACACACACCCAACATTGAGAGAAAGATTGATTTAAATGATGCTGTTGGAGTGTGTAATTCCATTGAATGAACATATACCCAAGAATAAGCATAAGATATGTGAATCTTGTGGTTCTTCAGTCGCTTGAAGTTTCTTGTGTCCCATAGTGAGAGCATTTTGCATAAGAATGAGTGTAATCTGTACTTTATGGGTGATTAAAGAGTTTTCAAGGAAAATCTTTAATTGTTTGGAAGTTTTACCCTATCAGCTGACTTTAGCACCGAGCAGCTTCACCAGTCAGCTTCACTTCAACCTGATTGGACAGGTTGTGGCGACTATGGGGTGAAATGTATTAGGATCCTCTGAGCTATTTTGAGCATTAACCATTCTGGTGTAATCATAATATTGTTTAGATTCATATATGGGCAGTATCACTGACTCTTTCAAAGTTACTTGCATATTTTTTGGGTGAATATATAATTATTATCTTTGGGGAGCGTTGCATTGAGTCTTGAGGATTTCATGTTCCTACAAAGGTAGTGTTTCCAACTCATCAAGATTTCCTATTAAGGCTGGGCATGGTAGCTCACACCTGTAATCTCAGCACTTCGGGAGGCAGATCACCTGAGGTCAGGAGTTCGAGACCAGCGTGGCTAACGTGGTGAAACCCCGTCTCTACTAAAAATACAAAAATTAGCTGGGCATGGTGGCACGTGCCTGTAGTCTCAGCTACTTGGGAGACTGAGGCAGGAGAATTGCTTGAACTCAGGAGGCAGAGGTTGCAGTGAGCCAAGATTGCGCCACTGCACTCCAGCCTGGGTGACAGTGAGACTCCGTCTCAAAAAAAAAAAAAAAAAAGATTTCTGATTAACATTGCCTTAAACATTGTGATTCTAGGCAGTGAGATGAGATGCCTTTGAACCTTTCTTTTTTTTTTTTTTTTTTGAGACAGGGTCTTGCTCTGTCACCCAGGCTGGAGTGCAGTGGCATGATCTCAGCTTACTGCAACCTTCACCTCCCAGGCTCAAGCGATCCTCCCACGTCAGCCTGTCAAGTAGCAGGGACCACAGGCATGTGCTGCCACCACCATGCCCAGCTAATTTTGTGTATTTTTAATAACCAATTTATTTATTTAAATACATAAGGTTTTGCCATGTTGCCCAGGCTGGTCTCGAACTCCTGAGCTTAGGCAATCCACCTCCCTTGGCCTCTCCAAGTGCTGGGATTACAGGCGTGAGACACCGCACCTGGCCTCTTTGAGCCTTTTGAAATAATGATCTCAGGACCAGGACAGAGATGCTTCTGTCTTTTTTTTAGGTTTGCACACTTATTAAATGTCTCTTGTGGGCTTGTTCAAGTGTGTCTGGGTTTTCATATCTCTTAAGTAACTTATGACCTTCCTCAGGTATGTTAGGAGCCTGAGGCCTTTACCTAATAAGCTATCTTCCTTACTTTAGCTGTAGAAGGCTGCAACAGGATAGGTGGCTGAATCAGTTAAGATAAACTAGGCTTCAAGCCAGAGCTCGGGCTAGAAACAACAGAGGCTTATTTCTCACTTACTACATGTTGATCATGGGTAATGTCATATTGTTCTTTACATCATCTTACTTGCTCTGGCACCCAGATTGCCCCAGCAGCTACTATCTAGAACTTTGGAGTTGCTGTGGCAGAAGGAAAGAGATGTGGTAGTGGTAACTTGTTCTTAAATTACAGTTGGAAACAACACAAGTCGCTTCTGTGGACATTTCCTTGGCCAGAGCAGCGTAAATAAGCAAGCCTGGCTTCAAGGGGATGTGAAAGAAAACTCGCACACTGAGGGAACCAGCTCTTGGTGAACAGTAATACAATTTACCACAGTGGTCATCAAGGGCCAACGGAGATGTCTCAGGCTCTGCGAGTCTCTGGAGTGAGACTGATTCATCATTCTAGGGTCTGTGGATAGGCTTCTAGGAGTCTGAAATTGTGTGAAAGTTCTGGGTGTATGTGCATTTTTATGGGGAACCTCCGTGGATTCTTTTATTTATTTATTTATGTATTTATATTTTTTGAGATGGTGTCTTGCTCTTGTCACCCAGGCTGGAGTGCAATGGCACGATCTCAGCTCACTGCAACCTCTGCCTCCCAGGTTCAAGTGATTCTCCTGCCTCAGCCTCCTGAGTAGCTGGGACTTCTTCTCCAGGTTCTTTTTTTTTTTTTTAATTTTATTTTTCATCTCACCCTCCTACTCTTTGGATTCTTAAAGGAGTCATTCTGTGACCCAAAAAAGGTTAAGCATCACTTCTTTAAAGAAAAAGTTTGGGGGCCAGATGCAGTGTCTCACACCTGTAATCCCAGCACTTTGGGAGGCAGAAGCAGGAGGATTGCTTGAGCCCAAGAGTTTAAGACCAACCTGGACAACATATTGAGACCTTGTTTCTTTAAACAAAACAAAGAAAAACCAGTAAATTAAAAAATTTGGTGTTGAACATAACTCAATGAAGGATAAGTAAGAATTCAGTTGTATGAGAATCCATGTTGGCTAAAATTTGCCTGACTACATCTGTTCTCTGTGGGAGATGCTGGTATGGATTTGGGCTTGGATTTTCAGATGTGGAGAGGCCATGCCAGGGGCTGTGTGTGCATGCACTAATAGGATTTTCTTCTTGGGGAACATAGGTTGTATCTGCAGCAAACGCTCAATGACACTGTGGGCAGGAAGATTGTCATGGACTTCTTAGGTTTTAACTGGAACTGGATTAATAAGCAACAGGGAAAGCGTGGCTGGGGGCAGCTTACCTCTAACCTGCTGCTCATTGGCATGGAAGGTAAGAAATCTTTCAAAAGCAGCATGGCTTGGAGTCATATGAACCTGATTTCTAATCCTGTCTTCACCGCTTATTAGCTCCATGACTTTGAACAAGCCACTTCACTTTCTTAAGCCTCAGCCTACTCAGCTCTAAAAGAAACATAATAGGGGCTGGATGCCGTGGCTCACGCCTGTAATCCCAGCAGTTTGGGAGGCCAAGGTGGGTGGATGATGAGGTCAGGAGATGGAGACCATCCCGGCCAACATCATGAAACCCCGTCTCTACTAAAATACAAAGAAAACAAATCAGCTGGGCATGGTGGTGCGTGCCTGTAGTCCCAGCTACTCGGGAGGCTGAGAGAGGGGAATTGCTTGAACCCAGGCGGTGGAGGTTGCAGTGAGCCAAGATCACGCCACTGCACTCCAGCCTGGCGACAGAGCAAGACTCTGTCTCAAAAGAAAGAAAAAGAAACATAATAGGGCCAGGCATGGTAGCTCATATTTGTAATCCCAGCACTTTGGGAGGCCAAGGCAGGAGGATTGCTTGAAGCCAGAAGTTTGAGGCTACAGTGAACTATGATTGCACCACTGCACTGCAGCCTGGGCAACAGAGTGAGATCCTATTGCTTAAAAAAGGAAAAATGAAAAGAAATGAAACATGATAATGTCTTGTAAATAGTTGTGAAGTTGTGAAGATTAAATGAAATAATGTATGTCGAGTCTGTTTTTTTTTGTTGTTGTTGTTTTGTTTTTTTGAGACAGAGTCTCACTCTGTTGCCTAGGCTGGAGTGCAGTTGTGTGGTCTCGGCTCACTGCAACCTCCGCCTCCCGTGTTCAAGTGATTCTCCTGCTTTAGCTCCCAAGTAGCTGACACTACAGGCGTGTGCCACCATACCCGGCTTATGTCGAGTCTTTAAGCTAGTTTCGTGTATTCTAAAAAGTTCCCTTTTCCCTTCCTCAGCTGTTATGTGAGTGTGTATACTGAGATATTAGGGACCTCTCTGAAATACAGACATGTGATGCTTAATGTCAGGGATACGTTCTGAGAAATGTGTTGTTAGGTGACTTCATCATTGTGCAAACACCATAGAGTATAGTTACACAAACCTAGATTGTGTAGCCTTCTATATGCCTAGGCTATATGGTGTAGCCTCTGACTAAACCATGTACTACATGGTGTTAGCATATTACTGTGCTGAATATTATAGTCAATTCTAACACAATGGTAAGTATTTGTGTATCTAAACATACCTAAATATAGAAAAGGTATAGTAAAAGTACGGTATCAGATACTGCAGGAAAAAGGTGACAAAAGAAAAAAGTATATAAAGGTTAAAAAATGGTAGTTTGGGAATTTTTTTATTGCCAAAAAAAAAAAAGATAAAAAACGGTATACCTGTATAGGGCTGCTCCATCATAATCTTATGGGAGCACTATCGTAGATGCAATCTGTTGTCGACTAAAATGTCATCATGTGGCACATGACTGTACCACTTTTCTCTACTAGATCTGTCTATATTCAGACAATTTTTGTCCCTGTGAAAGAGGAGAAACTTATTTTTTTAGTGTAAATTCAACTTTATTGTTTTTATTTATTTATTTATTTTTGAGACAGAGTCTCGCTCTGTCGCCCAGGCTGGAGTGCAGTGGCGCGATCTCGGCTCACTACAAGCTCCGCCTCCCAGGTTCACGCCATTCTCCCACCTCAGCCTCCCAAGTAGCTGGGACTACGGGCGCCCGCCACCACACCTGGCTAATTTTTTTTGTACTTTTAGTAGAGATGGGGTTTCACCGTGTTAGCCAGGATGGTCTCGATATCCTGACCTCATGATCCACCTGCCCCGGCCTCCCAAAGTGCTGGGATTACAGGCGTGAGCCACCGCGCCTGGCAAATTCAACTTTATCTTTTAAATAGATAATACATTCATGGAGTTCGAATTCAAAAGGTGTAAATAGGTACATAGTGATAACTACCCCTGTCTCTTAGCCTCCCAATTTCCTCCCTGGAGGTACTGCATATTATTAGTTGCTTGTGTTTTCTGCTAGAGAAATTTATGCATACACTAATAAATATGTGAATGTGTTTTTTTTTTTTTTTTTTTTTTTCTTTTGAATGAAAGGAGAGGCCCTTAAACTCCACTCAGGAGAATGAGAGCTTTTTATGAGGCAGGGTCATTGTCTCATTCTTATTTTTATTTCTCGCAGTAGCTCAATGCCAGGCCCATGGTAGGTACTTAGTAAATGGTGAATAACCTGGGTTGAACAAGGAAACAGAGAAGTTATTTATTGTCATTCACCACTTAGCTCCTTGGTTTCTTCTTGTTTGATTGTCTGTTCTTCAGATTTGGATCCTTTGCTGCTGGTACTAATAAAGATTTCCGGCCATGTGGCTTGTGAATTGATACCACCTGCCTCTTTTTTTGTTTTTGTTTTTGTTTTTTATTGAGACAGTGTCTCACTCTGTCACCCATGCTGGTGTGCAGTGGCATGATCAGGGCTCACTGCAGCCTTGACCTCCCAGTCTCAAACGATCCTCCCACCTCACCCTTCCAAGTAGCTAGGACTACAGGCG
The DNA here is from genome assembly GCF_000001405.40 of Homo sapiens. Taxonomy (NCBI): domain Eukaryota; kingdom Metazoa; phylum Chordata; class Mammalia; order Primates; family Hominidae; genus Homo; species Homo sapiens. Next base: position 100,543,336 of record NC_000010.11, read on the forward strand.
TAAGCCACCATGCTTGGCTAATTTTTAAAGTATTTTTCTGTAGAGATGGGGGTCTCCCTATGTTGCCCGGACTGGTCTCGAACTCCTGGCCCCCTCTCACCTTGGCCCCCTAAGTGATCCTCTCACCTTGGCCCCCTAAAGTGTTGGGATTACAGACGTGAGCCACTGTGGCTAGTCTTACCTGCCCCTTTGAAACCAACTCTTGGTTGACCTGCCAAGAAAGAGCCAGTTCTGGTTTACTTGACTCTTTTTTTTGAGACAGAGTCTCGCTCTGTCGCCCAGACTGGAGTGCAATGGCGTGATCTCAGCTCACTGCAAGCTCTGCCTTCCGGTTCACACCATTCTTCTGCCTCAGCCTCCCAAGTAGCTGGGACTGTAGGCGCCCGCCACCACGCCCGGCTAATTGTTTTATAGTTATAATAGAGACGGAGTTTCACCGTGTTAGCCAGGATGGTCTCAATCTCCTGACCTCATGATCCCCCGCCTTGGCCTCCCAAAGTGCTGGCATTACAGGCGTGAGCCGCTGCGCCCGGCAGTTTACTTGACTCTTATGTCTTTCTGTTGCCTGCGTTTCCTGTGGTAGGGTGCATGGAAGTGGATCCCTCAGGTAGAGATGAGAGAGCAAGTCTGCTTTGAGGATGCATGTGGACTCTCATCACTTAAGAAAGCATCTGTCTTGGCATACCCAGACAGAGCTGGGGAAGATTGTCTAAATTCCATGCCCTGCAAAAGTGTGTGTTCAACTCATGGACTGTGCAAAGGCCAAACAACACACGTGGTCCTAGTTAGAAAGGAGTAGATGGAACATACACTAGGGCACAACTAATTCAAGGTGGCATTTAAAATAATGTGCCATATTTAAATTACACAGCACTCTCTTCAGTCATCTGATATTCTTTCCTCCAATGAAAATCACTTGCACCAGTGAGCCCCAATGTTGCTTTAAGAAGTGTTGTCTTGGCTAGATGTGGTGGCTCACGCCTGTAATGCTAACACTTTGGGAGGCTGAGGTGGACAGGTCACTTGAGCCCAGAAGTTGGAGACCAGCCTGGGCAACGTGGTGAAACCCCATCTCTTAAAAAAACAAGTATTGCATTCGTTAGGTGTATTGAAGTGGGAGGAAAGGTTGAGAATCTTTGAGTTCCACAGAGCTACCCAAAATAAATACAGAGCTACATAATCATACAACTTAGAATGACTGGTTAACTCCTCATGTATATGTTGTTGATACCAGTCATTTCTGTTTTGCTTTCCTTGAATTCCTGCCGTAGTCAAGAAGAGTACACGGTGTACACAGTTGATTACCCTACCTGATTTTTGAGGATCATTTTGATGTGCTCTTGCTTCCAGTAAGGGCAGCAGCCTTCATTTAGGGAAGTTGACTTAGCTGATAGTGGACCCTTAACCAGTGATGTTTGCTAGAGTTATTACCATACAAGCTTAACACCTAATTTTCTGAGAGTTGTAATTGGAATTTCCCTGATTCTGCCTAAATTTTGATTTGGAACTTTTAGCTGGGAGGGCAGGCTGGGTTTCTCTTTAGCACTGGGTCCTGTATTCCAGCTTATGCAATAGAACCACTGCTCTGCATAAGAAAATGCCTTTCTTCTTACAGGAAATGTGACACCTGCTCACTATGATGAGCAGCAGAACTTTTTTGCTCAGATAAAAGGTTACAAACGATGCATCTTATTCCCTCCGGATCAGTTCGAGTGCCTCTACCCATACCCTGTTCATCACCCATGTGACAGACAGAGCCAGGTGAGCTTGTGTGGTCTGAGAAGGGTATAGAACTCTAGATTCTAGTAATGCCTAGGCTGGAATGTCTTTCCCCTTCCCCGTAGTGATATGCCAGGTTCGGATTACAGGCTGTTCTTGCCTTAACACACCAAGAGGGTAATTTCATTGTAGCTCACATATTCCAGGCTCCCTGGAGTGGCCACCAGATGTTTGTAAGTATAACTAGCCCCACAGAGCTAATTCTCAGGACAGACACTGTCATTGATGCTGATGGACTCTGGTTACTCTGTTTGATTGGCTTATAAGTTTATGGAACAAAATGTGTATGTCTCCATTGGATTTAATCATTGTTTGCTTTTGTCATGGATGCTATTTCTTTTTGATAAGAAGGGTGAATAAAACTGAGCTATGTTGTTTAATGTATTTCCTAGATCTAAATGAGGTATGTGGTTAACTGTGGCCAGCCAAAGATATCCTTTCCTTTCTTCAGAAAGCTGTCTAGCTACTTCATGTGGGAGTCTTTGCTGGTTAGAATATGTTTTTGGGAAAAGTTTCTGAAGGTTTAGGTGGAGGATAATTCCTAATTCCTCATATCCTCAGCTGTGGAGTAGGTCGTCTGACCTCAGGAGCACTGAAGCCTAGGATTCTTTATCACTTAACATTCAAATGTGGACTGTCTTATATTGTTCTCTCTCAGGGTTTAATGTGCATTATATCTTCTGCTGGATATAAATTCCAAATACTTTTTTTAAGGCATCGTTTTTTTTTTGTTTGTTTGTTTGTTTTTACTGCCAAACTGGCATATAGTAGTTTTACTGGTGAAGATTTGGTGATTGATATTTTTTTTCTTTCTCTTGAACCTCTTAGGTGGACTTTGACAATCCCGACTACGAGAGGTTCCCTAATTTCCAAAATGTGGTTGGTTACGAAACAGTGGTTGGCCCTGGTGATGTTCTTTACATCCCAATGTACTGGTGAGAAGGGGGCTAGGGCTGGGGGCTTTTTGGGAGCTTTCTTTTCCATTCCCTGGAAAGCCTTGTCTGTGTCGCTTCTGAGTTATGGCATGATTGGTTTTATGTGGTCTATAGGAAGGTTGGCATATCCAGACATGAGCGTACTGAACCTGTGGGGGATAGTGGCGGGAATGATAGCCCTGTCTCTAGGACAGGATGACGGTTCTTCAAGTCCAAAGAGATTCCGGAGGCTTGAGCCTAGAAAAACTGTTCTTGGCTCTTTGGTATTTCGAGACTGAACACCAGTACCTCTAACCCCCAAGTGTGTGTTTTTTTCACAGGATGAGTGTAAAGATATTGTCTTCACTATTTTCCGTAACTGGACTCCACCTAGTTTTTCAGCCCAACCCTGCCACCCCCCCGCACTTCGCCCCTCCGCCCCCGCCAAAAGTATCAGTAGTAAACAGGAGCCTGTTTGTTTTCTTGCAGGTGGCATCACATAGAGTCATTACTAAATGGGGGGATTACCATCACTGTGAACTTCTGGTATAAGGTGAATATGGTTTGCTTTTTTTGTTTTTTCCAGATGGAACTGGCTCTTGGGTGAGGTAGGTATAATAAATGATTTTGGATGGGATGGTTGACTATCCCTGGAAGTGATTGTCAGGTGTCTGGGGAGATGAAAGGGACAGGATTGAATTGGGTTTCTTTTTTTTAAATATATTTTTTGAGACAGAGTCTTGCTCTATTCCCCAGGCTGGAGTGCAGTGGCGTGATCTCGGCTCACTGCAACTTCTGCCTCCCGGGTTCAAGTGATTCTCCTGCCTCAGCCTCCCGAGTAGTTGGGATTATAGGCACACACCACCATGCCTGGCTAATTTTTGTATCTTTAGTAGAGATGGGGTTTCACCATGTTGGCCAGGCTGGTCTCAAACTCCTGACCTCAAGTGATCCACCCGCCTCGGCCTCCCAAAGTGCTGGGATTATAGGCCTGAGTCACCGTGCCCGGCAAGAATTGGGTTTCTTAGAAGGGAGGATGGTACTAAGAACAGTAGAGTGACACTGACGCCTGCTGCTAAAGGCATTTCCTGAGCTACTGCTTCCTTTGTAGGGGGCTCCCACCCCTAAGAGAATTGAATATCCTCTCAAAGCTCATCAGAAAGTGGCCATAATGAGAAACATTGAGAAGATGCTTGGAGAGGCCTTGGGGAACCCACAAGAGGTAGGTGACTGCCCCAAGGTGGCTCAGTGGGTGGGTTGACCAAGGAAAGTCAGGATCAGAGCGACATTCTTTACAGCTTCTGTGTTTCAGTGTCTGGTGTCCTCTCTCTCCATAGAGGTTATGGGTATGTTCAGAAAAATTCTTGTTTTCTGGTGATAGCTGGGCTTGACTGGCAGATCAATTATAATTAGTTCCATGCTAGTAGTAATGTTCCCCATGGGTATTATGTACCATCTGGGGACCCCCTGAGGGGATTCTTCTGGAACAGGAAGCGAGCACTAACACATCTCCTTGCACTTTCCCAGCTGTGCCAGGGCTGCTGTAGGTAATGTTGAGAGACCTGCTTCCCATGCAGGTGTGCCAGTGGCCCATTGGGTAAATGGGGGAGGTTTGTATTTGTAGGGTTCTTGCTTGCCTCTTGGAGGTAACCTCAGCATCCACAGACACCTGTGGTGTTGGGAGATAGCATCAGCCCCAGTTGCAGATGATCATTTTTTGAGGATATGGAGGCAGTTAACATTCTGGAGAAACATATAGACACTCTTGGGTGTTCGGGGATTATTAGCTTCTCTGACCATGTCTGTCCGTTTGGGGCAGATTACGGTAAGAGACGGTGTTGTGCGAGAGAAGAATAATAGTACAAGATGGACCCCTGAGGGAAAGACTATGTCCCAGAATACTGGGTTGACCTTCAGGAAGATAGGTGATTAGAGGATTCACAAGATTGTATGAAAACATTGTCTCTGTCCTTGGCTGGACATCTGATGTCTCCAGACACACCCTGTCCAATTCCAGGGCCAGGGAACAGCCAGTTCTGATTGGCTCCTCATGTTTCTTTACAGGTGGGGCCCTTGTTGAACACAATGATCAAGGGCCGATACAACTAGCCTGCCAGGGGTCAAGGCCTCCTGCCAGGTGACTGCTATCCCGTCCACACCGCTTCATTGATGAGGACAGGAGACTCCAAGCGCTAGTATTGCACGCTGCACTTAATGGACTGGACTCTTGCCATGGCCCAGGAGTCAGGTGTTTGGAGCGAGGCAGGGCAGTTGGCACTCCACTCCTATTTGGAGGGACTTCATACCCTTGCCTCTTGTGCCCCAGCACCTTCTCTCTCTGCCCCCCGCCTAAAGTCCTGCATTCAGTGTGTGGAGTCCCAGCTTTTGGTTGTCATCATGTCTGTGTGTATGTTAGTCTGTCAACTTCGGAATGTGTGCGTGTGTGTGCATGCACACGCATGTATGTATCTGTTCCCTGTTCCTTCTGGGTCAGGCTGTCACTTCCGGCTCTCAGCCCTATCTCCTGCAACCTCAGTGCCTCAGCCTGAGAGAGAGATGAGATGCTCTTGGACTCCCCACTGCATCTGGGCTGCAGGGCCAGAGCTAGTCTGACCATTAGGTCAGTCTGCCTCCTGACAGTTTTTGCGTAGTCAAGCTCTAGGCGGTATGGGAATGGCTACCGGGACTCTAATGGGGTGAAAGAGAGGGGAGGCTTGCCTTTGAGAGCCTATATAGCCTTCCTGTGAGAGAGGATTAGATAGGGTTCCAACTGGGCCTACAAGCTCAAGCCATACATAAAAGGACCTTGGGACATAAGAACCAATGATTGTGCATAAGTTCTAAATTAGAGACACATATAGTTTCTCTCTTTCAGCACCAGCTCTTGCCCCTATGCTGGGTACCAAGGGAGTTCTCCTAGCTGTGGCTTCTCTAGGTTCTAGGGGTGCAAGCCTCTGTGTGTTTGTTTGTGTGTGTCTGTGTGTGCGTATCCACACTAGGGGTGCAAGCCTCTGGGTGTGTGTGTGTGTGTGCGTGCGTGTGTGTGTGTGTGTCCGTGTGTGTGTGTGTGTGTGTCCACACTGGCCAGCCTCCCTACTTACCAAGGTTCTCCACTGCTTACCTTTTCCAGTGGGACAGTACAGTGTGAGCCCCCGGGAAGTACTGCCTGACCTATCCTAAGCTTTTACACTTGGATTTTAGCCATCATATGTTGGCCAGGTCTCACTGCAGCCTGCCCGAGGCTAACTGGCTAGAGCCTCCAGGCCCTATGATGCTCCCTGCCCAGGCCATATCCTTTATTCCTGCTGAGCTTCCTGGCTGAATAGATGAAATGGGGTCAAGCCCAGGCAGCTCATTCACTACCTGTGATCCACCTCAGGGCACGGGCAAACACATAGGCTTGCGTCTTAAAGCCAGCTCCTCTGCCAGACCCCGTTGTAATGTGCCACAACACCCTCAATAGTCAGGGCAACTGGTGGAGCATGGAAGTCGAATTTCCTTTTCTGTTAGGAGCTACTCCTGGGAACCCCTCTCAGGGCTGCAGCTTACAGGTGGGCAGCTGTGATTGCACAACTTGAAGGGCCATCATTCACATCTATTCAGTGGGAGTGGGGTCCCTGGGATTGGGCAGTGTGGTGGCCCTGTGTCTCCTCACCTCTGCTCCTGTCTTCATCACCTTCTCTCTGGAAGGGAAGAGGAGTTGGAAGGTCTCTGGTTTTCTTTTCTTTTTTTTTTTTTTTGCCAAAGGTTTACTTCCAGCATCTGAGCTCTGGCTCTCACCCCTGAAGCTCAGTTATAGTGCACTGATGAACTGAGAGGATGCGTGTGGATGTGTGTGCATGCCTGAGTGCGTTTTTTGGGGAGGGGTGTTTATTTTTAGTACCCCATTCTGGGGTTCTCTGATGCAGTGTGGATGTGAAGATATGGTACCTTCTCAAGTGTAGCTCTTTCAAATATAGTCAATGCTGGGAAATGTGATTGCAGTGATCTCTATCTCTCCACTTCTTTTGGGAAAGAGGAGCACAGGAGCGGAGGAAAAACTTGGCCACAGTCACACTTGGAAAGATAGTAGATTATTTTCGTTCTCCTCAGCAGGTCTGCTGTATTCCTCGCTCAGCGCTCAAAGATGTGGGTGATGTGTCAAGGAGGCATGCACTCAGCTGGTCCTTGCTGAGTTATTTGCTGACACAGGTCTCACTAAGGTGGCTGAGGGGTGGGAGGGAGAAGGCTAATCTTGGAACCTTCACAGGATTGGCCTTGATCCTTGGGTAACACAAGAGTGATTCCTGATTTTTAGACACCTAATATGTGCCTAGTGCTTTTCTCTTTGTTCCTCACTATCCTGCAAGGTAGGTATTCTCACTTACAGATGAATAAATGGGCTCAGAGAGATTAGGTGATTAGTGACAATCAGTTGTAACTTAGCACTGTTAGGCTGCAAACCCCTTGCTCCTTCCTTTCCACCAAACTATGTTGATTTTCCTTCCTTACCTCCCTCCTTGTACCACAGGTTCTGTCCTCAAGATATCACCCCACTGGGCAGTATCTGAAGGCAGACCCAGCCCAAGATGGTGCAGAATATACAGCTCAGGGTGAAAGTTCTTCTGGGCTCCTGCTAACAAAGTCTTGGAAAAACTGCCTGGGAAGCCATATTATGAATTAGTGCTAGAAGAAGCTGTGGGGGGAACTGAGTTCTGTGTCTAATTGCATTACTTATGTGTCCTTGAATAGGACCCATAACTCCTCCCGGCATGCTTTTGCATCTATAGAACTGAAGCTGTAGTTCTAGATGGCACTAAGGGTCTTGGTTCATATTCAGCTGCTGCTTCCCCCCAAGGAAAAGATGAGGTTTTTCCCCTTCGATTACCTTTTGAGGGATGTTTAGGCTCAAATTCTGCTTGCCACAGAGGAAACATTTCTGCTGTAGTTGTTTACCTCCATCCTAGCTGGCAGTGTGGGACACACACATACAGCAAGTGAAGGTGGGGGTTTGGGCCTGTATAGAGGTCAGCTACGCTGCAGGCTCATCTATTCACACCAGCAGGTACAGAGAAAACTAGTGTTTTGTAAAGTCAAATATTTGTTGGGGGTTGGAGTTCTGGGGTTGGAGGAGGGGCTGTTCTGGGCATCAGTTGAGCAGATGCCCAGGATGCCTGGGGGAGACCAGCTTCCCCTACAAATCAGAGCTCTAAATTACAAGGTTTTTACCAACGTGAACAGTTGGGGGAAGTCGTCTGCTCTCATTTGCGTAATGGTTTCTGTCACTGGTGATTAGACACAGGATGAAGGAAAAGAAATTTGACAATTAGGAATGAGCGATCATTAATCTGAATCTGTTAGGAGACAGAGAGGGGAAGGATCCTTATCAGTGGGCCAGCCCAGTATGGGGAGACACTCCCTCCCTCTGCCCCCAGAGACTCCTGGGCTACATCCTCTTTCAGTATTGCCACAAGTGGGCAGAGCTTGTATTTCTTAACAAAGATTAGGGACCCAGTTGCCAGCCTGAGATGGATATAGGAACAGACATCTTTGGGCATGAGCCAACAAAGATAGAAATAGATGAGTGTCAGGTACAAGCTATAAGGCAAAGAATAACAGTGGAAAAGTTTTGACATGTGTTTGCCATTTGTGGAAAATGTTTTTGTAATAGTCAACACCCCTCATAGCCCACCTGTGACAAGTACTTGTTACATTCCAGCACTGTAGGGCGTGAGGAAAATCTGGTCCTTATCAAATCCCAGGAGCTTCTGCTTAGTTGGGGAAGAAATTACATGAAGCAACCAGAGGTTATAAGGCCACACTTGTATATCGTGCACCCTGTGTGGACAAGATTAGGGACTGTTGAGAGAGGAGGAAACCAGTAGAGAGCAAAGCTCTACCCAGGCTCCTTGTAAGCCTCTGGGCTCCCCCGAGAGGGCCTCGCTACTCTACGCTTCCTAGCAACGTTGATGTCCCCACAACCCCACATCAGTGCAGCTGTGGCTGTGTGGAGGGGCTCTGAGGCCTCTGAGGCCAGATGTGTAAACAGTGCTGAGGTTCAGTAATAGGATGAGTCTTCAGGTGTGGAGCAGCCCACCTTGGCTCTTCCCATGTCTCTGTGTTACTTCTCATATTCTGCTGTCCTTTCAAACTTCAAGGACAGTATTAATTTATACTAGTATTTCTTCCTCAGTTTTGTGACTTGAATGCAGTGAGTGCCTTAGAGGATCCAAGGATGAAGGAATGCGGGTTGGTGGTTCTCTCTTTCAGAATGGGAACTTCCCAAAAATGGGGCTGCGTCTCGCCTCTCAGTAGGTTCCCTACCTCTGGGTCTTCCACCCTTCAAAATCTGGTACAGAATTTAGCAGGGGCTGCAGGGAATGACCCTCAGGGACCAGTTTCACCCAGATGGGGTAGATGATGAGGTATACCTAGAAGTAGCTCAGGGCTCCAGAGTCTGGCCTTTCAGCTGGTGTCTTACTCCCCTTTGAGACCTTCAGCTGCTTGTCTTCCACTGCCTGCATACTTCTCTGATGTCTTCTCAAACTGTTGGCTCTAAAGGGATGTTCCAGCCTCCCTCTCCAGAGCTGCCTGCAGTTTCCCTTATTCAGCTGTCTCCTGCCTAGTCTCTCCAGCGGCCTCCTTACCAAGACCCTTTTTCCTAAACAGTTGTCCTTCCCTCAGAAACTCCATGGCTGCAAGTGTGAATAGACTTGTCTTTAGGATCCCTCTCTCTGGTCATCCCTGATCATCTTAGGGCCGTCTCCCTTTTCTGATTTTTGACAGCTCTGTTTATTTTGCCCATGGCTAGTCCTCTTGTTTTGTGTCTGCTGTGTGTTCTTGCCCTTCCATTGTCAGTTCTGTACATCCTGGTTCAGCTTGTCTCACTGTGGTAGCCCCTTCTGCTTGTCTTCAGCCATCTTGGTTTAATCCTCATAGGTCATGGATGAATGGAGCCTTGCTGAGCACTTTGAGGGCATTTCTGTTGGGCACAACCTCAGAAACGGGAAGTCTTGAGGCCTGGGGGCGTGTGGTCAGTGAGGCCTCCAGAGGTGGGTTAGGGGTGGGCACCTACAAGGGCCAGTTGAGGGGAGAGGTGCAGGGATTGCTGAGGAGACTTTGTGAGAATGATGTCAGGCCCGGGAAGCTGGTGTGGAAGAACTGAGCTGTCAGAAGGAGATACCAATATCCCCTTTGCAGGGTGGTGATGGGCATCAAACATGACGTGGAACATGTCCCCTTCATGGAGGGTTTCCATCTAAATGCATCTGTGTGCCTTAGGGATCAGTAGTTCAGGGGTGGTGGACTTTTTTGAGTGTCTCCTAATTTCTCTGAGGTGTCTTTGGCTCTGTGTCACCAAATGTGCCTGACCTCTGCATCCCAGTGGTTGCTGAAAGGGAAACAGTATATTGCGTAGTCAGATGTCAGGAGTAGAGATCTTAATGAGAAAGGCCCTGGCAGCTGGAGAGATGAGAGGACCTAGTGGTCAGCTTATACCCAGACTATCTCTCCACTCCTCCAAGAGTTTGAGTCCCATAGCTGATGAAAGAATTTACATATGGGCTCCCCCCTGCTTTCCCACTGAAAATCTATTCTCATATTTTGGGAAGGAGCATATGTCCTTTAACTTTCAATGGTAAACAATCTAGGATAGTGTTTAAAGGCATGGATTTTGGAGTCACATATAGTTGGTTTGAATTTCTAGCTTCACTACTTACCAGCTGGGTTTGACCTTGGTTGATTTACTTAACCTCTCTGAGCCTCAGTTTCCTCAACTATAATAACATGGGTGGAGGGAGGCATGTTGAAAATATCTACCTCAGGGTTGTTGGAATAACTGAAACAATGTTTGTAAAGCTTTAGCACAGTGCCTGGCAAGCACTTAATAAATGGCTGTGGTGGTGGTGGTTATATTTATTATGTGATTTATTCAGAAACTTGGTTTCAGTGATCTCTAAACAGATTTCCAGTGGTTCTTTCTCTCTCAAGAAAAGCATAGGGAAAAACGAGAAACACCTTAGATAAACCATATTGAGTTGAGGGTAGACAGAAGAGTCTAGTACCTAAACTCACCCTAGAGGAAGAGAAACAGGAAGTGTCTTATGCCTCTTCTGCCTGGGCAGCCAGACTTTACTGCTGTACTACCAGCCCAGGGCCTTGGGTGAGAAGGTTTCAGGTCTGAGCTCCCCTTGCACTGTGTGAGAGGCCGTGGAGCCGAATGAGTCCTTATTATACCTGGAGAAGCTGTTGTCTCCTCACACCATGAAATGTAATAGCAGTCAAATCAGGCCCCTCTTGATTCAATTTTAGTCCATGCCTTTCCATGTATTTAAATTATATAAGTGTTGGCCAGGTGTGGTGGCTCACACCTGTAATCCCAGCACTTCGGGAGGCTGAGGCAGGAGGATCACTTGAGCCCAGGAGTTCGAACCAACCTTGGGCAGCATAGTGAGACCCCTTCTCTTAATAATTTTTTTTGAAAATAATTTTTTAAAAATTACAAATATGGACCAGACACCTGGGAGGATTACCTCACGCCTGTAATCCCAGCACTTTGGGAGGCTGAGGTGGGTGGATCACCTGAGGTCAGGAGTTTGAGACTATCCTGGCCAACATGGTGAAACCCTGTCTCTACTAAAAATACAAAAATTAGCCAGATGTGGTGGTGGGTACCTGTAATCCCAGCTACTCGGGAGGCTGAGACAGGAGAATCACTTGAACCTGGGAGGCGGAGGTTGCAGTGAGCTGAGATCACGTCATTGCACTCCAGCCTGGGTGACTACAGTGAGACTCCCTCTCAAAAAAAAAAAAAAAAAATTATGAGTATGTTAAGATTGTTCTAGGGGAGAAGGGCAATCAAAATTCAGAAAAATATGAGTGGGATGTTAATAGCTACCATTTGTTGAACACTTCTGTTCCAGGCACTGTATTAGTTCGTCCCCATGTGGTGCTCTCAGATCAGTAGGGGAGACAGGCAGGCAGTTAGAATTATGGTGTATAGAGGAGAAGCATTGCACTATGTCCAGTTTTTTATGGTAGGCTTCCTGCAGAAAGTGATAAGTCCAAGCTGATATGTGGAAGATGAATAATTAACCAGAGGTTGGGGGATTTCCCCCTTAGCTTCTCTTTCTTCCAGTCCAGCAGTCCAAAACAAACACTGCTTCCCAATGCCTAAGGGTTTTGTCGTACCTTACTCCAGGGAATGGGTGAGACAGTAGATCCCAAGAAGAAAACCCTTTGGTTAGTCACAGAAATCTGAAAGTCTTGGTTGCTGGCTCAGATTTGTCCTGGAGTGGACGTAGATTGGACTTGCTTATTTGTAGCCCTCCACCGTTCTCATTTGTGTTCTGGCCTCTGGAGCCACCCTGCCAGACCCTACTTGGAAGAAATGTTGAATCAAGCTACTCAGACTTCAGCCTGAGATGTATTATGGCTGGCTGGAATTCTCAGCCCTTTCCACATCATGATCCCATTAATCTCTTGGGTCTATCCCCACGCCCAGCCACCTCTCCTCCTCACTATAAGCCAAGTCTCCCTGCAGTTCTCTATAAATACTCAGATCCTCTTGCCTCAGACCCTGGTCCCTAGCTTTGTGGGTGAAGAAGATACCTCTTTAGCTTGTGCCAACCCATCCCTCTGGGCTACAGGCCATTCTGTAGTCACCTTGCAGTCACGTCTTTCCTTCTAGATAACTGGCTCTGGGCCTTGGAAACCTTCTCTTTGGCTCTAGCTAATTTTGCTGTTTTATTCCGTTTACTTAAAACCTATTCACTTGGTCATTGAGGTCAGAACTATCAGGAAAGCTGTGCTCCTTAACCCATCATCTAAGCTAAGCTTGGGCCAGGTTTTTATTACCTCTTGAATATATATAGTGCAATATAGTGTAGTGGTTGAGAGTGGAGTCTGCATACCTGGATCTGCCATTCTGCATGACTTTGGGCAAATGGACAAACTGCCCGAAACTTGACTTGTTTATATGTATGGGGAAGACATCATTTACATTGTCAGGGTAAGGCTTAGCAGAATGACCGGTCCATAGCAAGGGCTCAGTCTTTCTGTGTCTCTCAGTCTTTACCTCTCTTCCCCATCTAGCTTTCTGTCTAAGTTCCTGTTTCTAGTCTCAGGGCATATCTAGTTGTCAGCTCCTGAGCAGAGCAGAGGTATAAGTGTCAACTCATGCTTGTGTTACCAGTTCCTACCCCTGTCAGTAACCTCTGATGCTTACAAGGATACTATCACCTATGCCATCAGTGGGGAATGACCTTCCAAAAATATTTTTAACAATACTAAAAATACCTGAAACATACTGGGTGAAAATAAGACATTGGAGCTGCTGCTCCCCAAGGAGATAAAAGGACAGTTCCTAAAGAGGCATTGAAGGTTTGTATGAGCCAGCAGCACAGTCAGAAGGCAAGAAGGAGACCCTGGGATGTGCACAAGGATGCAGGAGACGAGATTGTCACAGAGGCTGTCATGCTAGTAAGAGTCAGAGGTTACTGATGGGTAGAGATTGTCAGAGTCTGCCTTGCTAGTCTAGAGGTAGGACCATGGATTTAAGAACGTTGCCTCCAAGTTTTTGAATTGTGAATTTTTGATCATATTTGAACAAAACCCCACCTACAGTCTGCATGGTCATTGTTCTCACAAGGGTTTGTGTGATGCACTGACAAGAACAGAGGCTTTGGAGGTGACTCCTGGGTTTGAATCACCATTTGCCACTAGCTAATTCTAACCTTAGGTAAGTCAGTGTCTCTGGGTCTCAACCTCTTCCTCTGTGAGGGGTAGGAAATAGCACATAACTTGTAGCATTGTTATAAGGGCTCGTGATAATGTTTTTAAAACACCTGGCTCAAGCACTCAGGAAAATGTTTTATTATGAAGACCAAGTGTCTCTGAAAAGTGTTTCCTTAGTGTCTGGAGAGACTACAGCAGCAAGGCTTTTCTGATCCTACTCTGACTCTCAAGATAATGGTGCTTGAAGTGAAATCACAGAAGAGATGACTGGGGCAGGAAAAGCAAGATGGAAAAGATAAAGTTGTGGAAGGGACTGAAAGTCCATGAAGTGCTGGGCTGGGGACAGAAAGGGTTTAATAGGGCAGGGTCTTGAGGAACAGGAACAGAGACCTTGGTTCTGGGTTGCCATCTGATTCCCAGAAGAGTAAAGGAAATGGGGCAGGAGGATGTCTGTGGAGGACACAGTGTGGCTGAGTGGAGAGAACACAAGCTTCTGGCCAGTGAACCTAAGTGAGAATGTCAGTGGACTTTGCACAGGCTGGGTGCCTTTGGGGGTGTTCATCTCGCTATGCTTCGGTCCCCTCATTTAAAAAAATTGGTTAATAATATGATGACCTGCCAATGTGTGTGGAAATACTATGTAAACTGAGCACTATATAAATGCTGGTTGTTGAGATATTGGGAGTGGGGGTTTCGGGAGATTTTGTTTGTTTGTTTTTTTGAGATGGAGTTTTCGCTCTTGTTGCCCAGGCTGGAGTGCAGTGGCGTGATCTTGGCTCACTGCAACCTCCACCTCCTCCAGGTTCAAGCAATTCTGCCTCAGCCTCCCGAGTAGCTGGGACTCAGGCGTGCGCCACCATGCCTGGCTAATTTTGTATTTTTAGTAGAGATGGGGTTTCTCCATGTTGGTCAGGCTGGTCTCGAACTCCCGACCTCAGGTGATCTGCCTGCCTTGGCCTCCCAAAGTGCTGGGATTACAGGTGCGAGCTACCACACCTGGCCCTGGATTTCTTAATAGGTCCTCTTATGTGGCTATTGAGAATGAATGAGACAACTCATTAACTAACTAAGTTAATTCAGAACTTAGTGCCTAGTAAGTGCTCAGTAAATGTTAGTTTCTTTTCCTCCATTTCTTCTTAGGAAGCATCGTTTACCCAGCATAAACAGGAGGACTCAACTGTGCATGTCTTAGTGTGAACAAGTAACATCAGATTTCCCTTTTCTGAGGAGAGATCAGTTCTGTAAGAGGGAGCATGAGTGTGAATGGGGAAGAATCATGGAGAAGGGAGCAGGACTCCACAGTACTGGAGATGGAGTAGGGACCTCTGGGAATCGTTGGCATGGGGGTGTGGTGCAGAAAGGGTGATGCTAAGAGGTGAGAGTCTCAAGAAAGAAGATGGGTGTTCTAGAGGGGAAAGCTAAACGATGATAGGCAATGAGGAGCGGAGGACAAGACCCTGAACTAAGGGTGAGGAGGCCAGCATTCTGTCAGGAGAACCTTAGGAATTGTGACCAGAAGTCAAAGTTGTTACAGCAATCCTGCATTCAACCAGGTTTCATCTGAAAAACTTAAGAGTTGCTAGGCACAGTCGTGCACACTTGTAATCCCAACACTTTGGGAGGCTTGAGTCAGGAGGAAGCTTGAGGCCAGGAGTTTGAGATCAGCCTAGGCAGCATAGTGACACCCCATCTCTTGAAAAAACAAACACTCTTAAGAGCAGTGGTTCACCTAGAAATAAAAAGCAGAAATCATCAAGATGAGAAGACATTTTGTGTTTTGACAGCCAAGGAAATTTGCCACTGAGACAAGGTATCTGACAGCCTAGATGGGATTCTAGACTTCTGTGAGAAAGTGCAGTTAGGCCCTGAATAGCGTCAAACTCAGGGATGTGAGCTGACTGACTGCCTTTTTATGTAATGGAGGCCATGTGATAGGGCTTTATGAGGCCACAAATAGCACTTTCTGGGTCCTTTCACAGTCTAGTCAGTGGCCCAACCAACATATCTGGTTGTTCTGCAATCTCAGTCATCTGAGAAGATAACCTCCAAAATACATGCAGTGGCATCAGGTGTTTCCTTGGTAGGTGTGCATCTTTTAATGATGGAGGACTTAGGATGAAGAACAGGTGTGTTTAAAAACATCAAACCCCCACATCATTACTATTTGCTGTAAGGATCTATGCAGTTTGTATTTTAAGTCCTTGACATATGGAAGAGCATTTGTGAGAGTAACAGGTTTGCTTTGTAATGCCAACTAAAAAGTGTGTATTTATACTCGAATTTTAAGTTGAAATTTTGCTAAGTTTCTTTTTTTTTTTTTTGAGACGGAGTCTCACTCTGTTGCCCAGGCTGGAGTACAGTGGTACAATCATTGCTAAGTCTTTCTGTAGTTTTAGAACATTTAGAACAACTTAAGATTTCCTGTATTTATAAACTTAATTTATTGGAAATATAAGTACTTGATCAGGTTTTGTCTTGGTCAGATAAATTAAGTACTTAAGGAAATCAAATACATTAATCATATAAATGCCATTTAAGTGTTTAAAGGAGTTTAGTTAAATGTAAGTTGGATCAAACATTAAACTTTTTTGTTTTATAAGCAAAATAATAAGATTTGTTAGCAGAACTTAAAAGCTTAGAAAAGAGAGGATTTTGGATATGTAACTTTGAAGAGGTGAATAGTTTGCTCTTTTCTGAGACAGGGCATTGCTTTTCGACGCAGGCTGGAGTGCAGTGGGGCAAGCATGGCTCACTGCAGCCTCAACCTCCTGGACTCAAGTGATCCTCCTGCCTCAGCCTCCCATGTAGCTGGGATCACAGGCACATGCCACCACACCTGGCTAATTTTTTATTTTTTGTAGAGACAGGGGCCTCACTTCATTGCCCAGGCGGATCTCGAACACCTGGGCTCAAGCAGTCCTGCCTCAGCCTCCCAAAGTTCTGGGATTACAGGCATAAGCCACTGTGCCTGGCCTTGAATATATTTTTTAACCAAAGTAATTTATGAATATAAATTGTTTCTATATAACCCAAAGTCACTCTCATTGACATTAAGAAACTCAGAGAGTGGGTTCTAAATGTAATATTACCACACACCCAAGTCACTTAGCCTCTACAAGTACCACGTAACTAGCAGCCGTTAAAAGATGGCCACCGCTAGTCCAGTCGGCCACAGACATGGTTTTGTTTGGCCAATACAAGTTTTTGAAAGTTTTAAAAAATTGACAACATTAAAGATCAGAAACTTGACCTAAAAAGATTTCTCTCTTTGGAAAATCAGATCTGGCAGTAATGAAATCGCCTTTCCCATGTGACAGCAGTTGGCTGGAGCTGAAGAGCAACTGCCCCCTTGGCTGTGTTCCTTTCAGTTTGTCAATCTCCACTCTTCACTGTTGTACCCTAGATCTCACTCACGTGACCTGTCTGGCCCACATAGATATTTGAGGGTATGGCCCTGAACTTGAGGCACTCTGGAGTTGCTAACAACTGATGCTGGGCAGCCTAGAATAAGGGCTCAGGAAAAGTGTAGGCCCTACCTCTCTCTGTTCACATCATTCCCCCCTCCAGCCAGGCTGTCTTCCCAGCTGACCTGGCTCCAGGACTGATTCCAACCCCTATAGCAACTGTGTAAGAAGTCCCCAGGCTCAGGCTTCTCAGTGTTCACTGCTCTTGTCTGTGACCAGGCACTTTGCCTAGGCTCTGACCTCATGTCTCAGTCCTTTTGAACATTCTGGTCACCTGCCTAGTTTGACCGCAGCCTGACTTTGGTCTGTGAGGGGTCCTGGGCTCTCTGCTTTATGCAGCCACCATATCTGATCTTTGTGATGTGGTTGTGAATCTTCTGCTTCTATCTCCACCATCACTGTCCACTGCTTGGGCAATATGGTTGCTCAGCTGAGAGATTGGCAGCCCAGATTGCTAAAGGCTTAGGAGACATGAAAGGTGAGTTTGGAAGTGTTTGGATTTTCAAAAGAAGGACAGAGGCAGAAGCCAACCACAGTTTAAGGGGGCAGCTAGTAGAGAGCTTTTTAGGCAAGGGAGGCCACTGCACATTTATAGGCAGAGAAGGTGGCAGGACAGAGAATTTAAGAGAATGAGGTCTCAGAGGAGGCATAGGATGATGGGATATGAAATAGCAAAGGCACACCCAAGGTGATCCTGAAGCTCAGAAATATTAAGTCATGCAGGAGGGGGCACCATTGGAAATATAATCCCCTAAAGTTATGAGTAAACAAATGATGGTGGGGTGTGGAGGGTAGAAAGAAGGCCTAAGCTTGATGTGGGGGCCACAGCCTGGGCAAGAGAAATTTCCAGCAAAGCCTCTGACAAATTTCTGACAAAGCCTCTCATGTTATCTAGTTGTGGCAGAAGCATCTGAACCAAATGGCTAGGAAGCTTGGTGAACAGTCAGACCCAGTGAGGGTTGATTAATGGATCCATGTCAGCCTAGACTAGAGGGAAGTCTCCAGCAGTATGCCTTAGGGCTCAGTCTGGGCCTGTGTCCTCTCTGACATTTTTATTGACAACTGACCGAAGCAGCAGGCTCATCAAGTTTGCAGGTGATAGAGCTAGGAGGGGCAGTTAATACTTTGCATGAAAGAGTCAGGATTCAAAACGATTTCAACAGGCTGGAACACTGGGCTGGAACCAACAAGATTAAACTTAACAGGGATAAATGTAGAGTCCTGCACTTAGGTTAAAACAAAATCAATGACATAAGTACCGGTTGTAGGGGTTGGCCCAGCTTGACAGCAGTTCATGAAGAAAAGACCTGGGGGGTTTAGTTGACTGCAAGCTCAATATGAGTCAACTGTGTGATGTGACTGCTAAAATCCTAACACAGCCATGAATTGCATTAACCAAACGGAGCAGCCAGATCAAGGGAGGTGTTACCCCACTGCTTTCTGAGATGGTCAGGCCACCTCTGAGCACTGGGTCCAATTCTGAGGTCTTTTCCCCTGCTAAGGTCAGTGACAAATGAGAATATTTTTGATAGGAAGCCACCATGGCAGTGGGCCTGAATACTGTCCGAGACTTGCCAGTGATTCTATGGTGCTGAAATTTCTGGAATGAAGGACAGGAGTCTAGAATCTGAACCCAGGCAAAGACTT
The DNA here is from genome assembly GCF_000001405.40 of Homo sapiens. Classification (NCBI taxonomy): domain Eukaryota; kingdom Metazoa; phylum Chordata; class Mammalia; order Primates; family Hominidae; genus Homo; species Homo sapiens. The sequence continues at coordinate 100,561,853 of NC_000010.11, forward strand.
TTATCTGGAGCATATTTCTAGGATTTAGGGGAAAATTTGGGGTCTGCATTTCCTCACTTCCTATGGCTGCCCAGAGGCATTGGCCTGTGACTCTCATCCCTGGCCTTCCTGAGGTCAGGGGATTAGCGATTAGTTAGACGGGGTCTAGGGTAGAGGTCAGCCTGAGGGGGCGGCTATAAAACGAGTCATTGAGGTGGGAGGGAACCTGGAAATTGGGACCTCACGCACCATATTTCCCGCGCTCTCCCCTGGGACGTGCCGTCCCTGCTGCAGTCGCAGCGTGGCGCCCTCGCTCCACGCAGGGATCCTGAGCCAATGGCGGAAGCGGAGTGCGCGGCGAGGTCGCAGTTGCGTTTCTCGCACTCCCCACTGCGGGGAGCCCGTGGGCCCCGCACTGCAGGGAAGCTGCCGGCCCAGGTCTCCTGGGTGGCAAGAAGACGCCTGTGGTGTGGAAGAACCTCGCCCGCAGCCCAGCACGTGTAGAATCCAGATGTGGCTTCTGCTGGAGCCACGTGTTCCGGCCTGAGCGACGTCGCACGTGGCCTCCTGGCCGCAGAGCCCATGGCGCGGGGGGCCACTCTTCTGACGCAAGGGTCTGTGGGGCCGCGCAAGAGCCTGGGGCCCCCGACCTTCCGCCGACTGGCCGTGGGCTGGCCGCAGCCCAGCTCGGCTCTGTCTCGAGTTCCTTCGCTGTTCAAAGCAGAGTGGCGGCCACGTTCGGGGGCACTGGGGCGAGGGGTCGGGCGTCGGACGGGGCCCTGGGTCTGTACCGTTTCGGGCTCGCCGGAGGGGCTGCAGGCAGGGCGGGTTTCGGGTTCCACCGCCAGAATAATTCGGCAGTTCTGGATGGGGCCCAGGAATTTGTATTTGTGACCAGTTTCCCAGGTGAGTCTGAGGTCCGTGGTCCTCTGACCTCGTTTAGGGATGAGATCTAGTCCTCAGAGCCCGGGGCGGGGCTGCCGAGGACACCGGCTTGCTCTTCAGGCAGCTCTGGCCCGGGTGGCGGGAGGAGGCGGCCGGGGCTGGGATCCGGGCGCACCCTGGAAGCTCCAGATGGGCGTTGGAGACCTAGGGCGAGATGAACCGAGGACCGTCCATGTGTGTGGGTGCCGCTCAGGAGCGGGGAGGTGGGGGTGTGGGTGGACGGGCGTGTTGAGGGTGATGGATTGCTGCAGGGAGTGGACTCAGCCTACTGGGAGGAGTGGGAGAGGGGAAAGAACTGGAGGAACGGCGGAGTCCGTTGGCCTTTTCTTGGAGAGCTGGAGATGGAGGTTGGTTCTGTCCTGATGGGGGCAGGAGGACGGGTAATGGAGGCTGCCATGCTCAGTGAAGCCCCATGGGGGCAGCCATGCTTTGTGGTTTGTGGTGAGGCACTGAGCCCCAGGATACTGACTATTCCCTTTTTTGGAGAAAGAGGGGAAGAGGATGCTCCTTAAGAGCTTCTAGGGGAACGTTTCTGCCTCCAGGGGGTTTAGGTGAACTGTGTGTGTGTGTGTGTGTGTGTGTGTGTGTGTGTGTGTGTGTGTGTGTGTAGGTTAGCATATTGGAGATTTTCAAGGGAGTTCGTCTCCAGGACACTTCCCTCACCCCTACATCCACACACAGTATCTTATGATCCTCTTGGTTTCTCTTGGGCCTCAACTCCCCAAAAGGGGGGCACTCTTGTCAGCAGCTCACAAACATGTGGATATCTGCTAACTGAAGACACTCTGAAGACTTTCCCAGAGGAACGTTATAGAAGGAACCCTCAAATTCCAAATCCTTGAATATTGGAGCTGGAAGAGAACTTACAAACCATCTGATGCTGTCTTCCCCAGCTTGGTCTTGGAGAGTAGACACCTTAAGTGAAGGCCGAGCTTCGTAAGCCTCTGAGGATCCCAGTACCTGGTGTGGAGACAGGACTTGTGCATTGCCTAGAGAAGGGAGAGACACAGCAGAGTCAAGCGGTGGGTGGTGAGCTTTGATGGTGAACACCTGGGAGCTCAGAGGTGGGTAGGAGCCTATAAAAGAAGGCCCCTTGAAGGAGGGAAGCTAGAGCTGCATCTTTAAATGGGGAAAATTTATCTTTTGTGTTTTTCCCCCTGATTATGAATTTATGAAAATGAAGAAAAAATATATTGGGGCCGGGTGTGGTGGCTCACACCTGTAATCCCAGCACTTTGGGAAGCCAAGGCAGGCAGATCACTTGTGGCCAGGAGTTTGAGACCAGCCTGGCCAGCATGGTGAAACCCTGTCTCTACTGAAAATACAAAAATTAGCTAGGTGTGGTGATGCATGCCTGTAATCCCAGCTACTTGGGAGGCTGGGGCACGAGAATTGCTTGAACCCAGGAGGTGGAGGTTGCAGTGAGCCAAGATTGCGCCACTGCACTCCAGCCTGGGCAACAGAGCAAGACTCTGTCTCCAAAATATGTATATATGGATGGAACACTGTGACATGTTGGTCTTCAGGGGAGCAAAGCTACAGAGGCCTGAATTTCCTGAGGTTTGGAGGGCAGTGAAGAGATGAAGAGGACAGCTCTGACCATTGTTGGAGCACAGTGAGCTCGTAGGGCAGAGGGGTCTGGCTGCAACAGAAAGTATCTGGCAACAACAGGAGGTATGAGGCTGGAACCCAGGGGAAAGAAACAGGGTTGGGCTCAGCTTCATAGAGGTAGTGAGGATTAGGCAGATGAGAACACCCAAGGAGAAAAGGAGAGAAAAGAGGGTTTGGGCGGGGGGTGGGTAGGTGTGAACATGCCTGAGAGTCATTTCCCAGGTAAATAGGAGTGGAACTGAGGGTGGAGTTCAGTGAGAGGGAGGGAGGAAGAACGACACAGGAGGGGTGGGAACCAGGGTCACCTCTGAAGAGGGGTTTGAGTGCAGGAGACAGGAGTGAGGCCCTAGTGAAGGTCATTAGATTTGGGGATGAAGAGGTCAGCAGAATGGTAGGGGTTAGAGGGTGAGTTGGTGGAGAGGAAATGGGGGCATAGCAAGTATAAACTGCTATAGGTTATCCGTTGAGAAGTACACAGAGGACTGGAGACAGGTTGGGGTTTTGAAAAGGAAACTGCAGCAACGCTTTTTTAGCCAGGGGAAGAGGAGCAAATCTGTAGACAGAGGACATAGGAGAAGGGGCCACTGGAGAGGGGGAGATGGAAGCTACCAGAGAGAGCAGACACTTGAAGGAGCTGAGTTCCAGAGGGAAGGGGGGACAGGGCCTGCAGGAGGTTGAAGCCTCAGAGAAATGGGGAGAAGGAGGGGAAGTCATGGGGTTCAACCTGGACCCAGGTTTTGATCTCCTAAAAGTAAGAGTAAAGGTTGAGGTTGGCTTCTTCAGGTAAGGGTGGCCAGGGTGAGGCTGGGCTGGACGGACACAGAGGGAGGGGTGGAAATGCTGTTGTGAAGAATTTGTTTGGGAGTCAAAGGAGCAATCTAGGCGTGTGATGTACTGCCTGGTAGGGCGGAGGTGCAGTGCAGCTGGGCTGGGATTTGCCTTGGGTGAAGCTGATGCTGCATCTTGGGGCAGGATGGAGTAAGCAAGCCATGGTCTGACCTGATTACAAATGATAGGCTCAGTGCCAGGCTGAGGGGCCTAGGGGCCAGGACACGATGAGGACAGTGAGGGGCCTCCCTGGGGAAGGGAGGGACAACTGCCAGAGCCTGGCCCAGGAGGGCCCGATAGACGAGTATGGGCAGCCATGCAGTGTGTGGGGTCAAGAGCCTGGACCCTGGACTCAAGAGCCTGAGTTCAAATGTGAGGCATTGTCATTGTCATGATTTTTAAGTATCTGAGGTAGGCTATGAGTGGAGGGAAGGACAGGAGGAGGTACAGAAAGGGAGTGCTTGCTTCATGCCAAGGAGTGTTCTATATTCACGAGTCCTTTCTAAACCACCGCGAACTAGGTACTGTTTTATCATTTTACAAATTAGGAAATTGAGGTTCAGAGAAGGGAAGTAACTTGGCCAAGGTCACACAGCCAGTTGGTGACAGTTGGTTTTCGAAAGGCTTTTTTTCTGTTGCTTTGATAACAGTCCCTTCTGAGAAGTGGCTCCAAAGTCTGACTTTCTGCTATGCCTTTTCATCAGCTACTTACTAGGTAGGTGACCTTGGGCAAGTTACTTAATTTCTCCCTCAATTTTCTCATCTGAAAAACAGGAATAATAGTAACACTATCTCATAGGGTTGTAATGATAATGAATGAATATATGTAGAAGATTTGAAAAAAAAAACAGTGTCTAGTACATAGAAAGTGCTGCTTAAGAGGGTGCTGCCATTGCCAGCATCCTCCTCCTCCTCCTCCTTCTCCTCCTCATCATCATCACTCCTTACAGCCTCCAGCCAGAAGCTAAGGACTTACAGGCAGGTGAAAGAAAGTCCTGAGGCATATTAGTCATTTAGAGAAGGTCCCATGGGGAAAGGCAAGAGAGTAGCATCCAACCAGTGGTTCTCAACAAGGGACATTTTTGCTGTAACAGTGTCCTGGAGGAACTACTGACTTTTTTTGTGGGGGTAGGGAGAGGGAGTAATGGGGTGGGGCAGCAGGGAATTACTGACTTTTGGTGGCAGGAGCCAGGAGTGTTAAAAGTGGCCATTCATACCCAGTTGAGAGTGTGGAGAAGTTCAGCTGGAAAGGGTGCTTGGGATTTAACTCCTCAGAAGAGTTGCAGCTCCAGCTATTGGAGCAGCTGGAAAAGGTATGGAAATGAGCTTGGAGGTCTGTGAGGGGCTGGAAAGAATCAGACTTAGGAGGGGGCAAGGCTTCCTGGAGGGGAGGGTGGGGGTGAGGCAGGCTGAGGGATCTGGACAGTAAGCAGGGGCAATGGAGAGCCATGGGGTTCTGGATGAGGGACATGATGTATTTGGGGAGATCACTCATGCAGCCAGGGAAGAGGTTGGGTTAGAGAGGGATAAAAAGGGGGCCCATTTGGGGATTGGGAACAACCCCTAAGGCGGTAAAGACACCTGGGCTGGTCTGGGGTTTGGGGTTGGAGCATGCAGATAAAAGACCACACTGAGGCACATTTGAAGGAAAACTCCGTGTGAAGATGAAGGAGTGGTGAGTGGGCTGGGCTGGCCCTAGCAGGTGCATGACCTGGGAAGGAATTCTGGGAGAGATGGGCTGGTCGGGGACTCAAGGTGATCACAGTGAATTTCAGGTGATGCTGGGGAGTCTGGGAGCTGTCTAGTGAGGGGCTAGTGATGCCAGTTGGAAGTTAGGACTGAAGTACCAATTTGGGAGTCATTTTTCCACATCTATTGACACTCAATACACATATAAAATAGGGCCCCTTGGAGGGTCATTCCTATGGGGTTGCTAGTTGAATTTGAAGTCTTGCTTGCAGACGAATTTGTCATAGGAAAAAGCGGAGGGGTAAAGCACTGGAAACCTGCATCCTAAGCCTGGCTGGGCCCCTTCTGCATAGCGAGGGAGTGAGGAGAGAGCTGCTGGGAGAGTCAGCGAGAGGTTGGAGAACTAGGAGAGGGCATTGCCAGCGCTGCCGGCTGCAGGGAACAGGCCTAGGAGCTGGCAGAGTAGCAGGGTGGAAGCCAGGAACAGTGGAGCTGCTGAGGGTGAAGATGACTCAGGGGCGGGAGGAATTTGGGAGTTCAAGGAGAGTGGACCGAGCCGTGGTTCAGGAGGCAAGTTGAAGAGGGTGTGTACATGAGAACGGGGCGGTGGTGGGGTGCGGAAACACTGAGGCCTGCAGAGGGGAAGGGAGCAGGAGAAGAGCGTTTCCCTGAACTAGGGTTCACAGGGAACCACCCCCAACCTCAGCCAACCTCAGGTCCAAAGTAGTGGATTTCTCCAGGCTCTATTCTCTGACTTCCACCTCCCCGCAACACACACACTTGACCCCCAATTTGAGGCTATTTCCTCTGCCCTGGCCTCAAGGAACATGGAGAAAAATAGCCTGTGTCCTCACTCATCTGGCTCCAGGGGATTCCCTGCCTCCTCTGCCCTCAGCATTCCCTTCCCTAGGAGAAAGCTCTGCTCCCGTAAGGTGACCTGACTTTAGAGTTTTTCCTATTTGCCATCCTCAGTGCATATGGGCTTTCAAACAGTGTGTGGGCCACCCTGCATCTCCCACTTCCCCCAGTCATCATCTGCCACTGCTATTCAGGCCCAACTAGGCTTTTCTTGGCTGTTGCTTTGATCACAGTCCCTTCTGAGAAGTGGCGCCCCGACTCCCTCCCCCACCAGCTCCCTGGTCTCTTTGAGTCTGTCACCGGAGTTAGGAATCTGCATGGGATGTTGAAAACTCCTCTCCTCTAGGAATCCTCCTCCAATTGGGCTCATTCAATTCTTATTGCTCCTTTCCTCGGTTGAGTCTGCAGATATGGAGTCCACTTAGATAACTTTGCAGATAAAAAGCAGCTCGTGCTCTGCTATCTGACTGGGAACCATTTTTGCCTCTATTGCATTGTAATATTCTGTAAGGGAACTAGAGCTCACCTAGTCCAGGAGTTTCCAAGGATATTTTTAACCTTAGAACCTTCAATTCTGAATGTACACACACACACACACACACACACACACACACACACACACACATACACACAGAGAGAGAGAGAGAGAGAGAGAGAGAGAAAAGCAGAAATACGTTGGCTGAAATTTACCCTTGCTCTAACCTTTACCCATAGCAGCCCTAGACACCCCTGAGAACCCTTAGAGCTCCATGGAGCACATTCTGAAAGCCCAATTTCTTCACTTACAGATGAGAAAGGCCCAGAGAAGTGAAGGGACTCTCCCAAGGTCACACAGCAGGAGCAAAAACTCAGGATTCCCCCAATTCCCAATTCTAGCATTCTAGGACTTATTAACATCCAGCCAAGCTCTCCCTCTAGTGTTTTTTAAAAATGTAATTTGTGTTTTTCATTCATTCACACAGCAGATATTTACTGAGCACCTACTATGTGCCCAGTACACAGTCTGCCCTTAAGACTATTAGGTACAAGTCCTAGGAGTCAATGGGAAGCAAAAACAGACACTGTCTGCCCTCATAGGGCTTTCAGTCTAGTGGTAGGGACTGAAAAACTTCATGTGTGAGAAGTGCCACAAAGGAGAGATCAATGGTATGATAAAGAGGGCTCATTAATGGGGGATTTAACTTAGTTAGAAAGTAACCCACAGCTGAAAGCTAAAGGTAAACTAGGAGAAGAGAGAAGAGTGTTCCAACAGATCCAGCAGCAGCACATGCAAAGCCCCTGTGGCAGCAGGGAGTGAGATGGGGTGAAGGGGTGAGAGAAGGCTGGTGTGGCTGGAGCTCCAGGAGCCATGGCCAGATGGGCAGGCAGGGGCCACATACCAGATGGGCTGCGCAGGCTGTTAAGTAGTGCTGGGGCTTTATTCTAGGATTAGATTTGTGTTTCAAAAAGATGTCTCCAGTTGCAAAGGGTAACTGAATGCCCTGTCCCCAACCCTGACGGAGGTGGGTTCCTTTCATTCCGTCTCCTTCTTTTGGTCTGCTTCTCTGACTAGTCGTGTTCTGCTTGGGACATTCTTAGCAGGGCTTGTTTCCACTTTTTGTGCTGTATCTATTTCAGCTGTAAGGTACATATGTGTGAATCTTAGTCTGTGAATGTATTGCCACTGTATCATTCAATAAATATTAAGTTATTAAGTGCCGCTATGAAGCAGATACTGTCAAATTATCATTATGGGCAACGAACATCATGAGTGATTGTGTGTCTGTGTGTGCAACGTTGGTGAATTGTGTCGTGTGTGAATGTGTTAATCATGTGCTCTAAGTGACTGACCACATGGGTAGCTGTGTTCTTGTATGGTTGTTGGTGTAAGTCTGTTGTAGGTGTCATTACGTGTGACTGTCATAGTGGGTTTTGTGTGTGACTTGATATGACAGCATCACGTGGCTGAGGTGATGTGTGGTTGTGTGTGTTACTGTGCAGTGTGAATGTACGACTGTCAGCATGTGTGCCCTGACCGGGTGACACTTGGTGGGTGTGAAGCGTCTGTGGGTGGCACCGGAGACCCCATCTCCTGCTGTAAATCCGGAGCTGAATGAGCTCCCCCCAGACTGTTGGGGGCGCTCTTCATGGCCCCTGGGATGATTAATGCAGGCAGTGGAGCCTCTCTGCATGGGATGTTGGAGATCAGGAACCTCCCCCGCAGAGCTAGAGGGGAGATGGGGGCAACCTGGGGGGCCAGGGCTGGCCAGACGGGGCCAGATTAATAAAGAGGGACTTGGGGGAGGGAAGGCCAGGGCGGGCGGCTGCGGCGGGAGGCGGCCGAGATGAAAGTGTCCCGGCTGGCGGGCAGGCAGGTGGCCTCTCCTGGCCCTGTCAGCACTTTTTAATGTCCCCTTGGTTAGAATGTGTGGGAGGAGTGGGGCGAGGGAAGCAAGAGCTCACCTTTCCCAGGCCCTGGAGGAGCGGGCCGGGTCAGCTGCTAGAAGTGGGTTTTTTTGGTGGGGCGAGAGGCACGCGTAGGTGTAACTGAGAGGAAGAGCCTGGGCCATGCCACCTCCCTCTCCCACTAAAACGTCACCTTAGCTCAGTCTGTCTTGGACAGGCAGGATAGGGCAGCAGCTGGGGAAACAGAAAAGCAGAACGAACGTAGAAAGGGATGGCTGTGTGTGTGTGTGTATTACTGTCCAGGGTGTGGACTGGACGTGCGTAAATTAATGCATGTGAGGCCGAGTGCCTAAGAATGTGTGAGCAAGGCAGTATGTGTGTGTGTGTGTGTGTGTGTGTGTACGTGTGTATTCAGCTCTCTGTGTGTGGGAATTTAAATGGTAAAGCAAGAGACTGGGCCCTGGCTTGGCCTGCTGTTCATGTTCGACTTCGGGTAGGGCCTTTATCCGCCCTGTGCTGTGTTGCTTGTCTCTAAGTCGAGATAAGGGTGTCTGTTTCACAGGATGAGTGTGAGTCTTCAGTCGGTGGAAATGTCTGACTGTAAGTCTCTAAGTATGCAATGTCGTTGTTAATAATTGAATGCGGGTGTGTTGGGTGACTGTGTGTGATGATGTGGATGTGTCTGGGGGCCTGGGGCTCTTTGTGGGTCAGTCACAGTGGGTGTCTGGGTGAGAGGACAAGGCTGTTAGTGTGAGCTCTGTCTGCTGTGAGTCCATCGTGAGTGGACAGGTGTGTAGATGTGTGTTTGGCAGTTGTATTGAATTATGTGGATGTATTGGTGTGGATCCGGAAGTGGTGAGTGTCTTTGTGTGCTTGTGAATGTCTGTGTCCTTATCATTGTGTGTAACTATTTGCACTGGATTCCTTTGTGTCTCTTGGGGTACATCTGAGTTGCCCTGGAGACTGAGATGGAGTGTGTGCTGGCTCTGTGGGGGGTGTGTGGGGATGGGGTTGGTGTGTCTTTGTGCCCTGTGTGTGTCCCAACATGAGTGTGACTGAATGTGCCTTTGTCTCAGTGTTGTGAGTGTGATGGCATGTGTGGTGCCTTGGTGTGGCTGTGTGTGGCTGTGTGTGACTGTGTGTGACAGCGTGTGTGTGCGTGTGTGTGTTTGGTGAGCGGCTCTGCTGCCTTAAGCACCTTTCGAATACATTGGCCACAGCTCATTGAATCCTTTAACAATCCGACTCTGCTCTTCCTTCCCCGTTTTTTCTAATTCAGTTCCTCTTATTACAAAAATAAAAAATAAAGCGCTGCCCCTTTCCAGTGGCTGGCCCTACGGAGCCCCCGCCTCGGGACCAGCCTCGTTTCACTCCATTTCGGAGAAAACGGGAAGTCGGTAATTTTAAAAAATATTTTCTACTTTATTTGGGATTTAATGTTCTTACAGAATCCTGCTGCCTCCCTCTGCCCCCCGACCCATCCACCCCCAGCCCCGCATGCAAGAGGCGTAATGGCCCGTTCAGCATATTAGGGGAGCTGAGCGCGCGTGTGTGTGCACACTTGGATAAAAACACACAGAGACCCGCAGCAGACACACATACAAATACACAGCAGCTCAAACGTATACTCAGACACGAACTCAAGCACTCTACCCTTATGCCACTCAATATTCACACTGAAACACCATACAAAGACAGAGACCCATTCCCAGATACTCCAAAGGGAAAGAGAACCAGGAGCACTGTCAGAGGAGAACCTCTGGAGACATGAAGGAGGCAGGTGGTCAGAGATAGGAGGAAGGAGAGAGACATGTTCACGGTGAGAGACAGTTTGGAAGCAACTTCTATGCTGTAAAGGAATGTGAATTGAGTAGTCCGGGGGAATGAGTCAGGAGGTTGATCCCTGGGCCAGGTGTGCCCCATTTTGTACAAGGGAACACTGTATGGTCAAGAAATGATTACTCAAGGTCATGCAGGGAGTCGAGAAGACGTGGGGCTGGGTGCAGTGGCTCACACCTGTAATCCCAGCACTTTGGGAGGCCAAGGAGGGCGGATCACCTGAGACCAGGAGTGTGAGACCAGCCTTGCCAACATGGTGAAACCCCGTCTCTACTAAAAATACAAAAATTAGCTGGGCGTGGTGGCGGGGGCCTGTAATTCCAACTACTCAGGAGGCTGAGGCAGGAGAATTGCTTGAACCCAGGAGGTGGAGGTTGCAGTGAGCCAAGATCGTGCCACTGCCCTCCAGCCTGGGTGACAAGAGCGAAACTCTGTCTCAGAAAAAAAAAAAAAAAAAAGGTCAGGTGCAGTGGCTCACGCCTGTAGTCCCAGCACTTTGGGAGGCCGAGGTGGGTGGATCACAAGGTCAAGAGTTTGAGACCAGCCTGGCCGACATGGTGAAACCCCGTCTCTACTAAAAATACAACAATTAGCTGGGCATGGTGGCATGTGCTTGTAGTTCCAGCTACTCGGGAGGCTGAGGCAGGAGGATCACTTGAACCTGGGAGGCAGAGGTTGCAGTGAGCAGAGATCGTGCCACTGCACTCCAGCCTGGGTGACAGAGTGAGACTCCCTCCCCCTCCCCCAAAAAAAAGAGTAGATGTGGGAACAGAAATAAGGAATCCTGTGCCCTCCTATGGGGGCCTCAGGGCACTAAACACTGTGTGTATGTGTGTGTTTTTGTGTGTGTAAGATGTGCTTTTGAACGACGCTGGCTTAAGTGCCATCCACATACTAGGATCAACAATTGTTTGCAGAGGCTGGCAGTACCTGACGCGGCAGTGTATGTCTGCAAATGTATATTTGAGGACTTGTGTGTGCACACGCATGGGGGGGATCATGCTTGTCCTATTCACTTCCGTATCCCCATCACTTAACAAAGGGCTCGGCACATAGTACTCAATCAATATTTATCCAAGCATGAATGAATGAATAGAAACCCTCAGGGATCTCAGGTATAGGAGGGCCTGATCACTGGTAGAGACCGTGGCAGCTCAGCCTCTGGGTGGGGCCTGGGAAGGTGAGACATAGTAACTCTGGCCAACTTGCTGCCATCGCTGTTGCTATGAGGGGCCCTGTGGTCTGTGCTCTGTCTAAGGTAATGAGTTTCATGAGTTATTTCAGACCATTCTGTGTGGCGGGCATGGGGAGGGGGAAGGAAACAAAAGACCTGTCCACTTGTTAAACATGGGACAGGTAAGGGAGAGAAGGGCAGTAGTAGACGGAAACTCAAGATGGATAGATAGCGACAGATAGGCATACTGACGAAAGACACCAACTGGTGGATATATTTATTTCTAGATAGACCAAAAGACAAATAGAGACATAGATAAATAGATGTACAGATAGACACACAGACTGACATGAATAGGCAGGCAGGCAGACAGTCCTGAGGAGTGACTGAGAGATAGACCAACAGACAGGCAGACAAATCAATAGACAGACAGATGGACAGCTGGTTGCACAGAGAAGATGGATGCGTAGCTCAGGACACAGAATGGAGCCAGCTCTGCTGATGGCCTACCCCACAGCCAGGCCCCACATTCCATCGTTCTTTGTTAAGGAACCCACTTTCGTGGGTTTGAAGTCCAATGCTTTGGAGAAAGTTAAACACTTCACTTGTCCAACAGGTGACTCTTAATTGTTCTAGGAAAATCATGGTAACTCCATTCATCTTGGATGGATGATTTGGGAATGGACATATGATACAACTTTTTTTTTTTTATACAAAGTTTTGCTCTCGTTGCTCAGGCTGTAGTGCAATGGTGTGATCTTGGCTTACCGCAACCTCTGCCTCCCGGGTTCAAGTGATTCTCCTGCCTCAGCCTCCTGAGTAGCTGGGATTACAGGCATGCACCACCACACCCAGCTAATTTTGTATTTTTAGTAGAAACACGGTTTCTCCATGTTGGTCAGGCTGGTCTTGAACTCCCGACCTCAGGTGATCCACCTGCCTCGGCCTCCCAAAGTGCTGGGATTACAGATGTGAGCCAGCATGCCTGGCCTATGATACAATTCTGACCATCGATATGTGGGAGGTAGTCTATTACGAAGCTTTTGGGAAATTTTACTGCAGTCTTAAAAAAGGATAGATGGAAGGGATGTGCCCCTTTCCTCCTTCTGGATTCTCGCTTTGCTATGTGAAGATGTAATGTGTTGGGTTGCTCCAGCCTTTTTGACACCCTGAGGTTCAGCCTGAGTTCAAAAGCTGACATGCCAAGGATGACAGAGAAGAGATGTGAAAGGAATCTAGGTGCTGGTGATGCCATGGGGCCACATTAATCAGAGAGATAAACAGGTAAACTGAGGAGCTGACAGTTGGAAAGATCATCAGACTCTGAGCCCCTGATGTTTATGTTTAGCACCTGTTACATACTTGTTTGTATTGACTATGTGATTTTCTAGTTTGGGAAAAACATTCTGTCTCTGTCTCTGTCCCTTCCTCCCTCTCCCCTCTCTCTGCCCCCTTCTCTCCCTCTTCCCCTCTATTTTCCTTTTCCCTCTCCCCTACCCTCCCTCTCTGCCTCCTCCTCCCCCATCTACCTGCTTCTGTCTCTAAGAGTCCCCATACGCATGGCTCAGCTCTGCCTCCCATAGTAAGGCATTTACTTGTGTGTCACAGGCTGCCTCTGAGCAGGGCCTGGGTTTGGGATGATGAGGGGAGAGGCTGGGAACCATGGGAAGGCAGAGTACCTCCTTCCACCCCCTACCCCATGCCCGGCGAGCTCAAGCAGTCTTTCCCCCAAATCCATCAACTTAGTCCTGGCCTAGGGTTCTTTTCCTGACCACCCCCTCTTCCTTCCTGCCAGGATTCCAAGGACCTGGGGTTATACCTCTGAAGTAAGTCATTTTTGAGACCTGTTCACTTTTCAGGCTTGAGTCCAGCCTTTGGACTTGCTTTTTTTTTGCGATGGAGCCTCATTCTGTTGCCAGGCTGGAGTGCAGTGGCGCGATCTTGGCTTACTGCAACCTCTGTCTCCTGGGTTCAAGTGATTCTCCTGCTTCAGCCTCCCGAGTAGCTGGGACTACAGGCACCTGCCACTGCACCCAGCTAATTTTTGTATTTTTAGTAGAGACAGGATTTCACCATATTGGCCAGGATGGTCTGGAACTCCTGACCTCAGGTGATCCACCCGCTTTGGCCTCCCAAAGTGCTGGGATTATAAGCATGAGCCACTGCGCCGGCCGGGACTTGCATTTTTGTTATGGGGCATGGAAATGATGGCAAACAGATGGCCGCAAGGGCAGGGAGGACCACCAACCCCCCACAAAAAAACTTGGCTCTCCCCGTTTTTGTGTTCATCTCAGTTGTTGGCCACTTTATGAATCTCTGAGTCTCTCAATTCAACAAATAAATATCAAGCTTTTACTCTGTACAAGGCACTGGCTGGTGCCATGGGAGACAAATGAGAAATAAGACACATTCCTCTTCTGGAGGAATCTTCTCTTTTTCTTCTTCCCTTTGTATGTATCTCTCTTTGGGTGTTTCTGTCTTTCTCTTAGTCAAATGATCAAGAAATATTCATAGGATAGGCACTGTACGCCATGTATTTGGGCTTGCTTTCCTCCTCTAACTCCGCCCTCTCTCCATGCCATCAGCATTCTCCCTGCACTGTCCATCTCCAGGTCCCACTTACACTGCAGCAAGATGATGAGAGTTACGTGCTTTCCGAGAACACGAAACCCCGAGGGACCGATGACTCTTTGATGGTCCCCTTCTCCTTTCACCCAGGATAATCAATCTGTCAGGGGACCAGGGGAATGTAGGAGATGACTTCACAAGCATGCAGGCAAAGGGTGACCCCAGGATATATTCCTCCTGGCTGTTATGGCTTCCCTCCTCATCTTTGCCCCCCCATCTCCTGTTGCCTAGCTATTCTTTCTGAAGCATTATTCCAAGCAAGTGCCCCACTGGCAAAGATGGTTCAGTGTGGCATTCCAAGCTCTGCACCATATGGGCCCAACTCACCCCTTCCAATTCCACTACTCCCACCCCCCACAAGACCTTCAAGACTGGCCACCTTCCCTGACAGCCAGCAGTTTCCTGCTTCACCACCATTCACATTATATTAATACAGCTTTTAAAGCCACGTTTAGAAGTCACCTGTTCCAAGAAGTCTTCCTTGATGCCCCTACAAGAGGCTCCAACTCAGACCCACAGGCACCAAACACGCCCTTTTATGCATGCATACTGACCTGCCGGCAACCAAGGTTGACATCAGTACCAACAAGTTCATGGCCATGTCTTGTGCTTTCCACCCTGCCCTGGTCAGAGTTCGAGGCTCCTCCGGGCTCGTGGACAGCTCACCCCCAAGACTCTTTCATATTCTGAGTTCCACACTCCCCTGGGCCCCAGTGTGTCCAAGCAAGCCCTGGAGTGTCCTTTGGGTCATGGCCCCAACCTGTTCCCTCAACCTTCTTCATTACCTGCCTAGACAGTGGCATCTTCCTTCCTCCCCTGCCCTGCCCTTCATCCTCCTCCTCCTCAACATCAACAAGTTTCCTTATAACCTACTATGTGCAGGGTATAGTAAATTACAGTAGTGGATCTTCACTGAGGACTTATCACATGCCAGCCTGACCTATACAATCTCACTTCGTTCTTACAACAACCCTAAGAGGCAGGCACTATTATTATTCCCATTTACAGAGGAGGTGATCCCATTTCACAGATGAGGCCCTCCCACACCTAGATAACAGACTCTGGAGCCAGACTGCCCAAGTTCTAATTCGACCTCTTTCTAGCTGTGTGACCTCGGGCAAACTACTGAGTTCTGTGATTCACAAATATTCCTCTTGCTCCAGGCTCCCATTCTTCCCCTTCTTCAGCTCCCTGGACAGGCTTTCAGCTGATGTTTAGCAGACCTTTGAGACCCGTAAATGACGCTTCCTCAGGGTCTTGACCCCTAGACAGCTCCTTGAATGTGGCTCTCAAGGCTACATTCTACGTAACTTCTCTGTGTCCCATTTCCTCAAGTGCAAAATGAGGTTAATACTAGTATGTACCTTGCAGGATTGTTGAGGACCGAGTTAGAATAGACTGCTTAGAACAATCCCTGGCATAAAGTCAGTACTATACAAGCAAGAGTTACCATTTTATTATTATTTTGGCTCTGTGGACTCAGGATTCTCAAGTTTAGAGGAAAAGAGCTAACAGGTACCAAGTGGCCTCTGTGTGCTGAGGGTCTTACAGATGGTATCTTAATGAAAAACAAACCAAATCCTCATGAGAAGGGATTGCCATGGCATCTCTTCCACAGATGAGGAGATGAAGGCTTCAGGTAGTTAAAGTTTCTTTCTTTCTTTCTTTTCTTTTTTGTTTTTGAGGCAGAGTCTTGCTCTGTTGCCCAGGCTGGAATGCAGTGGCCCGATCTTGGCTCACTGCAACCTCTGCCTCCCAAATAGCTGGGACAACAGATGTGCGCCACTATGCCTGGCTAATTTTTGTATTTTTAGTAGATGGGGTTTCACCACGTTGGTCAGGCTGGTCCCGAACTCCTCACCTCAGGTGATCCGCCCGCCTCAGCCTTCCAAAGTGCTAGGATTACAGGTGTGAGCCACCATGCCGAGCCAGGTATCTAAAGTTTCTTACCCAAGGTCTCCGCCAATAAGGGGAAGATCCAGGAATTGAACTCAGATTCATTTGCTTCTAAAGTCATGCCTTTTCTAAGACACAGTGCTATTTCTTTGATGTGAGGATCAGGGTTTGGGATTTGGAATTTGGAATTCAAGGATGTGAGGTCCGAGAGTGCTCATGCTTTGCTTGTTCGTATTATCACAGCTGAAAGTGGTGTTAGTGTGAGTAACTTGTTTTCAGAGTGGTCCCAGTGTGTGACAGGGTGTTGAAACCTCACAGATTCAAGGCTCTGGCCTCACGGTCTAGTTTGGGGGTTACTGGGGGTGTGGCTTGGGAGTACTGGAGGACAGCAAGAGTCACCAAATTAATGACTCATCTGGGGCCAGGAAGTCCAAGGCCACCTGGAGATGAATTATCTGATTAAGAAGCTGTGAGCAGGTGAATGGATGAAGGCAGAAGTTTTGTCATGTATTGCCCCATGTTTAAAGAGCTACCCCTGGGGCTAGGGCTCATGGGGGACTGCGCCTTTCTCCGGTAGCACCCCAGCCCTTTATCAGAGTCTGCAGGGAGCTCAGAGCCTAGCTGGGGGGACGTGAGCACTGGGGGCTTCACAAGGAAGCAGATTCTGAGATGGAGATTAATGTGCAGGGAACTCTGGAGATAAGAACCTGTGGAAGGGAGAGGAGGGAGTCAGGTTGGGCCAAGACCTGCCCTCTGGGTTACTCTGGAGCTGGAATGGCCCTTCAGCTTTTTCCCAAGTTGTGGCCAGAGGGCTCGGCTTTTATACTCTGACACTGATGGGTCAGGGATAAGGGTGGGCCCAGGAAGTTGGTGTAACCTTGGGCCAGGGAGCTTTCTTCCGCTGAAGCCATTCTCCTATGGGAGGTGACAGCTGAGGCCTGTGTGCTAGCACTCCGAGCAACTGGTGATAAGTCCCACATTGAAGGGGATCTGAGTGGCACGTTGTAGTGTTCACCACAGGCACCGACCCAAACTGGAGAGAGCAGAGCATCAAAGAAGGTTTCAGTGTGAGACAATGCCTGGGCTGAGGTTAGAAGAATGAGTAGGGGTTACACAGGCCACAAAAAGTCAGGAGGGGAGACAGAGAGAAAAGGGAGTTTCTGGCAGGAAGACCAGTATGTACTAAAACCCAGAGGTAAAGATGGCACAGGAGAGGTGGATAGGTCTGCTGGGCTAAAGAATTTGAGTCGTTGTATTAAGGGGATGGGGAGCCCATAAAGGATTTTAGGACAATATATGACATAATTAAGATTTGCATTGTGGAATAATCCTGGCACTGCCACTTACTTACTAGCTGTGTTGCTAACAACTTACTTAACCTCTCTGTGCCTTGATCGCCTCATCTATGAAATGGGAATAATAATAGTGCCTGCCTCTTAGGGTTGTTGCAAGAATGAAGTGAGATTGTATAGGTCAGGCTGGCATGTGAAAATGCCCTTAGTGAAGATTCGTTACTGTTATTCACTGTAACAGACTGGACTGGGGCTAGAGGAGACCACTGGAAGGCAGAGTTTGAAGCCTACTGCTGGGTACTGCAGAGAAAATGAAGGCCACAGCTAAGGCAGAAGCAGCACATGAGGCCAGTTGAAAAGCTCTCAAGAGGGAAAACTCACAAGACTTAGCTATTGCTTAGATGAAAGGGGTGATGAAAAGATGGCATTCACAATGACCCCCGGGTTTCCGGTTTGGGTGGCTGCCTCTGGGAATACACAAATAGATTTGGGGCAGGGAGATTTGGTGAGTTCATTGTAGATGAGTTGAGATTGAGATTCTTGAGGAACTTCCAGCAGGAGATGCAGATATTCCGAGCTGACCTCTGAGGTCTGAATGGAAAAAAGAAGTGCCAGTGTGGTCAAGGGAGCCCTGGGCCTGGATGAGGTCACC
Organism: Homo sapiens; assembly: GCF_000001405.40. NCBI lineage: Eukaryota > Metazoa > Chordata > Mammalia > Primates > Hominidae > Homo > Homo sapiens. Next base: position 100,579,629 of record NC_000010.11, read on the forward strand.
AGGGTGAGTGTGTGGGAAGGAGGGGGTGTGGGCTGCGGATGGAGCTGTGACAACACAGTCATTAAGGGGGCATGTGAGTGAAATAGAAGAGTCCCTAGAGAAGAGGAGACCTGGAGCTGCTGTTGGCATGAAAGCCAAGGGAAGGAGGAGACCTGAGGAGGTGCCAGCCAGCACGGCTCAACGCTACAGAAAGCAAGAAAGAGAAAGGTGGCAGAGTCTGCCAAAGAGGGCAAGAGTTTCCTGGTAGCTGACTTTGAGATGAGCACTTCATCAAAGTAGTTGGTGGTAGGCAGGTTGTGACGGTTTGAAGAATGAAGCTGAAGCTGAAGGTTGCCCATATCTGAATGGACAGACCTGTGGATAGAGAGATTCCCAGGGGTCCATGTTGCAAGCAGTCCAAATGCGGTCTTCCCAAATGACCTTTACTTGTGCTCCTTCTCTCACGTTTCTGGCCACAGGCTGCCTTTTATCTCTGTTCCTGCCCTATCTCCTCTACTGGTCTGTAAGCTCCTTCAAAGGAGGATCTTCATCTGCCTTTCCCCCGTGCCAGTGTAGAACTGGTGATCAGCAGTTGCTTGGGGAGTGAATGAATGATTTATGTTGAGACCATGAAGCAAGTTCCCTGGTTTGCAGACTGGTCAGTCAGCAGAGAGGGAGTGAAACTATGTTCTGGAAGGAGACGTATGATAGGAAGATGGGTGGCTGAGAATATGGGAAGGTGTGAATCAAGAAACTTAGGGAAAAATAAACACAGCTGACCTCTGAGCAGAAGTTCATAATCTTTTTAGATCCTGGCCCTCTTGGAGATGCCATTGTAGATAATGGACACTTGCTCAGAAAACATCACCTTCTTACCCAGTCTGCATGTGGCTTTAGGAGTTTCACAGAACCCGCAAGACCCACCATGGACCTGCCCAGTTGGTTCATGGATTCCAAGTCAAGAATGTGCTTTCAAACTTGGAGTGCCTACCAGTCCTCTGACCTTGGGTACATCACTTACCCCCACTGGGCCTCTGTTTCTTTATGTGTAAGATGAGGAATCATGAGGTTGAGGTGGAGGTGGAGAGCGTAAAGACACTAACAACTTTGCCAGTATCTGGTGCAGGTATTTTAACTACCATAAAGATTCTACCCTGTTAGTGGGTAGAATTTATCTCCATTTTGAACATAGAGAAAGAGAGACTCAGTTCAAGAAACTTGACAAAATGTACACATGAGTAAGTAAAGGAGCCAGATTCCACCCAGATCTCTCTGACTCCTAATCCTGGCTCTTTCTTATTGACTGTGGGGCCTACCAGGCACAACATTTTCCATGTTTGTCTGCTCATCTTGACATGGTTAATGCACTGATGAACATGAAAACTATTTGGAAACTAGAAAGCAGTTATGCAAATAGAAGGTATCCCATTGGTGTCATCACTATTGATCACTCTGTATCCTGAAGTCCCTTCTTTGGCATCTGTTACATTCCTTCCCCTAACCCCAGCCTGCTACTTCCTTGTTTCTGTCACCTGTTCCTCCTTCTCCTCCAATCTCCTGAGGGTGGGTTTTCTCTAAGTCTCCACCTCTTGCTTTCTGTTCTTTACTCTCTAAATCCCCTCTTCCTACAACTTCAACCTTTGACCTCCAACCAGGTAACTCTCAAGTTTGTACTCTAGTCCAGAGCCTTATTTCAACCACCTGCTGGGAGTTAGCGGTTCTCAGACTTTACTGTGTATCAGAATCACCTGGAGTGTTTGTCAAAACACAGATTGCTAGGCCCTAATCACAGAGTGATTCAGTAGACCTGGGGCAGGGTCAGGGAGTATTTTTTACAGCATTATTAACATATCATTGATATATAATGAACTGCATATCTTTAAAATAAGCAATTTGATAAGTTTTGACATATGAATTCATCCATGAAAACAACACCACAATCCAAATAGTGAACACTACCACCATCCCCTCGGAATCTCCTTGTTCTCATTTGTAATCCCTTCTTTCCTCCCCTCAACATCCAAACCCATCTCCAGGCAACCATTAACCTGTTTCTGTCACTATACGTTAATTTATATTTTCTAGGATTTTATGTAAATGGAATCCTATGTATACTATTTATTGTTTCTGGCTTATTCTATTCAGTATAGTTATTTTGAGATTAATCCACATTGTTGCATGTATCAATAGTTCATTCCTTTTTATTACTAAGTAGTTATCTATTGTATGAATATACAGCAATTTGTATTCCTGTTCACCTGTTGATGGACACTTGAGTTGTTTCCAGTTTGGGGCTATTACAAATAAAGCTGCTAAGAATATTCATGTCAAAATCTTTGTGGTTTTATTTCTCTTGGGAGGGGAATGGCTAGGTCATATAGTCAGTATATGTTTAACTCTATGAGGATCTGCCAGACTGTTTTCCAAACTGGTTGTACCATTTACACACTCACCAGCAATGTATGAAATTTCAATTGCTCCACATTCTTGTCAACATCTAGTATGGTCAGTCTTAAACTTTAGCCAATCCAGTGGGGATGTAGTGGTATATCTTTTACTTTGCATTTTCCTAATGAGCAATAATATTGAGTAGCTTTTCAGGTGCTTATTTGCCATTCATTGTCTTCTTAGGTTAAGTATCTATTCATATCTTTCGCTTATTTAAAAAGTTGGATTGTTGTCTTTGTACTTTTTTAATGTGTTCCTTATGTATTCTAGAACACAAGTGCTTCATTGGATATATGTTTTGCAAATAATTTCTCCCTGTATGTGGCTTACCTTTTCTTTCTTTCTTTCTTTTTTTTTTTTTTTTTTGACTGAGTTCCCTCTGTTGCCCAGGCTGGAGTGCAGTGGCATAATCTCAGCTCACAGCAACCTCCGCCTCCTGGGTTCAAGTGATTCTCTTGCTTCAGCCTCCTGAGTAGTTGGGACTATAGGCATGTGCCACCACCCCCAGCTAATTTTTATATTTTTAGTAGAGATGAGTTTTCACCTTCTTGGCCAGGCTGGTTTCGAACCCCTGACCTCAAGTGATCCACCCACTTCGGCCTCCCAAAGTGCTGGGATTATAAGTGTGAGCCACTGTGCTCAGCCACCTTTTCATTTTTTAAAACAATATCTTTTGAAGAGCAAACATTTTAAAATTTAAATCCAATTTATTGTTTTTTTTTTAAGTGTGTGCTTTTTGGGGTCACTTTTCTTTCTTTTTTTTTTTTTTTTGAGACACAGTCTCACTCTGTCACCCAGGCTGGAGTGCATTGGTGTGATCTTGGCTCACTGCAGTCACTGCCTCCCAGGTTCAAGCGATTCTCCTGCCTCAGCCTCCTAGGCAGCTGGAACTACAGGTGTGCGCCACCACATCTGGCTTTTTTTTTTTTTTTTTTTTTTTTTTTGGTATTTTTAGTAGAGGCAGGGTTTCCCCATGTTGGCCAGGCTGGTCTCAAACTCCTGGCCTCAAGTGATCGACCTGCCTCAGCTTCCCAAAGTGCTGGGATTACAGATGTGAGCCACTGCACCCAGCCTGGGGTCACATTTAAGAAATCTTTGCCAAACCCATCACTAAGATTTTCTCCTATGTTTTCTTATAGAAGTTTAATGGTTTTAGCTCTTATATTAGGTCTATGATACTTTTCTAGTTAATTTTAGTATACAGTGTGAGGTAAGGGTTGAGGTTTATTTTTGTGTGTTTGTGTTTGCACATGTGTATTCAGTTGTTCCAGCATCATTTGTTGAAAAGACTATCCTTTCTTCATTGAATTGCCTTGGTACTTTTTCAAGAATCAATTGATCATCTATGTGTGATTTTATTTCTGGACTCTATTCTGTTCCACTGATCTGTTTTTCTGTCTCTATACCAATATCATACTGCACTGCAGTATCTCTATAATCTTAAAATTAGGTAATGTAAGCCTTCCAACTTTATTTTTCAAAGTTGTTTTTGCATTTCCATATACACTTTAGAATCCATTTGTCAAGTTCTACAAATAAAAAAAAAAGCCTGCTGGGATTTTGAGATTGCATTGAATCTGTAGATCAATTTAGCGATTATCAGCACCTTAACAATATTGAGTCTTCCAATGCATGAACATATTTCTCCATTTATTTGGGTCTTCTTTTACTTTCTCTCAGCAATGTTTTATGGTTTTCAGGATACAGGGCTTGTACATTATTGATTAAATTAATCCCTAAATATTTAATTTTTTCTTTTTTTGAGACAGAGTCTTGTACTGTCACCCAGGCTGGAGTGCAGTGGCCCATTCTTGGCTCACTGCAACCTCTGCCTCCTAGGCTCAAGCGATTCTCTTGTCTCAGCCTCCTGAGTAGTTGGGATTACAGGTGCCTGCCACCACACCCAGCTAATTTTTGTATTTTCAGTAGAAACAGGGTTTCACCATGTTGGCCAGGCTGGTCTCGAACTCCTGGGCTCAAGTGACCCACCCGCCTCGGCCTCCCAAAGTGCTGGGATTACAGGCCTGAGCCACTGTGCCTGGCCAATATTCAATATTTTTGATGCTGTTGTAAATGAAATGTTTTAAACATCTCTATTTAATATCCTATTGTTTATTGCTTTAATGTATGGATATACAATCTGTATTTGTTAAAACACACTGATTGCTGGTCCCTAACCCCACAGTTTCTGATTCAGTAGGACTCGCATCTAATCTATGAATTTTCATTTTTAACAAATCCCCAGGTGATGTTGATGCTGTTTGTCTGGGGACCACATTTTGAGAACCATTGACATAAATGTTTTGCCTAAGCCTTTTGTTCCAAACCAAGCTCATCGCCTTGCCTCAAATAAGCTCTTCTACTGATTTCCCTCTTTCCAGAAATGGCCCTACCATTCAATTCCATGTCCATCGGTCAACTGTCTGAAGTTTTCCATTGAAAAATCAATCTACGGTTTACTTTAACACTCACATCCAATCAGCTGCCAATCTAATAATACACTCCTGAAATATGTCTCCCCTCTGTCCCTTTCACTTTCTATTGCATATCTTCATCACTTCCCCCCTTGACCAGTAACATTGCCTTCTAACTGATCTCTCTGCCTCTGATCTTTCTACTGCAATCTGTTTTCCACACTCCAAGACTAATCTTTCAAGTCAACAATTTGCATTGTACCTGTCTTCTGCTAAACAATCCACCACAGGGCTCCCACTTCCTACTGAATTAAGTCTAAACTCTTTACTCTGATTTTGCAGAACTTTCCAGTTGCCAATTCAGTATCCATTCTCCTTTTCATCTTTGGTAATAGAACTCATATCTTATCTAAAGCAATATGCCCAGATTTTTAAGAACTTTATTTCTCAGCATCCCTTGCAGATAAGTGCCCATGTGGTTAAGTTCCAGCCAATAAAATATAAATATAAGTTGTTAGGTACCACTTCCTGGAGGATTCTTTAAAAGTTCCATAAAGAAGGTAGATAGTTGGATAGATTGCCTGTCTTTCCTTTCTTTTTCCTGCCTGCCTGGTGCGCTGGAGCTCCAGCTCCATCTTGGACTATGGGCCAGCCTTAAAGATGGAAGCACTTGCTGAGGATCTACAGAGTCTGGGTTCCTGGTGACAGTAGAACTGCCACACGAATCCCAGATTGTCAAAGTCTGAACTTATTATACCAGAGAAACATAAACCCTTATGTGTCTAAGCTATTGTAATTTGACTGCTTGTAGTCAACTCTAATCCTGACTTATACACCTTATATCCAAAGCTCTAAATAGTAGCCCCAGCATACTTTCCAGCCTCTTCTCATTCTATCCCTTACAAATACACATGTAGCCAAACGTCACTATTTGTTTTCTAAGGAGACAACTTTTGCTTTTCTGTCTCTAAGTTTTTGCTCATCTCATGCCCATTCTCCATGTCTATCTATTGAAGTGCAACTCAGATGCCCCTTTCTCCAAGAATCCTTCCTTGATTCTTCTACTCAAATGTGATTTCTCCTCTTTCTGAGCTCAGAGTATTTTGATTGTATCCTTCTTGGCACTTAGAGTCTGTCAGAATTATCATTACTTTGCTGCCTATTCAGCTAGATTTTCAGTTCTCCTTATGGTGCCAAGCACAGGGTTAGTGTTCTATAACGATTTGATGCAGTAATGCATGAATAAATAAAGGAATGAATGAATAAAAACAGAAAGTGAACATTCTTTTGCCCCTCATCCTGTGTACCCATTCATCTTAACCCCTCTAAAGAGACAGGTGGAAAAGGTTCCCACAATTGATTAAAGAGAAAAGAGAAGCAGTAAGCACAAAGTAAGTCACGGGGACACCTCTGTCTGCAATGGACAAGGCTGAAAAAAAATTATTACAGTTGGCCCAGCCTGCCTTTTAAGAGCAACAACTAATATTTACTAAGCACTTGCCATGTGCTGACACCATGCAAAGTGATTTAAATGCACTATTTCATTTAATTTAATCCACCAACAATCTATGAAATTGGACTAATCGGGCCATGCACGGTGGCTCATGCCTGTAATCCCAGCACTTTGGGCAGCTGAGGCAGGCAGATCACGAGGTCAAGAGATCGAGACCATCCTGGCCAACATGGTGAAACCCCATCTCTACTAAAAATACACAAATTAGCCAGGTGTGGTGGTGCATGCCTGTAGTCCCAGCTACTCAGGAGGCTGAGGCAGGAGAATCACTTGAACCCGGGAGGCGGAGGTTTCAGAGAGCCGAGATCGTGCTTCTGCACTCTAGCCTGGCGACAGAGTGAGAATCCGTCTAAAAAAAAAAAAAAGAAAAAGAAAAACATAAAGAAATTGGACTAATCTCTCCCATATTTTGTAAGTTAGGAGACTGAAGTTCAGAGGGATTAACTAACTTATTCAGGGTCACAGAGCTTGAAAGTGTCAGAGCTGGAATTGGGACTCAGTCCTGTCTGATTGAAGCCATGCTCTTAATTGTGATCGAGTGTAAAGCTATATGAGACACAGCTGTCTGTCCCACTGAGTAGTGAGGTCCTGGCTTACAGGAGCCATGACCTGTTTATTTCTGCTCACCCTGCAGAGCCTACACAGTGCCTGCTATGTCCTGAAGGATCAGCAGAATGATTGGCATGAAAATGATCAAAAAGAGGTTTCCATCCTGGGAAGATGGAGTAGACATACTTTCTCTAGTCTTTCCACTAAGTACCACTAAAAACCCTGGACAATATGTATAAAGCAAACACAAGAAGACTCTGAAACATGTAGAGAAGAAGGCAGACCAGCCAGAGACCCTGGAATCTAAGGAACAACATGGTGGTGAGTTTCCTGGATTTTGTTTTTGCCTCACCTCATGTATCCCAGACTTGGAGCAAAATAAGCCAGCAACCTGGAAATGCTGAGTACAGACCCCACCCCACCCCTGCAAAATAAAAGCCTCAACAAAAAGCCTTCTCTCTGTAGTCAAAGGGCTAGAAAGTGGGTAGCCCAGAGAGAGTATTTTTAGACAATAACCACTCTACTCCAGTCAAACACCACAGAAAAACCTGTAGCCCCATCCCCATTCAGGCCAGCAAAGGCTGAGTGATTAAGTGGTGAGCCTTAACTTCTGCCCTCACCAGGCTGTAGTAAGGCATGCCAGCTCCCTGCAGGGTATTCAGGGAAGGCCAAGTAGAGAGCCTGGATGTTCATCTCTGCTTGTGGGAACAAAAGTCAGTGGAGACCATGTGAGAAGCCTATACTCTACCCCACCCAGCAGTGATGAGGCACCCCTTCCTCTACATCACCGAGGAGGCCTAGTAGAGTCAGGAATTTACACACACACCCTTGGTGTCGATGGAGGCCATATGGGTAGCAGTAACAAGGCACTGCTATCCCTCGCAGCTAGGGAGGTATCAGTGGAGACATTGGTTGGGAGCTGGAACTCCTACCTCTGACCAGCAGCAACAAGAAGAGAGGCCAAATGGGAAATCTGAACTTCTACCCTACTGTGATCAGCCCCCTCACCTGCTAGAGCGATGTCAGAGGAACTCAGCTAAAAAAGAAAGTTTAAATAAGATCAAGAGTCTCATAACATACCCAAAACATCCAAGTTTCAATTAAAAATCACTCATCATACCAAGAACCAGGAAGATCTCAAAATGAATGGAAAAAGACAATCAATAGATGCCAAAGATGTTAGAATTATCTGACAAACATTTTAAAACAATCACCACAAAAATGCTTATAAAACAATTATGAACACCTTTCAAACAAATGAAAAAAGAGTCTCATCAAATAAACAGAATATATAAAGGATAAACTAGAAAAATTAAATTGAAAAATATAATAACAGAAGTAAAAACTTTGATGGATGGACTCAAAAGCAGAATGAAAAGGAAAGAAGAAAGAACCAGAAAACAGGAAAATGGAACAATATAAATTACCATATCTGGACAACAGAGAGAAAATACACTGAAAATAGACTGCAGGACTATGATAAAAGATCTAACAGTTGTGTCATTGGAGTTTCAGAAGAAATGAGAAAGAGAGCAGGGCTGAAAAAGGACTCAAAGAAAGAATGGCAAAATTTCCCCAAATTTGGCAAAAGGTATGAATCAATAGATTCAAGAAGTTTTGTGAACCCCAAACAAGACAAATGCAAATCTGTCCTAAGACCATCTTGTCCAACTTCTGACAATGAAGGTGCAGAAAAATATCTTGAAAGCAGCTAAAATGAAATGACACCTTACCTACAGGAAAAAGACAATTTTAACGATAGTGGATTTCTCATCAGAAACCATAGAGGCCAGAAGAACACAGTGGTGACACATTTTTCTGAAATAAAAGAACTGTCAGCCTAAAATATTCAGCAAAAATATCTTTCAGAAATGAAGGGGATAGAGCCACTTTGAAAGATAGTTTGGCAGTTTCTTACAAAATTGAACACACCAATACCATACAATCCAGCAATCACATTCCTTGCTGTGTACCCAAAGGAGTTGAAATACACAAAAACCTATATCAAATGTTTATGGCAGTTTTATTCATAGTTGACAAAACTTGGAAGTAAACAAGATGTACTTCAGTAGGTGAATGGATAACCTGTGGTACATCTAGACAATGAAATATTATTCAGCACTAAAAAGAAATAATTGATCAAGCTATGAAAAGATATGAAGAAAACTTAAATGCATATTACTAAGTGAAAGAAGTCAGTTTGAAAAGGCTACATACTATGAAATTTCAACTATATGACATTCTGGAAAAGGAAAGTCTGTGGAGAGAGTAAAAAGATCACTGGTTGCCAAGGGTTTGGGGGAGGGAGGGATAAATAGGCAGACCACAGAGGATTTTGAGGGCAGTGAAAATACTCTATATGATACTATAATGGTAGATACATGTCATTATATATTTCTTCAAGCCCATAGAATGCACAATACTAAGACTGAACCCTAATGTAAATGATGGACTTTGGGTGATAATGACGAATCCATGTAGGTTCATTTATTAGAAAGAAAAAAAGGGAAATAAGGGGAAAATGAAGACATTCTCAGATGAAGGAAAACTAAGAGAATGCATTACCAGCAGATTCACCCTAAATAATGGCTAAAGGAAGTTTTCTAAATAGAAAGGAAATGATTAGAAAAAATATTGGAACGTCAGGAAGGAAGAAAGAACACAGCAAGCTAAAACTGGATAAATACAATAAACTTTCCTTCTCCTCTTAAATTTTCTAAATTGTGTTTGACTATTGAAGCAAAAATTATAACACTATCTGATGTATGTAGGGGCAATATGTAAGTCAATTATAAATAGATGAGGATAAAGGGATGTAAAGGGAGATAAAGTTTCTACAGTTCACTTGAACTGGTAAAATTATAATGACCAATAGACTGTGATAAGCTACATATATATATATATATATGTTACAAAAGCTATATGAAGTGATACACTCAAAAACAATACAGAAAAATAAAAGTAGAATTCTAAAATATGTTCAAGTTACCCCAGAAAGGCAGGAAAAAGAAAACAAATAAAAAACAGAAATAACAGCAAACAAAAAATAAAGTGGCAGACTTAGGCCCTAACATTGATAATTACATTAAATATAAATGGCCTATGTACATAAACTAAAAAACATAGCTTGGCAGAATTGATTGGTATTTATGATCCAACTATATGCTGCCTATAAGAAACTCACTTCAAGTATAACTATATAAGCAGACTGAAAGAAAAAGGGTGGAAAAAGATATATCATACAAATGTGAATCAAAATAGGAATGGCTACATTAATATCAGATAAGGTCTACCTTAGAGCAAAGAAAATTATCTCAGATGGAGAGGGACGTGATGTAATTATAACAGTGTCAATCCATCAAGAAGACATAACAATCCTAAATGTCTATGCACCAAGCAACAGAGTTGCAAAATATGTGAAGCAAAACCTGATAGAACTGAAGGAAGAAACAGACAAATACATAGTTGAGGACTTCAACACACCCTCAACAATTGATAGAACTAAATAGATAGAAAACCAAAATAACTCAACAATACCATCAACTATTAGGGTCTCATTGACATTTATAAAGCACTCCATTCAACAACAGCAAAATACACATTTTTTCCAAGTGCCCATAGGACATATGCCAAGATAGAGCATATGCTGAGCCATTAAACAAACTCAGCAAATTTAAAAGAATTGAAATCATATAGAGTGTGTTCTTTGACCACAAATGGAATTTTTAAAAAATTGAATTGATAATAGAAAGATTGCAAGAAAATCTTCAAACACTTGGAAACAAAACAACACACTTGTAAATAATCCATGGGTCAAAGAGGTAGTCACAAAGATACACCAAACTGAACAAAAATGATAATACAACATCTTAAAATTTGTGAGTCATAGCTAAAGCAGTGGTGACAGGAAAATTTATAGCACCAAATTTATGCATTAGAAAAGAAGAAAATTTCAAATCAACCATCTAAGCTTCTACTTCATGAATCTAGAAAAAGAAGAGCAAAGGAAATCCAAAGCAAGTGGAGGAAGGAAACAATAAAGAAAAGAGCAAAAGCCAACAAAACTAGAAATGTGAAAATGATAGAGAAAATCAGTGAAACAAAGAGCTAGTTCTTTGGAAGATCAATAAAACTAATAATCCTCTAGCAAGACTGACAAAAAATAAAGAATGAAGACACAAATTACCCATATCGAGAATAAAACAAGAGATATCACTACAGACCCTGCAGACATCAAATGGATAATGGAATACTATGAAAAACTACACATATAAATATTGACAATTTAGATGAACTGGACAAATTTCTTTAAAAATACAAACTACCCCAACTCCCCCAACAGGAAATAGATAATTTGAATAGCCCTCTATTAAGGAAATTGAATTCATAATTTAAAAACTCCCCAAAAAGGAAATCTTCAGGCCTATATGGTTTTACTGGAGAGTTCTAACAAATGTTTAAAGAAGAAGGAACAACATTATGTAATCTCTTCCAGAAAATAGAAGAAGAGGGAACACTTTCCAATTAATTTTATGAAACTAATATTACCCATCATCAAAGATGGTATGAAAAAAAGAAAAAAAAGAAAATTACAGACCAATATTCTTCATGAAAATAAATGTAGAAACACTCAAGAAAATACTAGCAAATAGAACCCAGCAATATATAATAAAAATTAGATACCATGAGTAGTTGGAGTTTATTCCAAGGATGAAAGGCTGATCCAATATTCAAAAATCAACTAATGTACTTTACCCTATTAACAGACTAAAGAAGAAGAATCACATAATCATATCAGTTGATGCAGAAAAAGCATTTGACAAAATCAAATTGGAATATCTAAACCGGTGCCATAATACAAGAAAAGGAAATAAAAAGCATACAGATCAGGCCAGGCACAGTGGCTCACACCTGTAATTTCAGTACTTGGGGAGGCCGAGGCGAGTAGATTACTTGAGGCCAGGAATTCAAGACCAACCTGGCCAACATGGCAAAACACTGTCTCTACCAAAAATACAAAAATTAGCCAGGCGTGATGGCAAATGTCTCTAGTCCTAGCTACTCGGGAGACAGGCACGAGAATCGCTTGAACTTGGGAGGTGGATGTTGCAGTGGGCTGAGAACATGTCACTGGACTCCAGCCTGGCAAGATTCTGTTAAAAAAAAAAAAGCATACAGATCAGAAAAGAAGACATTCTTTTCTGCTGAGAAAATCCAAAGGAATCTACAAAAAAAGTTCTAGAACTAAAAAGTGAGTTCAGCAAGGTTGAAGAATACAAGATAAATATGCAAAAACATCGATTGTATTTCTACATACTAGCAATGAACAGATGGACACTGAAATTAAAAATGAAACACTATTTACAGTCACTCAAAAGTAAAATAAAATACTCAGATGTAAATACAACAAAACATGCAGAACTTGTGTACTGAAAACTGCAAAATGCTGATGAAATAAATAAAAGAAGATCCAATAAATAAATGAAGAGACATACCATATTTACAGATTGGAGGACTTAGCCAAGTGTGGTGGCTCACCCCTGTAATCTCAGCACTTTGGGAATCTGAGGCAGGCAGATCGCTTTAGTCCTGGAGTTGGAGACCAGCTTGGGCAACATGGCGAAACTCCATCTCTACAAAAAATACAAAAAAATTAGTCAGGCATGGTGATGCACACCTGCAGTCATAGCTACTCAGGAGGCTGAAGTGGAAAGATCATCTCTCCACAGCCCAAGAGTTCCAGGCTGCAGTGAGCCATGATCATGCCACTGCACTCCAGCCTGGGTGACAGAGTGAGACGCTGTCTCAAAAAAAAAAAAAAAAAAAAAAAAAAAATTGGAAGACTCAATACAATAAAGATGTTGATTCTTCCCAAGTTGATATACAGGTCTAACAAAATTCCTGTGAAAATCACAGCAAGATGTTTTGCAAATATAGATAAGATTATCCTAAAATTTATCTGTTAAAGGCAAAGGAGCTAAAATAGCTAAAAACAATTTTGAAAAAGAAGGATAAAGCTATAGTAACCAAGAGATTGGTAGAGGTATATACACATAGATTAATGAAACAGAATAGAGAATCCAGAAATACAGCCACACAAATATGCCCAGCTGATTTTTGGCAAAAGTACAAAAATAACTCAATGGAAGAAAGATGGTCTTTTCAACAAATGGCTCTGGAGCAAGTGGATATCTGTAGCTACCCCCTGCCCCCACCCCCACCAAAAAAAGGAAAAAAACCTCAACCTAAGGTCTCACACCTTATTCACAGTTTAACTTGAAATGAATCACAGGCTGGACATGGTGGCTCACGCCTGTAATCCCGACACTGTGTGAGGGCAAGGTGGGCAGATCATGAGGTCAGGAGATCAAGACCATCCTGGCCAACATGGTGAAACCACGTCTCTACTAAAAATACAAAAATTAGCTGAGCATGGTGGCACATGCCTGTAACCCCAGCTACTCAGGAGGCTGAGGCAGGAGAATTGCTTGAACCAGGGAGTCGGAGGTTGCAGTGAGCCGAGACCGCACCACTGTACTCCAGCCTGGTGACAGAGCAAAACTCTGTCTCAAAACAAACAAACAAACAAACAAAAACCAAACAACAACAAAAAAATTGAATCACAGACTCAAGTGCACAAATGTAAAATATAAAATTATAAAACATTTAGTAAAGAACATAGGCAAAAATCATCAGAATCTAGGACTAGGCAAAGAATTCTTAGACTTGATACCACAAGTATGAGCCAGAAACTGGGCATGGTGGTTCATACGTGTAATCCTAGTGCTTAGGGAAACCGAGGTGGGAGGATTGCTTGAGGTCAGGAGTTTGAGACCAGCCTTGTCAACACTGTGAGACCCTGTCTCTAAAAAAAAAAAAAAAAAAAAAGTCATGAAGATATTAAATTTTTTAAAATAAAATTTTTAAAATAAAATTTTTAAAAATAAAAGCATGATCCATATAAGGAAAAATTGATATATTGGACTTTATCAATTTTAATATTTTAGCTCTATGAAAGACTCTGTTAAGAGGATGAAAAGACAAACTAGAGATTGAGATGAAATATTAGCAAACCACATGTCCAACAAAGAACTAATATCTAGAATATATAAAGAATATTTAGACCAGGCACAGTGGCTCACACCTGTAATCCCAACACATTGGGAGGCTGAGGTGGGTGAATTGCCTGAGACCAGCCTGGGCAATATAGTGAGACCTCATTTCTACAAAAAATTTTAAAAATTAGCCAAGCCTAGTGGTGCGTACCTGTAGTTCCAGCTACTTGGGAGGCTGAGGTGGGAGGATTGCTTGAGCCCGGGAGGTGGAGGTTGAAGTGAGCCATGATCACGCCCACTGCACTCCAGCCTGGGCAACAGAGTGAGACTCTCTCTCGAAAAAAATAAATAAATAAATAAATTTAAAAAGACCATTTAAAACTCAACAGTAAAAACAAAACAAAAACCAATAAACCAATTAGAAGATGGGCAAAAGACATGAAGAGACATTTCTCTGAAGAGGATATATACATATGGCAAATAATCACACGAAAAGATGTTCAGAAAAATTAGCTCATTAGGATAATTTTTTTAAAAAACCCAGTGAGATATCATACACGCCTGTTGGTAGTGGGATTGTACCTATGAATAGCCACTGCACTCCAGCCTGGACAATATAGCAAGACCCCATCTCTTAAAAACAGAAAAAAAAATGTAGGTGACAATCCCAAATGCTGGCAAGAATGCAGGGATGGTCACTGACACATTGCTGGTGGGGATGTCAAATGGTATAGTCACTTTGGAAAATAGTTTGGCAGTTTCTTAAAAAAATTAAACATACACTTATCATAGGATCCAGCAAGTGTACTCCTAGGTGTTTATAATGATGTCCTCACAAAACCTGTACACAACTGTTCATAGCAGCTTTATTAATCATAACCCCAAACCGGAAATAATCCTGATATCCCTCAGTGGGTGAATGGTGCATGGTGGTACATCCATGCCAAGGAATACTACCTAGTAATAAAGAAGAATGAAGTAATAGTACATGCAGTGACCTAGACCTAGATTCTCCAGAAAATTATGCTGAGTGAAAAATCCAGTCTCAGAAGGTTACACACTGGCCGGGCGCGGTGGCTCACACCTTTTATCTCAGCACTTTGGGAGGCCGAGGCAGGCGGATCACTTGAGGTCAGGAGTTTGAGACCAGTCTGGGCAACATGACAAAACCCCATCTCTACTAAAAATACAAAAAACTATCCGGGTGTAGTGGTGTGCACCTGTAGTCCCAGCTGCTTGGGAGACTGAGGCACCAGAATTGCTTGAACCCAGGTTAAGGTTGCAGTGAGCCGAGATGGCGTCGCTGCACTCCAGCCTGGGTGACAGAGTGAGATTTTATTTTTTTATCAAAAAATAAAAAATAAAAAAGGTTACGTATTGTATGGCTTCATTTATGTGATATTCTTGAAATGACAAAATTATAAAAATGGAGAACAGATTAGTGGTTGCCAGTGGCTACGAAGGGAGTGAGGGCTAGGCAGAAGAAGGTGTGGCTACAAAATGGCAACAGAAATGATCCCAGTGGTGATCGAAATGTTCTGTACTTTGGCTGTTATTGATGTCAATGTCCTGCTTGTGATACTGTGCTCCAGTTTTGTAAGATGTTACCATTAGGCAGGTGAAACTGTGCAAAGGGTATTGTTTTATTTCCTGCAACTGCACATGAATCTAAAATTGCCTCAAAATAGAAAGATTAATTTTAAGAAACAATAAAAGAAAATTAGTACAACTTGTTTTGCACAAGTTCTTCATAGACCTCACCCTGAGAGATGGAGCACAGCTGAAATAGTATATCAAGAATCAAAAAGGCCGGGCATGGTGGCTCACACCTGTAATCCAAACACTTTGGGAGGCTGAAGCATGTGGATCACTTGAGGCAAGGAGTTCGAGACCAGTCTGGCCAACATGGTGAAACTCTGTCTCTACCAAAATACAGAAATGAGCTGGGCATGGTGATGCATGCCTGTAATCCCAGCTACTTGGGAGGCTGAGGTAGGAGAATGGCTTGAATCCAGGAGGCAGAGGTTGCAGTGAGCCGAGATCGCACCACTGCACTCCAGCTTGGGAGACAGAGCAAGATTCTATCTCAAAAAAACAAAACAAACAAAAAAAGAATCAAAAAAGGTTGAAGTAAATGCACGTATGGAAATTCCCAAAAGCATTCTGTGATCCTTGAGGCTCCCCTTTAATGCCAGGGAAAACAGCTATTTCCCCTCTAACACTCTTGGAGATTATGTCAATACTGGGATGTGGGCGTAAGATTACAGGCATGAGATTACACCTGTAATCTCAGCATTCTGGGAGGCCAAGGCAGGAGGATTGCTTGAGACCAGGAGTTCAAGACCAGCCTGGGCAAAAAAGTGAGACCCACATCTCTACAAAAATAAATAAATAAACAAACAGACAAATAAATAAATATAACAAAATTAGCCAGGCGTGGTGGTGTATGCCTGTGGTCCCAGCTATAAGGGAGGCCGAGGCAAAAGGATCACTTGAGCCCAGGAGGTAGAGGCTGCAGTGAGCCGTGTTTGTGCCATTGCACCCCAGCCTGGGTGAAAGAAAGAGACGCTGTCTTTAAAAAAAAGAGGCGGGTGGGGGGTTCTGAAATTAAGGGGGCCATTGGACAAAGCTAGAAGGCAAGTCTTCAGTTTTTATGCTGCAGGAAGATTTGAAAGGAGCTGTGGGATAGATGTGAGGGAGAGCAGAGCCGGTTTAGAGACCAGCCCATCCAGGAATCCTCTACAGCCATTGCTCTAGTTAGGCATCCCCTCCCCTCTGTCCCATTAACCTCCATTATAATCCAGTAAGATCAATAACTTTCTTATCAGTTTCCCTCTCTAAACCCTACGTTTCTGGAGGGCTGGGGCCACTTCACAGTTTGCCTTTACATACCATAATTTTTTTTTAATTTTAACTTAAAACAAATAAAGGAATATTTGCTGTCCACTTTGTTCATGTAGGACCAAGACCTTTCTTTGTGTATGGATGCACTGATTGACATTTCACCATCATCTTTCTTTTCTCTCTTTCTTTCTCTCTCTCTCTCTGTCTCTTTCTCCCTCTCTCCTTCCCTCTCTTTCTCCCTCCCTCCCTTCCTCCCTTCCTTCCTTCCTCCCTTTCTTTCTTTCTTTCGTCTCTCTCTCTCTTTTTTTTTTTTTTGACAGAGTCTGACTTTGTCGCCCAGGCTGGAGTGCAGTGGCGCGATCTGGGCTCACTGTAACCTCCGCCTCCCGGGTTCAATGGATTCTCCTGCCTCAGCCTCCCAAGTAGCTGGGATGACAGGTGCCCGCCACCATAGCTGGCTAACTTTTGTATTTTTAGTAGAGACGAGGTTTCACCATGTTGGCCAGGCTGGTCTCGAACTCCTGACCTCAGGTGATCCACCTGCCTCGGCCTCCCAAAGTGCTGGGATTACCGGCATGAGTCATCACACCCAGCCTCATCTTTCTTTAATGAGCTACACCCAGAATGTGCTGACTGCCATTTTCAGCTTTGATTTCTTTAACATTGATTGGGAATTGGAAAGTATTTGAGAACCAATATGAGTGAAATTCCTAGGTTTTTTTTTATGATTGTTCCTCATCTTTTCCAGTTGTCTCACCAATACATAATTTGATAACAAAAACTTTAAGCAAGTTGGTGTTATGGAATTTTTCCAAACAGCAACATTAGTTTTGCACTTGTATTTTATTGGTTTATGTAACATTTAGTTAAATTAGATAAGAATAGTATGTGCAGCTGGCATAAACAGGCTGCGTTAAAAACAAATCACTCTGGTCGGGCACGGTGGCTCAAGCCTGTAATCCCAGCACTTTGGGAGGCCGAGGCGGGCGGATCACGAGATCAGGAAATCGAGACCATCCTGGCTACCACGGTGAAACCCGGTCTCTACTAAAAATACAAAAAATCAGCCGGTCGCGGTGGCGGGCGCCTGTAGCCCCAGCTACTCGGGAGGCTGAGGCAGGAGAATGGCATGAACCTGGGAGGCGGAGCTTGCAGTGAGCGGAGATCGTGCCACTGCACTCCAGCCTGGGCGACAGAGCGAGACTCCGTC